>NC_000007.14:64627991-64931021 GCF_000001405.40 Homo sapiens | reverse complement strand
ACATGTTAGAAGAAAAATATATAACAAATTTTTAAAAATATTCAGGACTCAGAAATGTATGTATTTTATTCATACTTTTGTAATTTTTATTATGACCATAAAAATAACCCTGTAGTCCATAACAATTTAGTTGTACATTTTAAAATAAAATACAAAGGATAAATGCTAGTAAGGGATACCTCATTTACCCTGATGTGATTATTACATATTATATACCTGTATCAAAACATGCCATATACAGCATAAAAACATACTATGTACCCATGAAAAATAAGAACAATAAATTTAAATAAGAAAAAATATAAATGTAAAACCTATGGGAATATTTAACTTATCTGCAGTTTAAAGCCACTGGCAAAAGAGATTACTAAAAATGTTAGTCCACTATGTAACCAAATAATATATTGCTATCATCTTTTACCTACACCATTGAGTAAGGTGAGGTAGGTTAGTTTGTGGCATAATAACGCTTCACTGAATGCACAAGTCTTAACATGTTAAAACATGTTTAAAAATCTAAGTTCATACATAATCTAAAAATTTTGAAATGTACTGCATTATGAAAAGCACAATTCATAAAATGATATAATTGAATT
This sequence comes from Homo sapiens, assembly GCF_000001405.40. Lineage (NCBI taxonomy): Eukaryota > Metazoa > Chordata > Mammalia > Primates > Hominidae > Homo > Homo sapiens. The sequence goes on along the minus strand of NC_000007.14, from coordinate 64,930,425 downwards.
TTAATATTAAAAATTTTTCACTATAATGCAGAATATTACTCTGAACACCTACCTCATGCATCACTCAATATTATCAGTTAACCACAAGAGCCTCTCTACTTAGATTTTCATCATGCATCTTTCATTTTAATGTTCTTACTCTTCCACAGAAAAGGTCATAAATAATGCCCACCTAATAAAAAAAAAAATCTCATATCTTTGATGCAGCAAGTTGATCACATGCTTTCACATGTGAATACAATAGGAATGAAGAAAAAACATGCGCCGGGTGCAGTGGCTCATGCCTGTAATCCCAACATTTTGGGAGGCCGAGGCGGGCATATCACCTGAGGTTGGGAGTTTGAGACCAGACTGACCAACATGGAGAAACCCTGTCTCTACTAAAACCACAAAAATTAGCCAGGTGTGGCACATGCCTGTAATCCCAGCTACTAGGGAGGCTGAGGCAGGAGAATTGCTTGAATCTGGGAGGCAGAGGTTGCGGTGAGCTGAGATCACGCCATTGCACTCCAGCCTGGGCAACAAGAGTGAAACTCCGTCTCAAAAACAAACAAACAAACAAACAAAAAACCCAAAACCAAAACCAAAAAAAAAAAAACCATGAATTTGAGAGTTGAATTACATTATTCACTTTTCAAAAAACCTGTAATTTTTTCCAAAGAAAAGTGTACTCTGAATGTAAATATACCTCTGCCAAAAACTTGTTCACTATTAGTTATCTACCAACTTTTGTTTTGGATAACTTTCTGTACTCAGCACTCTGATTTTGTGTAATGTCTGAAGTGTCAGTATCTTAGATATCTGTATTGTGAATTCTCTGATATTTATATAAACCTAACTTTGGATCATTTCTTTCATATTTACTGCTGCATTTGCAAAAATATATTTTAGTGTAATTCCTCCCATGTTTTCTAAGCTGTTGTTGAAAAAAATATTTTTCCAAATTCATTACACTCATAGGGTTTTTCTCCAATATAAATTTCCTGGTATTGAACAAAGTTTGAACAACTGCTTCAGGGTTTTTCTCTGGTACAAAATGTGTACAATAAGATCTATGATACAAACAAAGGTACTACAAACCTCTTTGTACTTTTAATGTTTCTCTTCAAAATAAATACTCTGCTGCACTTTGCAGGCTTATATTGTCTGAAAGATCTTTTGACAGTAATTTCATTGATAATGCTTTTATTAAATACCAACTCGCTGATGTTAAGATATGAGCAGATATTAATGACTTTTCCATTCTTTATACAATTTTTCTCAAGTATAAATGCTTTCCTGTGCAATAAGGAAAACTCCACTTCTGGGAGTTTTCTCCAGTATGAATTATCTTATATACAATCAAGTGTGACAACCGCTTAAAGGCTTTGTCACATTCTTCACATTTCTAGGATTTCTCACCCATATGATTTCTTTTATGTCTAGAAAAGTTTGGGGTGTTGTCAAAAGCACTGTCACATCTTTTAGGTTTGTATGGTTTCTCTCCAGTATGAATTTTCTTATGTCGAGTAAGGTTTGAGGACCGGTTAAAAGCTTTGCCACATTCTTCACATTTGTAGGGCTTCTCTCCAGTATGAATTCTCTTATGTTTAGTAAGAGTTGAGGACCAGTTAAAGGCTTTACCACATTCATTGCATTTGTAAGGTTTCTCTCCAGTATGAACTCTCTTATGTTCAGTAAGGGTTGAGAATGCCCTAAAGGCACTGCCACATTCTTCACATTTGTAAGGTTTTGCTCCAGTATGAATTATCTTATGTTTAGTAAGGGTTGAGAATACACTAAAGGCTTTTCCACATTCTTCACATTTGTATGGTTTCTCTTTAGTATAAATTCTCTTATGTTTAGTAAGAGTTGTGGACCGTTTAAAGGCTTTACCACATTCTTCACATTTGTAGGGTTTCTCTCCAGTATGAACTATCTTATGTCTAGTAAGGGTTGAGGACTGGTTAAAAGCTTTGCCACATTCTTCACATTTGTAGGGTTTCTCTCCAGTATGAATTCTCTTATGTTTAGTAAGAGTTGAGGACCAGTTAAAGGCTTTACCACATTCATTGCATTTGTAGGGTTTCTCTCCAGTATGAATTATCTTATGTTTAGTAAGGGTTGAGAATATACTAAAGCCTTTGCCACATTCTTCACAATTGTAGGGTTTTGTTCCTGTATGAATTATCTTATGTTTAGTAAGGACTGAAAATACACTAAAGACTTTGCCACAATCTTCACATTTGTAAGGTTTCTCTTCAGTATGAATTTTTTTATGTTTAGTAAGAGTTAAGGACTGGTTAAAGGCTTTGCCACATTCTTCACATTTGTAGGGATTCACTTCAGGATGAATTATCTTATGTTTAGTAAGATTTGAGAACTGGTTAAAGGCTTTTCCACATGTCTTACATTTGTAGAAATTCACTCTAGTAGCAGTTTTCTTATGCTGAGTTAGTTGTGAAAGTATGCAACATGATTTGCCACATTCTTTACATTTGAAAGGTTTCTTTCCAGTTTGTCTTTTCTTATGTATATTTGAATTTGAGAATTTATGAAGGACTTTAACATATTTATCACATTGAAATATTTTGCTCTGGGTAGTTGTCAAACATTGGTTAAGTCCATTATAACCTCTTTTGTGCACCTTATGCTCATCCGCACTTTTACAGCCTTTTCTTAATTGTAAATTCTCATGTCCATATTTTCCATATCTTCTCAGTATCACTTTTTGAAAAGAATCTTTTAAGCCCTGCTTTGGCCAAAGGTCTTGGGCAAAATGAGAACACACAACTGAAAGAAATAAAAGTAACAATTACCCCACTTACTAGACTCAGATGAATATACTTTACAAATCTAACCTATAAAAATATACAAACTACATAAGGAAGATGGTATAGCAAAATACCACAGGCCCTAATTCCTTCACAGACATATCAATGTAACAAAAACATACTGACCAAGATACATTTGTGGAAAATTTATAAATGAGTTAAGTGTGTGCAGTGCCCCAGGTAAGCACAATGCAAAGAGCCATATAGAAGGAAAAGTCTATTGCAGGTCGGGTGCAGTGGCTCATGCCTGTAATCCCAGCATTTTGGGAGGCCGAGGCAGGCAGATCACAAGGTCAGGAGTTCAAGACCAGCCTGACCAACATGGTGAAACCTTGTCTCTGGTAAAACCACAAAAATTAGCCGGGTGTGGCACATGCCTGTAATCCCAGCTACTCAGGAGGCTGAGGCAGGAGAATCCCTTGAACCCACAAGGTAGAGGCTGCAGTGAGCTGAGACTACGCCATTGGACTTCAGCCTGGGTGATGAGAGTGAGACTCTGTCTCAAAAAAAAGGAGTAAATTGCCAACTCTTGGTTTCTTTTTGAAAAGAGAAGAAAAACAGTGGCACACACATATTCATTTCAGACTTCTAGGGGCCTTTCCAGACACTGGTTTCTGTCTCTCCTGACAAATGCAAAAGAAATGGTGATATACTATGGAATAACAGTTTGAGTCAGCTGAGACCCAAGGTGAATGTTGCAGCAGCAGAGAAACTGCAGTACCACAGACAAGGAACAGGTGTAGCAAGTGATTACTGACTATTAAGAAGAAACATGAACAAACTCCTTTAACTAAAAAACCCAAAAAATTTCAGAAAAGACACATTTTAAGAACATGTTTGAGAGACTACCAAAATCTCTAGCCAAGACAGTTGGTTTCAGACTAAGCCAAGACAAAGATACGTTATAAAGATTGTGATGGGTAGCTTGTTTTTAATGTCCAAATCTCAATAAAAAATTATAATGCATACAAAATAGGAAGGCAACATGGCCTCATCAAAAACATTATAAAATTTTCTGAAAGCAACTATTAAAGAATGAAGCTGTAAAAATTAATTTTAAAAATTTAAAATAAATTGAATAATACTCAATGAATTAAATAGGAACACAGACAACTACTGAAAATCAGAAATATGAGGATAAAAACAAGTGTTAAAAATATCAAAAACAAATTGTTAAGGTAAAATGACAAAAAAACTAAAAAATTTTAAAAGTAGGAAAATCTGATGTAAAAATGAAGATGCTCAACAAACTAGGATACAAACAAAGATATTTATAACACACACATATATAAGCACGATTTCAACAGTCACAGGCAAGACAATCTTGGGAACTGTAAGATGAAAGTGATGTGTCATTTACAAGGATAGTCTTATGAGAAAACCAGTGAATTAGTCAAGAAAATTTTGCAGGCCAGAGAAAAAACTGTGTGATATAGTCAAAGTCCTTAAAAAAAAAAAAAAAGCTGCCAAGTGAGAATAATACCATCAGCAAAACTGTCCTACCAGATAAAAAGGAAAAGATCTTCCAAAATAACCAAATCCTGAAAAAGTATATTGGCACTCCATTTGCCCTACATATCAAAGATGGTGAAAAGGAGTTATTTCCACTGAAAATAACATGATGCAAGAAAACAACACATAATCATATGAAAATACATAACTTTCTGGGAGAGACATGCACATACACAAAAATACTATTCCTTAGCATTATCATAATGGTGCAGTACACATTTTTAATTATTCTCTAGAACTTGAAAGATAAAAGCATAGAAATTGTTATAAACAACTGTTAATAGACATACAACATAAAAAGATAATTAGCACCATCAATAACAAGGTTGAGGGCAGATGTAATGAGGAAAAAACTTTGTATGCAGCCGGGCATGGTAGCTCATGCCTGTAATTCCAGCACTTTGGGAGGCCAAGGCGGGTGAATCGCAAGGTCAAGAGTTCGAGACCAACCTGGCCAACATTGTGAAACCCTGTCTCTACTAAAAAAATACAAAAATTAGCCAGGCATGGTGGCGCGCGCCTGTAGTCCCAGCTACTCAGGAGGCTGAGGCAGGAGAATTGTTTGAACCTGGGAAACAGAGGTTGTGGTGAGCCAAGATTGTGTCACTGCACTCCAGCCTTGGCAACAGAGCGAGACTCTGTCTCAAAAAAACAAAAACAAACAAAAAAACTTTGTATGCAACTGAAGTTAATTTTTTTTACCAGGTTAAACTATATTGTTTTATCTTTTAGAGGTTTTATGTAATCCCCAAGGTACCCCAAAAAATATCTGTATGGATACACAAATAAGAAAGAAATGAAAGCATATCGATACAAAAATCGCAAAGACACACAGAAGATAAAGAAAATGAGAGACAAAGATACAAGAATCAAATAAAACTAATAAAATGATATTAGTAAGACTTTCTCCTTCAGAAAATTATTTGAATATATATAATTAACTTTCCGATCAAGAGACATACATTTAATAAAGGGATTTATTTAAAAAATTGAAAAATCGGCCAGGCACGGTGGCTCATGCCTGTAATCCCAGCACTTTGGGAGACCGAGGCGGTGGATCACCTTAGGTCAGGAGTTTGAGACCAGCCTGACCAACATGGTGAAACCCCATCTCTTCTAAAAATACAAAAATTAGCCAGGCATGGTGGCGGGTGCCTGTAATCCCAGCTACTTGGGAGGCTGAGACAGGAGAAGCGCTTGAACCTGGGAGGCGGAAGTTGCAGTGAGCTGAGATGGTGCCACTGCACTACTCTAGCCTGGGTGACAGAATGAGACTCCCCCTAAAAAAAAAAAAAAATTTGAAAAATCCAGATCCAAGTTGCCTTTCTACAAGACTCAGCAAAGATCTAATAATAAAAAGACTGAAAGTGGCAAGATGGAAGTAATATTCCATGCAAATATTAACAAAACGAGAGCAGCAGACGTCAAAATAGTATTACACAAGCTACATCTTAAGTAACTGTCGTATTTTATAAAATGTACTTTAAGTCAAAACTCCAAAGAGACAAGTACGGACATTAAACAATAATAGATTCATGAGAAACTATGACAAATTTGCGCGCGCGCGTGTGTGTGTGTGTGTGTGTATGTGTGAGTGTGTGTCTCACATTAGTGTTCCAAATATATAAAGCAAATATCAACAGAATTGAAACACATAGAGAACAATATAATTATAGACTATTTTAATATCCCATTTTCTATAGTAAGAATAAAACAAGACAGAACATTAGTAAGAGAACAGAGGACCTGAAGGCAGTATAAAACAAATATTCCTAACATAGGTATACAAAACTCAACAACATTAAGATACACACCCTTATCAATAGCTTATACAACTTTCTTCTTGACAGACCACCAAATAAGTCAAAAGAGTCTTAAAAAGTATTTTAGAACTGAAATTTTATGGATTACTTTCTATAACAAAAATGGAATGACAATATAAAACAATATTAAAAGCTAACAAGTTTACAAATATATAGTAAATTAAACCACATTCTTTAGCATGCTTTTGTTCAAAAGTTGAAATATTGGGAAGATGTCTATACTGCTCAATGTAATCTACAAGATTTAATGCAATGTTTTCTCAATTTCTCATTGCATTTTTGAAGACATAAAAACAGCAACCCCTAAAGTATATGGAATCTCAAGAGACAATAAAGTACCTAACAATCTTCAAAAAAAGGAACAATGTTGGAAGCATTATAGTTTCTGATTTTAAAACATATTACAAAGCTACAGAATTAAAACAATTTGCTACAAGTATAAAGGTAAAAAAAAAAAGGAGACTAGTAAAATAGAATGCAGCACATATATATACTTTCACATATGTGGTCATATGAAGAGTCATTTTCATACCCATAATTATTATACCATTGTTACTGAAAGCCAATAGGTAAAAGCAATGCAAATTTCTGTCACCAAATCATTCAGTAGATATGATCTGAAATATAAAAATACTTGGCCGGGCACTGTGGCTCATGCCTGTAATCCCAGCACTTTGGGAGGCTGAGGAGGGCGGATCACACGAGGTCAGGCGTTCGAGACCAGCCTGGCCAACATGGTGAAACCCTCACTCTACTAAAAATACAAAAATTAGCCGGGCATGATGGCACTCGCCTATAATCCCAGCTACTCGGGAGGCTGAGGCAGTAGAATCACTTGAATCCCGAGGGGCAGAGGTTGCAGTAACCCAAGATCACGCCACTGCACTCCAACCTGGGTGAAAGAATGAGAATCTGTATAAAAAATAAAAATAAAAAAACACACACACACACAAAACAAACAACAACAATAAAACTGGACTGTCACTCAGTTTTCAAAAAGCGGAAGATATTCTAACAACTATAACGATAAATCTTGATGACATTATGCAAAATAAAATGAGCTGCCACAAAAAGACAGAGTTTGTATGAGATATATGATGCAGTTACACTCCTAGAAAAAAAAGAGTAGTGTTTGAAAAGTGCCATGAAAACGGGAAAAAATGGTAGTTGTTTAATATGTGTTGAGACTAGCTTTGTAAGATAAAAACACTTAGTAAAATGTTGCATAATATAATTAGTATGACTAAACTGAATATTTAAGAATATTTATTGTAAATTTTGCGATTTTCTTTTTTTCTTTTTTTTTAATTTTGAGACAGAGTCTTGCTCTTCCACCTAGGCTGGAGTGCAGCAGCACCATCTTGGCTCACTGCAGCCTCCACATCCTCAGCTCAAGCGATTCTCATGCCTCAGCCTCCGGTAAAGCTGGGATTACAGGCATGCACCACCACACCTGGCTAATGTTTCGTATTTTTAGTAGAGACAGGGTTTCACCATGTTGGCCAGGCTGGCCTCAAACCCCTGACCTCATGTAATCTACTCGCCTCGGCATCCCAAAGTGCTGGGATTACAGGTGTGACATGGACTAATAACCTGATCCCAGGAGTTTGAGACCAGCCTGGGTAACATGGCAAAGCTCTGTCTCTACAAAAAATACAAAGAAACTAGTCAGGCACAGTGGCTCACACCTGTAATCCCAGCACTTTGGGAGGCTGAGGCAGGAGGATCACTTGAGGTCAGGAGTTCAAGACCAGCCCGGCCAACATGATGAAACCCCATCTCTACTAAAAATGCAAAAATTAGTCGCTGTAATCCCAGCTACTCAGGAGGCTGAGGAAGGAGAATCACTTGAACCTGGGAGGCAGAGGTTGCAGTGAGCCGAGATCATGCCACTGCACTCCAGTCTGGGTGACAGAGGGAGACTCTGTCTCCGGGGGAAAAAAAAAACAAAAAAACAAAAACAAAGAAACTAACTGGGTATAATGGTACATACTTGTAACCCAGATACTTGAGGGACTGAAATGATAGAATCATCTGAGTTTGGAAGGTTGAGGCTGCAGTGAGCTGTGATCACACCACTGCAAACCAGCGTGGTTGATGGAATGAGATCCTATCTCGAAAATAAATAAATAAATACAATTATTAAAAAAAAAAAAAAAGGAAATAGAATGCCAGAGTGGCTTAAGAAAAAAGCATAAAATATGCTGCCTACAAGAGACTCATTTTAGCATTGAGTCAAATAGGCTGAAAGTAACCTATTGGAAAATATCTATGTTCCGTGAAAATAGTAACCGCAATTGGGTGAGGTGGTCATAATCATATCTGACACAGTATGCTTTAAGTATTAGTGGCTGGGCATGGTAGCTCTCACCTGTAATCCCAGCACTTTGGGAGGCCGAGGTGGGTGGGTCACCTGAGGTCAGGAGTTCGAGACCAGCCTGGCCAACATGGTGAAACCTCATCTCTACAAAAATACAAAAATTAGCCAGGCATGTTGGTGGGGGAGTGCCTGTAATCCCAGTTACTTGGGAGGCTGAGGCAGAAGAATCACTTGAACCTGGGAGGCGGAGATTGCAGTGAGCCGAGATCGTGCCATTGTACTCCAGCCTGGGCAAGAGAGCAAGACTCTGTCTCACACACAAAAAAAAAAAAAAAAAAAAAAAAAAAAAAAAGCATTAGCATGAAGCAAAGATTGATATTATATAATGGTAAAATAGGTCAATTTACCAGGAATCCATAACTATTATATGTATCTATCTGTGTATGTATGTATAACATCAGGGCTCCAATATATACATAGCAATTACTGACAAAAGTGAAGCAGGAAATACATACCAACATAATAATAGTAGACATCAAGACCCCATTTTCAAAAATAGAAAATTCAAATAAATTAATAAAACAAAGAAAACTTAAGGCTAGGTGTGGTGGCTCACGCCTGTAATCCCAGCACTTTGTGAGGCTGAGGTGGGCGGATCACGAGGTCAGGAGTTCGAGACCAGCCTGACCAACATGGTGAAACCTCGTCTCTACTAAAAATACAAAAATTAACTGGGCATGGTGGCACGTGCCTGAATCTTAGCTACTTGGGAGGCTGAGGCAGGAGAATCACTTAAACCCAGGAAGTGGAGGTTGCAGTGAGCTGAGATCATGCCATTGCACTCCAGCCTGGGACACAAGAGCTAAAAATTCTATCTCAAAGAAAAAAAAAAGAAAAATAAATATAAAATAAAGTAACAGAAAAATTTGAACTAGCAAATAGAAAGTAAAACTATGTAGGGAGAGTGACATCAGTAAGATGCAAAAATAAAAGGTGCCCTATTCATTTATCCCCTCACAACAAGAAAATTTGTCAGCCATCCCTGACAAAAATGCCTCTATGAGAGAATCAGGCATCATGGCTCATACCTGTAAGGACAGCTACATGGTACTTTAAGGTTGGAGAATCGCCTCACGGAGGAATTTTAAGACCAGCCTGGATTATGCAGCAACACCCCATCTTCAAAATAAGTGCCTTTAAAGAATCTTTGAGATCCAGGGAGGGAGTTATGAAACTCTGCTAAAGCTCAAGATTGAGGGGTGTTCTTTCCAGGAGGCAGGCCCTCATTCGGGAGGCAAACTACAGGACCCCTGTTCTTTGCTGCAGACCATGAAATGGCCCACCCAACTTGGTCTCACTGAGAATTCTGAACTTACTCTGTAACCATCCCAAACTCCTCCCAGCCACAGTCTGGGAGAGGTCCTGCCCTTCCAGAGGCTTAGAGAAAGACATGCATTTATAGCCATGCGGACAGACCTGCAGACCTTGGGCTTTACTATGGTCCCTGAAGCAGTTCAATGACTCAGTTCCAGCTCCCTGAGCTACAGTTCATGGCCGGTTCTGCCTACATAGAAATCCACACAGTGACCTGGGAAAATCCTCTCTGGTACTCAGTGAAATCCACACTCATCCATATCCTAATAAAAGGCCCACCATATATAGACCCAACTGCAAAAACCTGCCCTGGTGTCTGCCCTACAAAGCAAAGTCCTGAAAGATTCAGTCTGTCCAAAAATATAATGGGAATTACAACTACCCAAGCTCCTTGTAACAAGCCAACTAAAGGTGGACCCTAGTGCAGACCCAGCATCCTTGTGAGCAAGCTACAACCCCTCTCCACTACAAACCCAGAGGGCAAACCATCACTCTGGGGGCCCAACATAAAAAGATCTTTACCTGCTGAAACCAGGTTATAAAAACTTGAAGATGTGTTTGTTTCTTCAAATTCACAGACACCAATGCAAAACTATATTGTGCCATTGTCAATTGCTTCTATTTTAACATAGCACTGGAAGTATGTATTAGAAGAATTAGTTTAAAAAAAAAAAAGAAAAAATAGCCATTGAAATTGAGGACAAATAAGTAAAAAGTTGCTGTTGTAGATCACATGATCTTATCTTTTAAAAACCACAACTAGTACATGAAAACCTGTTTAATAAATACACTGAGTATATCAGCAAAATATAAAATTAACATACAAGCGTATGTTATGGTTTCATACACTTAAACTATCTGGTAAAATAGAGGAAGAAAACAATCTTATTTACATTAGCATTAAATCATAAATTTCTGAGAAGAAATTTAACCAAGCAGGTAAAAAATCTTTTTTGACCGTTTTGCTCTGTTGCCCAGGATGAAATGCAGTGGGGTGATCTCAGCTCACTGCAACCTCCGCCTCCCAGGTTCAGGTGATTGTCCTGCCTCAGCCTCCCAAGTAGCTGGCGTACACCACCACGTCCAGCTTATTTTTTGTATTTTTAGTAAATACGGGATTTCCATGTTGGCAAGACTGGTCTCGAACTCCTGACCTCAAGTGATCCACCCGCCTCAGCCTCCCAACATGCTGAGATTACAGACGTGAGCAGCCATACCCAGCCTAAAAAATCTTTACAATGAAGAAAATTAAGGAAGACGCAAATAAACTTAAAAATATTTTACGTATATGGATTCAAAGAATAAATATTGTTAAAGTGCCATTTATCCAAAGTGACCTACAGATTCAATAAACGCCCTATCAAAATTGCAATGGTATTTTATTCACAGTAATGGAAAATATAATCCTAAAATTTACATGAAACTACAATAAATTTTGAATAGCCAAAGCAATCTTGAGGAAAGAGAACAAAGTAGAAAGACATCATACTTTAAAATTTCAAACTATATTTCAAGACTATAGTAACAAAAACAGGATTAAATGTACAGAAAAATGAACAAAACCCAATGTAATATAAACTACTCTCACATATTTCAGATGTGATGCAAAAAGAGAACATGAAAAATAGTTTAACACAGAGTTTCTCAAAATTATGCAGATATCTGTGTGTCCCCCAAAACAATGGAAAAGCAGTAAGATTGTGCAGTTTCCTATATGCCAGGAATAGGACTTTAGCTTTCACCATAAACTTGAAGGAAAATCACTGAAGGGAAAGTAGAATCCTTAGAGAATTTAAAAGCATAAGACAGAATATGCTCCTATGTGAGAGCAAAGGAAAAAAAAAAATCCAGCTCTCCAGAAACTACTTTTTTTGAACGCAGCTTCCCAAATCACATTTTTTTTTTTTTTTTTTTTTTTTTTTTTGAGATGGAGTCTCACTCTGTCTCCAGGCTGGAGTGCAGTGGCACAATCTTGGCTCACTGCAACCTCCGCCTCCCTGGTTCAAGTGATTTTCCTGCCTCAGCCTTCCAAGTAGCTGGGACTACAGGCATGTGCCACCACGCCCAGCTAATTTTTGTATTTTCAGTAGAGACAGGGTTTCACCATGTTGGTCAGGATGCTCTGGATCTCTTGACCTCGTGATCCGCCCGCCTCGGCCTCCCAAAGTGCTGGGATTACAGACGTGAGCCACCGCGCCTGGCCCAAATCACATTTTAAGAACTGACTTTCTCCTTGACCTTTAGACCTGTCATCTGTGTCATCTGTTATATTCGCTATCACTCTCACCTACCTGGGGGTTTGGCTACCATCGCATGTCTCTTCATATTGCAGGGCTCTTTTCCTTGCTCCAGACAAGTGATCAGGTCTGGCTTAGAGACAGCAATACCTGTTTTATTAAAAATGAGTAACATGAATCTTGCTCATATTCTCCAATTATCAACCAGTAATGTGCTCAGTAAAGAGGATGTAATTAAGTATTCTAGTAAATTAATCCCAAAATATCTAATTAGTAATGTAAATTTCTAAATATTTAAAAAATATTTTAAATTTGTATGTTCTTAATTTCACTACTCAGTACTACGGAATGAAAAATTAGTGGTGGCAATTAGATTTTACGGTGTGGGCAACTTTTATGCCACTAAATTTTTGGAATTACCATTAATCTAGAGTGAAGGATACAGAGTAGCTCAAGAACGTGGAAAGTTCAAGTCAAGATGAAACATCTTGAAGAAATTCATTTCTAAATGAACAAATCCCCAGGATTTTGTTGAAAATAGGGATCTAAAATTTATTTATGCAAAGCAGAAATTTCCAAAAAACATTCTACAGAAAGGAGAAGTGAAACCTTTAAATTATGTATTAAAATTATCCTCACCCAGGAAGACCAGGTTTCTGTAGTTATCTAACATCACATTCCTATACAAATTCTGCTGTGAAGTGTCCAGGCATTGCCACTCCTCCAGAGAGAATTCTATGGCCACATCCCTAAATGTCAGTGGTCCCTGAAAAACACACACACACAAAAACATATTTACCAACTTGCTCTGGACAGAATATTTAATTTGACTCAAGGTGGAATGCGAAAGTAAAGAGAACTGGTTTTTACTTATAGGAGTGACTAAAATTATCCAATAAAATAATTTTCAAAACAGAAATATTCTCAAATGTGTTCTCTAACTCTGAGAAAAGAGTAGCATAAGATCCACAATAGCAGTTTATATATGATACTTTTCTAGATAATAAAGTATAAAATTAGTAACACAAACACGTACATTTGTGAGTGCTATATTTACATCATACAGAATCAGCTGTGTATATTTTTCAGATAGAAAAGAAATGCTGTGTTACAAGCTAGCTTTAAAATTTTAATGTGTACAGTAATAAACTGGAGATCTTGTTATGCAGATTTTCTTTCCAGAAGATCTGGAATAAAGTCTGAGTTTCCAAATTTTTAACAAGCTCACCAGTAATGCCAATGTTTTTGGCCCAAGAAGAATATTTTGTCAAACATCCAGTAAGTGGAAGAGCCTGTGATTTTCCCAGTTTTTCTGGCCTGTAAACAAAGATGAGAGCCTTTATTTTCCAAAGACAAATATATACAAAGGAAACCTAAGAAAGAAGGGCAGCTTCCAGATTAAATGTGATGGTTTATGCACATCAGCTGCATAAAGATACTTAATAAAGAAGAGAAAAATAATTAACTCTATAGTAAGAAAAATAAATCTGTCAGAGAGCTCTTTTATTTTATTATACTTTAAGTTCTGGGTTACATGTGCAGAACATGTAACATAGGTTACATGTTCTGTTACATAGGTATACCAAGTGAATCATTAACATCAACTGAACCAGGACAGATTTGTATGATGCGCTGAGGCACACAGAAAAACACAGCATCACTGCTTCAATATTGCCCCTCGCAAAAGTAAATTATAGTCTGAATTTAACCATACACAAACATCAGTTTTATGCCCTCTTCAAGATACAGATAACTCTTATGTTGTTATTTTGTGTGTATGGTTTTTTTTTTTTTTTTTTTTTTTGAGACAGTTTTGCTCCCTTGCCCAGGCTAGAGTGCAATGGTGTGATCTCGGCTCAGTGCAATCTTCGCCTCCCGAATTCAAGCGATTCTCCTGCTTCAGTCTCCCAAGTAGGTGGGATTACAGGCGCCTGCCGCCGCTGCCATGCCCAGCTAATTTTTTTTTTTTTTTTTTTACATTTTTAGTAGAGATGGGGTTTCACCATGTTGGCCAGCCTGGTCTCGAACTCCTGTCCGCCTCAACCTCCAAAAGTGTATGGGATTACAGGCGTGAGCGACGTGCCTATCTTATGTTGTTATTTTTAACAGTAATTTTAAGTAGTCTTCAACACCGTAGAGAGCAGTTTTCTCCTAATAATTTTTTTTCTTGTTGCCCAGGCTGGAGTACAGTGATGCAATCTCTGATCACTACAACCTCTGCCTCTCAGGCTCAAGCGATTCTCCTGCCTCAGTCTCCCTAGTAGCTGGGACTACAAGCATGTGCCACCACACCCAGCTAATTTTTGTATTTTTAGTATAGACGAGGTTTCACCATGTTGGCCAGGCTGGTCTTGAACTCCTGGCCTCAGGTGATTTGCCCACCTCAACCTCCCAAAGTGCTGGGATTACAGGCATGAACCATCATGCCTGGCCATCTCTGAGTAATTATTTTTTAGAACTTTTTGGGTAATAAATGTTATCCTGTTTAAATAAGCATTTTGTTAATTCTGTTCTGCATAGAGCTAATGGAGAACACAAATGAAACCCCAACATTACATGTTCTCCATATTTACAAAGGACCCCAGCTTGTTGGAAACAGGCCCCCCAAAATCTGGCCATAAACTGGCCCCAAAACTGGCCATAAACAAAACCTCTGCAGCACTGTGACATGTTCATGATGGCCATGACGCCCACGCTGGAAGGTTGTGGGTTTACCGGAATGAACACCTGGCCCACCCAGGGCGGAAAACCGCTTAAAGGCTTTCTTAAACCACAAACAATAGCATGGGCGATCTGTGCCTTCAGGACGTGCTCCTGCTGCAGATAAGTAGCCCAACCCATCCCTTTATTTCAACCCATCCCTTTATTTCCCATAAGAACTACTTTTAATCTATAATCTACATAAACAATGCTTATCACTGGCTTGCTGTCAATAAATACGTGGGTAAATCTCTGTTTGAGGCTCTAAGCTCTGAAGGCTGTGAGACCCCTGATTTCCCACTTCACACCTCTATATTTCTGTGTGTGTCTTTAATTCCTCTAGCGCCGCTGGGTTAGGTTCTCCCTGACCGAGCTGGTCTCGGCACCAGCTTTTCCCCAATAGGAATGTTGAGTATCCACAGCCACAAAGGAAACATTTTTAATGTTGCACATCACAAAGTCATGTGAGAATTCTGCATGGAATATAAGAAGCCACGATGTAGAGAAAGTAGAGTAGGCTCTGGTATATAGGAAAGAAGTATTTTTCAGAGATGCTTGACTATCATGAGAATTTTTTAAAGTAGTTAAAATAAACTTAATAGGGAAGAAAAATGCAAGTAGAGAAGCAAAGGTTTACAAGTACTAAACGCATGGCATTCCAGGAGGCAGAGTGGACACAGCTCTTGATCTGAGACATGTTTAGCTAAAAAAAAAAAAAAAAGGCCATTTTTTCCCCTTTTCTCCTCCTTCTCTGGGATTCCTTCTCAGATGAGAGTCTCTGGACTAATTACACACCTGCATCTTGAGAATGTGCCTTTGAAGTGTCAGCACCGCCTGCTTATCTGCTAGCACCACACCCACAGGCAGATGACATGAAAAACTCCAAAACAGATAAAGCCCGCCCGTTTCTGTTCTTTATAACAGCAAAGATTCAGGAACAATGAGCTACTCCACAGAGATAAAAATAAAGTTTCTCTTTATCTATCCTCAGGTGCCCTCCCTTGCCACAGACACCAGCAATTTCTGCTACAGTAATGGCAATATGGGCTGTACTGTCCTGTTCCTACCAAACTCAAACAGAACTGGCCCTGTGACCACCCTTTAGTACAAAGGCAGAAATTAACTCTCATGAATGTATTTTGAACCCCTCATAGCTGATTCTGTTCTCACTCTAGAATCACATGAGGCACTTATTAGGTTGGTGTGAAAATAACTGTGGCTGTTGCCAATTTTTTTTTAATGGCAAGGTAAAAGAAATAAAAATAATAAGTAATAATAATAGTGTTTTTTTTTTTTAAATAGCAGAAACAGTCCAGGTGTGGTGGCTCATGCCTATAATCCCAGCACTTTGGGAGGCCAAGGTGGGTGGATCACCTGAGGTCAGGAGTTCAAGACCAGCCTGACCAACATGGCCAAACCCCATAACCCCATCTGTACTAAAAAAAAAAAAAAAAAAAAAAAAAATACAAAAATTACCAGGACGTAGTGGTGCATGCCTGTAATCCCAGCTACTGGGGAGGCTGAGGTGGGAGAATCGCTTGAACCCAGGAGGCAGAGGCTGAAGTAGCCGAGATCAAGCCATTGCACTCCAGCCTGGGTGACAGAGCAAAAATCTGTCTCAAAAACAAAAAAAGGCGAAAACGACAATTACTTTTGCACCAATCTAATAATTAAAACAACATGGATGCTTCCACCAAGAACATTAAACAGAACTTGTGGAAAGGGCACAAGTAAAAAGATTTCTGCAAATTGGCCATGTAATCCTCATTAGAAGCCTGAGCTGATAACCACTTAGCTAAGCATTGCCTCTCAGACTTTAACGAGCTTATAAATCACTTCGTAATTTTGACCCAACTCTATGTAATGTTATTCTGCAGGTTTGCAAAGGGTCCATGAATCGGTGTTTTAAACAAGTCCTCGTCAATGCTGATGTTGCTCCCCTTAGGCTCATTATTAGCTCTAGTTAGAGGAAGCAGGCACAGCAAAGTGTACCTTACACTCAGCACTCTTGTCATAACACAAGTGAAGACAATCCATCTCCACCCTAAAGTATCTTCTTCGCTGTCTCTTTAAAGTTTACAGATTAAACAGAAGGCAGCAATGTCTGAATAAGTCTGCATTTGAAAAACAGCATGTACACATGTACTACTGCAATGTTTATTAAGCAGACACTGTGTTCACCGTGTTCTCACTCTCAAGAGTATGTTACACAGCGCTTCGCTGGAAATAACACATTATGTGATTGAATCCTCGTAACACCCTGGGAGCTAGTACCAAACATTCAATAATTCCCAGGATTTAAATGAAGGGCCCAGCATTTTTACTTCTTCTTCTGTTTCTCTGTCACTGATTTTTTAAAAAATGCATAGAATAAAAACAAAATATAGACAGATGAGAGAGACACAGAAAGGAAAATTTCAATGTAGTTTAAAGGAATTTTTATTGTGTTTATATTTACTTTTTTGTGACTTGTGAAACAATCACTGGATCTGCAAGAATAGAAAATAAGTTGCTGGCCGGGTGCAGTGGCTCAGGCCTGTAATCCCAGCACTTTGGGAGGTCAAGGCAGGTGGATAGATCACCTGAGGTCAGGAGTTCGAGACCAGCCTGGCCAACATGGCGAAACCTCATCTCTACTAAAAATACAAATATTAGCTGGACATGGTGGTGTACACCTGTAGTCCCAGCTACTTGGGAGGCTAAAACAAGAGAATCACTTGAACCCAAGAGGCGGAGGTTGCAGTGAGCCAAGATCGCACCACTGCACTCCAGCCTGGATGACAGAGCGAAACTCAATCTCAAAAAAAAAAAAAAAAAAAACTAAAATGAATCCTGAGTCAAAAAGAAAAACAAAGGGTTTATTTAGCTGTTCATATGATTTACATATATTCAAAAAAGCAGAAAAATATCTACATATAATCTAAATGCTTTAAGAAAACAGAGAAGAGCAAAATATTCTCCCTTATTTTCAGGAAACAGAATCATAAAGCCTCTTATTTCTAATTTATATTTTCTCCTACAACAGCCAGGTCTCAGGACATGCTCTTGAACTCTTGGACATCTGAACTCAGTAGATAACTGGATTCAGGCATCTAAGGAGTAGCCTTGGGCACACTGTGTGCACTTTAAAGAATGTTTATGGGGTGGGGGGAACAGAAGAAAAGAGGTGTTATTCATGAGTGCACATGAATAAAGCAAGTTCTTAGAAACCTATGAAGAGACTTCGATTCTAGCACAGTAATAGTGGAAGAAAACAACACCCCACAGACACTATTAGACAGATTATTGAGGCAGGAAATTAACAAAGATATTAGGACCTAAACTCAATACTTGATCAAATAATCCTAATAGAAATCTACAGAACTCTCCAACTAAAAACAACATAAATGGCCAGGCATGGTGGCTCACGCCTGTAATCCCCATACTTTGGGAGGCCGAGGCGGGCGAATCACCTCAGATCTGTTCAAGACCAGCCTGGCCAACATGGTGAAACCACGTCGACTCTATTAAAATTAGAAAAATTAGCTGAGTATGGTGGCGGGCACCTGTGATCCCAGCTACTAGGTAGGCTGAGGCACAAAAATCGCTTGAACGCAGAAGGCAGAGTTTACGGTGAGCCATACAATTACGTGGAACTTAACCTGCACTTGAATGATATTTGGGTAAATAATGGAATTGAGACAGGAATCAAGAAGTTTTTTGAAACAAATGAGAGCAAAAATACAACATACCAGTATCCCTGGAACACAGCTGAGGCAGTGTTAAGAGGGAAATTTATGCCATTAAATGCTCACATCAAAAAGTTAGAAAGATCTCGATTTAACAACCTAATATCACAAATAAAAGAATAAGAGAAGAGCAAATCCCTAAACTAGCAGAAGACAAGAAAAAACTAAAATCAGATGTGAACTGAAGGAGATTTAGACATAAAAAAACTATACAAAATATTAAGAAATTCAGAAGTTAAAACTTTGAAAAAATTAATAAAATAAACCAATAGCGAGATTAATGACGATTCAAATAAATACAATTAGAAATGACAAAATGAACATTACCACTGAACATACAAAAATACAAATAACTTGGCCAGGCACAGTGGCTCACACCTGTAATCCCAGCACTTCGGGAGGCTAAGGCGGGTGGATCACCTCAGGTCGGGAGTTCGAAACCAGCCTGACCAACATGGAGAAACCCTGTCTCCACTAAAAATACAAAATTAGCCAGGCATGGTGGCGCATGCCTGTAATCCCAGCTATTTGGGAGGCTGGAGCAGGAGAATCACTTGAACCCAGGAGGCAGAGGCTGCAGTGAGCTGAGATCATGCCATTGCAACCAGAGTGAAACTCCATCTCAAAAAAAAAAAAAAGGCTAGTTCACTATAATCAAGTAGGCTTTGTCTTTAAAATGCAAAGTTGGTTCACCATACACAAATCAATAAATGCTATTTATCACATAAACAAAACTAAAGACAAAACCCACAAGATTATCTCAATAGCTGCAGAGAAAGCTTTTGATAAAATTTAACATACTTCATGTAAAAAACCTTCAACAAACTAGGCATTAAAGGTACACACTTTAGCCCAGTGCAGTGGCTCACTCACGCCTGTAATCCCAGCACTTTGGGAAGCCGAGGTGGGTGGATCACCTGGGGTCAGGAGTTTGAGACCAACCTGGCCAACACGACGAAACCCCATCTCTACTAAAAATAGAAAAATTAGCCAGGCATGGTGGTGCATGCTTGTAATCCCAGCTACTTAGGAGGCTGAGGCTGGAGAATTGTTTGAACCTAGGAGGCGGAGGTTGCAGTGAGTCGAGATTGCACCATTGCACTCCAGCCTGGGCAATAAAAACAAAACTTCGTCTCAAAAAAAAAAAAAAAATAAATTACAGATTTAATGCTATTTTATCAAATTACCAAAAAGATTCTTAACAGAAAAAAAAACTATTTTAAAATTCATATGAAACAAAAACAAACAAAACTTGAATAGCCAAGGCAATCTTAAGCAAAAAGAACAAAGCTGGAGTCATTACATTACCAGACTTCAAACTATACTACCAGGCTACAGTTACCAAAGCAGCATGGTACTGGTACAAAACAAAACAAAACAAAAAACAGGCTCATAGACCAATGCAACAGGACAGAGAGCCCAGAAATAATGCCACACACCTACAACCATCTGATCTTCTACAAAGCTGACAAGAGGAATGTGGGAAGAATTCCCTGTTTAATGGTGCTGGAATAACTAGCTAGTACTATGTATAAGATTGAAACTGGACCCCTTCCTTACACTACATACAAAAGTCAACTCAAGATAAATTAAAGACTTAAATTTGAAACTTAAAATTATACAAAAGCCCTGGAAGATAACCTAGGAAAGACCATTCTAGATATAGGAACTGGCAAATATTTCATGTTGAGGATACCAAAAGCAATTGCAACAAAAGCAGAAATGGACAAATAAGACCTAATTAAACTAAAGAGCTTCTTCACACCAAAGGAAACTATCAACAGAGTAAAAAGACAACCTACAGAACAATAGAAAATATCTGCAAACTATGCTTCTGCCAAATGTCTAATATCCAAAATTAATAAAGAACTTAAGCAAGTTTGCCAGAAAAAAAAAACTAGGAAAAAAGCATGAACAGATGTTCTTCAAGAGAAGACACACATGTGGCTAACAAGCATATTAAAAAATGCTCATTATTAATCATTAGAGAAACGTAAAGAAAAACCACAGTGAGATACAATCTCATACCAGTCAGAATGGCTATTAATAAAAAGACAAAAACAAACAAACAAACAAAAAAAAACGATGCTTGCAAGGCTGCAAAAAAAAAAGAATACTTATACACTGTTAGTGGGAGTATAAATTAGTTCAACCACTGTGAAAGCAGTGTGATGATTTCTCAAAGAACTAAAATCAAAATTACCATTTGATTCAGCAACCTGAATACCCCAAAAATACTCTATATACCCCCCAAAATATAAATTATTCTATTATAAAGACACATGCAAATGCATGTTCATTGCAGCACTATACACAATAGTACTTGTGAGCAAAGACATGGAAGCAACCTAAATGTCTATCAATAGTAGACCGGATAAAGAAAACATTATGGCTGGGCGCGGTGGCTCACACCTATAATCCCAGCACTTTGGGGGGCCAAGGTAGGCAGATCACTTGAGGTCAGGAGTTGGAGACCAGCCTGGACACCATGTTGAAACCCCGTCTCTACTAAAAAATACAAAACAAATTAGCCAGGCATGGTGGTGCATGCCTGTAATCCCAGCTGCTTGGGAGGCTGAGGCAGGAGAGTCGCTCGAGCCTGGGTGGTGGAGGCTGCAGTGAGCCAATATCGTGCCACTGCACTCCAGTCTGGGCGACAGAGGGAGACTGTCTCAGAAAAAAAAAAAAAGAAGAAAACATATTGTTGGGTGCAGTGGCTCACGCCTGTAATCGCAGCACATTGGGAGGCCAAGGCAGTTGGATTGCCTGAGCTCAGCAGTTTGAAACTAGCCTGGGACAACATGGCAAAACCCCGTACGTACAAAAAATACAAAAAGAAAAACTAGCTAGGTGTGGTGGCATATGCCTGTAGTCCCAGCTACTTTGGGGGCTGAGGTAGGAGGATTGCTTAAGCCCAGGATGTTGAGGCTGCAGTCAGCCAAGATCACCCCACTGTACTCCAGCCTGGGCAATAGAATATCCTGTCTCCAAAATAAAACAAAATATTTAATAAAAACAAAATATGATATATAAACATCATGAAATACTGTGTGGCCCTAAAAAAATAATAATAAGGTTATGTCCTCTGCAGCAACATGGTTGGAGCTGGAGACCATCATCTTTAGTGAACTAATGCAGAAATGGAAAACCAAATACATGTTCTCATTTATAAGTAAGTGCTAAATAATAACACATGGCACCCTGGGAGGCAGAGCCCAGCAGATCAGTTGAGGTCAGGAGTTTGAGACCAGCCTGGTTAACATGGTGAAACCCTGTCACTATTTTTAAAAATAAATAAATTAGCCAAGCGTGGTGACAGGTGCTTGTAATTTCAGCTACTCAGGAGGCTGAGGCAGGAGAATCACTTGAACCTGGCAGGCAGAGGTTGCAGTGAGATCATGCCACTGCACTGTAGCCTGAGTAACAGAGCAAGACTCCATCTCAAAACAAACAAACAAAAACACATGGACTCAAAGCGGGGAACAACAAACACAGAGGCCAAGTTGAGGGTGGAGGGTGAGAGGACAAAGAGGATCAGAAAAAGTACCTATTTGGTGCTATGCTTACTACCTCAGTGACAAAATAATCTGCACACCAAAGCCTCACAACACAATTTTATGTATATAACAAATCAGCACGTGTACCACGAACCAAATATAAAAGTTAAAAGGAAAAAAAATCCATGAGTGGAGAATAGTGCAATGTAAGTGGATGGATTTGTTTGTGCTATCAGATAGTGGCCCAGGGGGGCTGTACTCTGATTTGTGTCCATGCAGGCAGATGAGATTATGAACAGGTTGGTAGAGGAAGCAGGTTGCTACTGCAGATTCAGTGTCTGGGGGTGGGGATATCCCCAGAGACATGTAGACACTTTTGTGGATTTTTGGCAAAAAATACCAGGATCAAAAATGTTGTGGTGAAATTCCTGAGGGTGGTTCCTAGTCCTGGGAGGGGTGTGGACACATCAATGTCTAGTGCGTATGTTTGAGAGTGGGTGGGAATCCTGTGGTGGCAGCTGTGGAAAAAAGGGGTCTGTTATCACAGCTCATTTCCTCTAAGTTGTCAGTTCTCGCTCACCCTGGGAGGAGACATGGAATCACAGGACAACGGGCAGTGTGACAGTCTGTGTACAGGAGAGCAGAGCCTCCCATTCCCAGACACCCAGAGTTCCATTCCAGGCCAGGCTTCTGTGATATCTTTCCTCTGGTACCAAATCTCTAGAGTTTGTGGAATACCAAGCAATTCTCTAACACCAACTAATTGTCTAACATTTGAATTCTGACACCACCCAGGGTCAGCACAGACCCTGATTCAGGGCTCAGTCCCACAACACTATCCTCACTGCAGATGCCAGTCACAAATTCCATAGGCCCATCTATACACTGGGGTTACTGTTTAAAAATTTGGGACTCCCATAACCTCCCTCAAGTTCAATAATTTGATAGAGCTACTCACAGAACTCAGCAAACACTGTAGTTATGTTGACCAGTTTATTATAAAAGACACAACGCAGGAAAACTCAAATGGAAGAAATGTATAGGACCAAGAAAAGAGGTGGGGAAAGATGAAGCACATAGATAATCCTGGTAAATAGCTGTGATTAATAAAATTATCCATCCTTTGTGCTCTCCAGGAACAGTTGATGGAAAGAAACACCCTCCCATTATGACTTAGATGGTGCTCTTTTCTTACCTATCACATAACCAAACACAGACTCCACATTTCCTTTTCTCATTAAAAACAAACAACAAACAAACAAAAAACAGCTGAACTGGTCTCAGTGGCTAAGAGGAAATATTTCTTAATCAAACTTTACTTAAGTTTATCTTCTTCCCACAGGCTCAGAATTTTGAGCTACCCTCAGTCTGAACCAACATACACCATTTTATGTCCCAGCTAAGAACATGCTGACTTCAGGGTAAAACATTCTCTGATATAAAATCTAATTTTCCCACCTTCTATTTGCCATCCCCTCCCACCTTCTTTCTAATCTTGTCTGCCTAAACTTTGCAGTCCTTCAAGATCTTATAGTTGGTACTTTGCCTGTTGCAACACTCTTTTGGAATTCAAATTTTTTTTTTTACATAACTTTGTTTTATTTTGTAAGTCTAGAAACTGCCTTAAAACAGTAACAACTTCATCTCCAGTAAGACCTTCCTAATCCCCTTCCATCTTAACTTTAACTGCATCTGCCTGTGGGTCCCCAGCTTTCCTGGGCTCTGTAGCTTCTCTCAGTATAAAGGCTTCTTCATGGCTGGTGTGAGCAGGCTGGGACATCTGCAGGGGAGGCTCCCCAAAAAGAACCTAACTGGGCCTTTAATAACCTCCTTTTGCAGGCTCCATATTAGCCTTAGCTTAGAGTCACTGGGCTGAAGCTTTAATTTCCATGTCAGAGGTATTAACTTGGTTTTTGAAAGTAAGTGTTTAAAAAATCCAGCAAAATTACTCAAACACAGTGATCATATAAGGGGAAGACATTTTAAGGTGTTTACATTTTATACCTCAACAAGAAAAGCAAAAGTATCCATTCCTTTTAGATGATAAACGTATTATTTTATAATTTTTATTAAAAATCATGTAGTAAACAGTCATATGGGAACGCTTCTGGGAGGTACCAAGTTTTACCATATAATTCAGCATTAAACTCAGAAATCAAGATAACAGGACATAGACTAGAGATATTCACTGTTACAAATGTACTCTGCATAAAGAGGAACTGATGTTTTCACAAATCTAAGTAACTCACCAATTATC
This sequence comes from Homo sapiens, assembly GCF_000001405.40. Classification (NCBI taxonomy): domain Eukaryota; kingdom Metazoa; phylum Chordata; class Mammalia; order Primates; family Hominidae; genus Homo; species Homo sapiens. Next base: position 64,906,164 of record NC_000007.14, on the reverse strand, counting down.
TACTACATATTCTTGTGGAAAAGTATTTATTTTCTACAGCCAAAATTAAAAAGAGATTCTCCCTATTTTTTTCCTTGGTTAGCATTCTAAAAGCCAAGACTTGGAATTCTGTTTGATCTCACCCATAAAAGACACACCCGAGAAAATTCTTAAACTCATTCTGGCAAAGAAAAAGATAAATGAGAATTTTTAACAAATGGACTATATAATTAGATATTATTTCTCTCCCTGAAACCCACCTTTTTGTAAATTTTTTACCTTTCAAGTTTTACTAATAAAATGCAACTTACAATAAAAAACTGAAGTCAAAAAAAGTGAAGAAATCTTTTCAAGATGATAAACCCCCAGAGAGTGGCAGTGCTGATTAGAAAACTGATGTGTTTGACTCGTGTCAAGTCAGGCCACGATCCCTTGATTCTCCCACCCCATCCTGCTCACTTAAGTGCTCAACGACCACCCTCTTCGGAGACACTATACCTCAGTTACTGCTCCAGATGCATTTTAGTTTGCAAGTTCTTGCACCATCTCACTGGAGTAAGTTTTTTTTAGTTTTTTTGGTACACTATTTTTTCTTTCACAAATGTTAAGAGAATTCAGGGGGAAGAAATTATTTGTTTTCCCCTTAATACCAGCATCTGATTGGCTGACCAGCAATCTGTCTCCAAGAAATGAAAGCTGGATTGGGTGAAGACAATCTTAATGTCTCAACGGGTTAGCTTTTCAAAAAAAAAAAAAAAAAAAAAAGTGTGGCCAGCGTGGGGTGCCTCACGCCTGTAATCTCAGCACTCTGGGACGCCAAGGTGGGCGGATCACTTGAGGCCAGGAGTTCAAGGCCAGTACAGCCAACATGGTGAAACCTCCTCTCTACAAAAAACACAAAAATTAGCCAGGTGTGTCGGCGTGCACTTGTAATCCCAGCTACTTGGTAGGCTGAGACTGGAGAATCGCTTGAACCTGGGAGGCGGAGTTTGCAGTGAGCCACGATCGCCCCATTGCACTCCAGCCTGGGCGACAGAATGAGACTGTCTCAAAAAAAAAAAAAAAAAAAAAAAAAAGTGCACCAGGAGATGCCTCTCAGCCCCACGACATCCACCTGCTCTTTTAAGAAGCTACACTCCATACCTGAGACTGTCCTATGGGAGAAAATGACCCAGGAGCTGATATTCACTAAACATTGTAGCAGACATAGCGATTGTGGGTATCTTGGTTTATCCCCAGACAGTACTAAAACTCAAAACCAGGAAAACACTGAGGAGTGGCTGAGGAAACAGCACTCCATAAAGTTTCCAAAGGGAAACCTTGACCCAAAAACATTTTGGTAAGATCTCTGTGCCTAGGGAAGATTATTTTAAAAAGAGGCACAGAGATTTTTTTACAATACAGTGTCAGGGGATGATTCTTTGCTTTCTTCTCCTGGGAAATATTTTCAAACAGAAAAAAATTTTTCTAAAGTGCTATCCAATGCTGTGTCAAAAAATGATTAATTAAAATACAGTATCTAAAATGTACACTAAAATAATGTGAATTAGGATGAGGAAGTTGGCATTTCGGAATGTCAGAAAAAACTGGAAATTTGGTATTTTACTGCAAGCCAGAGTTAGGCTGAAGGAATTGGGGGTGGGGAGTAGTCTTGAGACTCTGCTTGGGCCACATGTGAAAATTTCAGGGGAAAATCTATCCCCTGTAGAGTGTGTACACAATTAAGTAGCAGGCAATTAGACTGAGGTAGCTCCAGTCCCAGGGTCCCCATTTTTTAAAAAAATCTAACTCAAATTGGCCGGGCGCGGTGGCTCACGCCTGTAGTCCTAGCACTTTGGGAGGCGGAGGCGGGTGGATTGCCTGAGCTCAGGAGTTCGAGACCAGGCTGGGCAACACAGTGAAACCCAGACTCTACTAAAATACAGAAAAGTTAGCTGGGCGTGGCGGCGTGCGCCTGTAATCCCAGTTACTTGGGAGGCTGAAGCAGGAGAATTGCATGAACCCGGGAGGCGTTGGTTGCAGTGAGCCGAGATGGCTGCCATTGCACTCCAGCCTGAGCGACAGTGTGAGACTCTGTCTCAGAAAGAAAGAAAAAAAAATCTAACTCAAACTTTTTGTAAATTACAACATTGAGGGAAACAAAATTCAGGCTTAACCAACCATAAACTGCCAATTAACCTCTGATGACATAACCAGGAAATGTCCACCCTGAATTTACAAATTAAGAAACTACATAACGGTACCTAACCAATTATTGGCTTTCTTCATCACACACCTTATAAAAGTCTTTCCTTCAAGCCCTTCCCATGGACCACAAACTACAAACCACAGCTGGGTGCTCTATAATTTGTGAATGACTGTCTGATTAAATTCTTTAATATTTTCGCGGTGACTTCCATACATTTTTAATAGAAAAAAGGAGGGTCTGGGAACCCCATGGACCAAAGCTCTTCCTAGTCATGAACCCTGCATCCCGAGTCATCGAGGAGAGATGCGGCGCTGCGGCAGCAGAGCTGCCCAGGGAGGGCTCCAGGCCAGGGAACGGTCACTGCGCAGGGAGGAGACAGGACGCCCGGGATCCCGGCTGCCAGCCCAGCAGCCATCTTATGACTGAAGGGGACTGAGGGCCGAGCTGCGCCAAGGAGAACTCCTGGCCGCGGATTTTGGAGTCTACTGCAGGGAGGCCGGAGTCTCGCCACATCCACTTCCCACCAGTTCCAACCAGGCCCTCCCCCTCTCTCGGGATCTGGGACCCGGCACTCTCACCATTTCTAGGCTTCCAGGGAGTCCTGGCGTCTTAGCTGTGGATCTCCCAATACCTGCAGGTAACGGGGCCACAGAAGGTGGACCTCTAGGAGCAGAGGACATAGAGCAGTGAAGACGAGACCTGGAGCTGCGACTGCAGCGAGAGACAAAGGCCCCGCCAAATCCCGGAAGCCGTCCTGTCCGCTCCAGCTGCGTGCCTGATTGGACGGGTCCCAGCCCAGCGTCCCTGATTGGAGGATGTTTAAGGACCCGCCCCCTCAGGCCCTGAATGACAGAAGGTGTGCTCAGTTGCTGGGCTGAAAGAAGATAGAATGAAACCTAAACTGCAGGCTTTTCAGTCAGGGCTTCCTCCCTGAACTGAGCCCGGCCCACCCACGGGGTATTTGCATTTAACCTTGTGTATAAGGTCATATGCATTTATATTAATAAATAGTATAGTGTGTGAAAGGAAAATAAATTTTGCGGCCCCAAAATCACTAAGCTATAGGGAAAAGTCAAGCTGGGAACTGCTTAGGGCAAACCTGCCTTCCATTCTATTCAAAGTCACCCCTCTGCTCACTGAGATGATTGCATATCTGATTGCCTCCTTTTCCCAGGCTAATCAGGAACTCAAAAGAATGCAACCATTTGTCTTTTATCTACCTAGGACCTGGAAGCCGCCTCCCCACTTCCAGTTTTCTTTCTTTCTTTTTCTTTCTCTCTCTCTGTCTCTTTCGGAGTCTCGCTCTGTCTTCCAGGCTGGAGTGCAGTGGCACGATCCGATCTCTGCTACTGCAACTTCCACCTCCCTCCGGGGTTCAAGCGATTCTCCTGCCTCAGCCTCCAGAGTAGCTGGCTAATTTTTCTATTTTTAGTAAAGACGGGGTTTCACCACTTTGTCCAGGCTGGTCTTGAACTCCTGACCTCAGGTGATCCACCCGCCTCGGCTTCCCAAAGTGCTGGGATTACAGGCGTGAGCCACCGCGCCTGGCCTCAGAATAAACTTTCTAAATTAACTGAGATCTGTCTCAGATATTTGAGGTTCACAATTATATGGCTATTAACAAATGGAAAAAATATAATAACATTATTTAATATCCGATTTTACGACCTTCCTAGCTTCTGGTCCTTTAAGCAGGCAGCCTGAGATTTTAAAACGGAGTTAATTCTCTGAAATAAAATGTAAGCCACATGTGAATTTTAAATATTCTAGTAGCCAAACTTAAAAAAAAAAGGAAGAAACAGGTGGAATTTATTGTAACAATTTCATCGTTATATATTCTAGTTCTAGAATTCAAATATTCTAATATTCAAAATATTATTTTAATATGTGAGCAGTATGTAATTTTTCATGTAATATATATTATTGTATATAATAATATAAAATATGTATAATAATATATAATATTATGTATAATATTATACATGACCTCAAGTGATCTGCCCGCCTTGGCCTCCCAAAGTAGTGCTAGGATTACAGGCGTGAGCCACCGCGCCCGAAGCAGCGGTGCTTTTTGAGAAGGAGTTTCACTCGCACAATGTGGGCTCACCGCAACCTCCACCTCCGGGTTCAAGCGATTCTCCCACCTCAGCCTCCCGAGTAGCTGAGATTACCGGCATGTGCCATCGTGCCCGGCTAATTTTGTATTTTTAGTAGAGACGGCCTTTCTCCATGTTGGTCAGGCTGGTCTCGAACTCCCAACCTCATGTGATCCGCCCGCCTCGGCCTCCCAAAGTGCTGGGATTACAAGTGCTTTTAAGAGAAAGAGACACATCATAGGAGGATCCCATGGCAGAGAAAAGAAAAGAGGGTCTCACTTACGGAAGAAATAATCACCTATCATCTGGAATAGCATAAGACAAGCAAAAGAGATCACGACCTGACTACATCAATGAGAAGAAAAAGGCAACCTGGCTGAAAGGACTCATTGGCATCATGGAGCTACATTTAATAAGCTGCAGTGAATGGTCAGCCTCTGGGATACCAATAGTCTACCAAGAAGGCTGAACTCATTCTAATAAAATCAGCATGTCTGCACCATTCCGGTGGCATAGGGTTACAGTATCCGTTACAGAAACCCCATAAAGACCAGTGGGTACCCTTCTAGAATTGAAGTTATTGTGAAAAAGCATACCAGCGCCGGGCACGGTAGCTCATGCCTGTAATCCCAGCACTTTGGGAGGCTGAGGCAGGTAGATCACCTGAGGTCAGGAGTTCGAGACCAGCCTGGCCAACATGGTAAAACCTCATCTCTACTAAAAATACAAAAATTAGCCAGGTGTGATGGCGTGCGCTTGTAGTCCCAGCAACTCGGGAGGCTAAGGTATGAGAATCGCTTGAACTCAGGAGGCAGAGGCTGCAATGAGCCGAGATGGAGCCACTGCACTCCAGCCTGGGAGATAGAGCAAGACTCTCTCTACAAAAAAAAAAAAATAAATAAAGGCATACTAGCTTGGTGCCTTGGCTCATGCCTATAATCCTCGTGGCATGGAAAACTAGAACATGGACACACACAGAGTTAGGTTCAGAGCAGAAGTTTATAGGCAAAAGAGAAAAGAGCTCTCTGTGACAGAGAGTGTTCTTGGAGAAGTGGGTTGCTGGTTTCATGGTGAAATGCAAGGTGTTTTATAGATGATCTTGAGAAGGTAATGTCTGATGTACATAGGGTATGAAAGATTGATTGGATTAGGTGTGCCATTTGTATACGGTGCAAAAAACTGGTTAGGACTAGTTGTGCTATTTGCATAGGTGTGAAAATCTGGCCGCCCCCACCCTAATTTTTTATTATGCAGATGGATTCTCTGCCTGGCCAGCAGCCATGTTGCCTATTTCTTTAACGTTCAATGGTGAGGAAAGGGAGGATGGAGCCTCCATGTTGAACACACCTGGCTAGCTGCTGGCATTCACTAGTGCAAGCTTCCGGTTTGCTTATCCATGTTTGCTGCTCGATTTTTCAGGCTGCTTTTGGTTAAAAGGGAAACCTTGCCAGGGACTCTTTTACCCTCGCTATCTGCCTAAACAATTTCTTTCTATCTCCTGTACCACTTGCATTTTGGGAGTTCAAGGTGGATGGATCACTTGAGCCCAGGAGTTTGAAACCAGCCTGGGCAACATGACAAAACACCATCTCTACTAAAAGTACAAAAATTGCCCGGCATGGTGGCACAAGGCTGTATTCCCAGCTACTCAGGAGTCTGAGGTGGGAGGATTACTTCAGCCTTGAAAATGGAGGTGGCAGTGAGCCGAGATTACACAACTGCACTCCAGCCTGGGTGACAGAGCGAGACTTGGTCTCAAAACAAACAAACAAAAAAAAAAAAAGAGAGAGAAAAGAAAAAGCATAAAGCATACCTAATCATTTGTTATCACAGTTAAATCCCTTGAAACCAGGCAGGGTGTGGTGGCTCATCCCAGCACTTTGGGAGGCCGAGGCAGGCGGATCCCATGAGGTTGGGAGTTCGAGACCAGCCTGACCAACATGGAGAAACCCCGTCTCTACTAAAAATACAAAATTAGCCAGGCTTGGTGGCGCATGCCTGTAATCCCAGCTACTTAGGAGGCTGAGGCAGGAGAATCACTTGAAACCGGGAGGCAGAGGTTGCTGTGAGCCAAGATCACGCCATTGCACTCCAGCCCGGGCAACAAGAGCAAAACTCTGTCTCAAAAAAAAAAAAAAAACCTTGAAATTACAATGAACTTCTGCTAATTTTAGAGAATTCTGCTATACTGTACTACAATACTGAACTTTAAACAACTTAATAGAAATATTTTTTCTTTTTTTTTTTTGAGATGGAGTCTCATTTTATCTCCATCTGGAGTGCAGTGGCAAGATCTTGGCTCTACTTCAACATTTGTCTCCCAGTTTCAAGTGATTCTCTTGCCTCAGCCTTCCAAATAGCTGGGATTACAGGTATACACCACCACACCTGGCTAATTCTTGTGTTTTTAGTAGAAATGGGGTTTCACCATGTTGGCAAGGCCGGTCTGGGACTCCTGACCTCAAGTGATCCACTCACCTTGGCCTCCCAAAATGTCGGGATTACAGGCGTGAGCCACTGCGCCTGGCATAATATTTCCTGAAGGCATAAATAGTTATGTAGATAGTTTCTCTTAGATTAACATGATAAAAGTAACAAAGACAACATTTTAAATGGGATAAAATTAACCAAAATCACATTTTTTTTCAATGGCTTGGCATAATTGCCATGTTTTCTGAAATGACAGATTACTAACAAGAAGCAAAGACAAGATTTTTGCTTTGCTCAATTGTTAAGTTTTGGACCTTTTGAAATTTAAAATTCTGGCTAAACAATTTGAAGGGAGAATTCTTTAGGTGGCTTCCTAGGGTTTCCAAGGCAATACAAGAATTTTCATAGGCAGGAAAATGCATGTTATATACACATATTGTTCTTCTCTGCTTTGCTTTCATGTTTAAAAATTGAAAATTGCAAATCTAGTCTCTCAATTTAGAGTAAGTTAACAAAAGATTTATTTTTCAGCAAAGCAAATAATTGTAGAAAACTTATGGGGAACAAATGCCATTAGCTGCCAAAAACAGTATGACCGGATTCAGTAAGTATCTAGCCATGCAAATGACAGCCCAGTTAAATTAAGACCCCAAAGGTGCATGTGGACAGCATTTCCATGCAATGTGGTGCACCTCCACTGGGCACCTTCTTCTGCCTGCTTACAGAGATACCAATTTCCCCTAAGTGACTCAATGTGAATACTGGAAACTGAGAATGCTGTGTTCAGAGGGATTACTAGGAACATGGTTAACACACTTACCATATTATAATAAAATTTGATGTATCCTACTCTACCTCACAAAGGCTTTTAGTAAAAGATTGTTTATTTATAGTACTCAATATGGATTTATGAAAAATTATAATATATTCCAGGAAAGTCAGAGACACTTAAATGTCAACCAAATTCCATAAAACACACTTGAATGAGACAAAGTCTTCTTAGCTAAAAATGTTATCAGTAAATTTAGGATAAAATAGAAAACCAGTTCTTTGTGTTAAATGAACAGCGTTTGGCACGCGAGTACTACTCAAACGAAGAACACTCAAACGAGTGTTCTTCACTGTCATCATTAAAATGGCAATAACAACACGTGCTTTCCTGGCACCAGCTGGCTTGCTTTCCATTGGTGTTAAGTGAAGAAGGTGTTGAAATAGAGAAGAAAGGTGATATAAATTGAATACTTATATAAAATACTATTTTTAATAAAAAGTAGCATTTGATGTACAACTACAGGTAAGACTTGTATGAAGTAATAATGTTATTCTATTGACAGAATAACTTTATTCACAATATTCTTATTTCAAACAATATCCCTTTTTTGGCTAAATATATGCCAGCCTTTTGGTGAAATATTACCTGAGCTCAAGAGAAATCAGCAAAATGAGGCCGGGTGCGGTGGCTCACGCCTGTAATACCAGCACTTTGGGAGGCCGAGGCGGGAGGATTACGAGGTCAGGAGATCGAGACCATCCTGGCTAACACGGTGAAACCCTGTCTCTACTAAAAAATACAAAAAATTAGCCGGGCGTGGTGGCAGGCGCCTGTAGTCCCAGCTACTCGGGAGGCTGAGACGGGAGACTGAGACGGGAGACTGGCGTGAACCCAGGAGGCAGAGCTTGCAGTGAGCAGAGACCGTGCCACTGCACTCCAGACTGGGCGACAGAGCAAGACTCCGTCTCAGAAAAAAAAAAAAAAAAAGAAATCAACAAAATGAACCTTTATTTTACCAGAAGCATTTTACTATTGATGCGTATGCTTATTTTGCTTAAAACACATCAGCTTTTTGGCTGGGCACGGTGGCTCATGCCTGTAATCCCAGCACTTTGGGAGGCCGAGGCGGGTGGATCACGAGCTCAGGAGATCGAGACCATGCTGGCCAGCACAGTGAAACCCCGTCTCTACTAAAAATACAAAAAATTAGCTGGGTGTGGTGGCGGGCGCCTGTAGTCCCAGCTACTCGGGAGGCTGAGGCAGGAGAATGGCGTGAAACTGGGAGGCAGAGCTTGAAGTGAGCTGAGATTGCGCCACTGCACTCCAGTCTGGGCGACAGAGCAAGATTCCGTCTGAAAACAAACAAACAAACAAAAACATTAGCTTTTTATGAGAGACACACTTTTCTTTCAGTGATTTCTATACTGCTGAGAAGTGGTTGTTCTACCAGGAAACTGCTATTCTCAGCTCTACCAACATTAAGTTTTGACTCCTCAGCATATAATTCCATTCCCTGGTGAATCAAAACTGAGAGAAGAATAAATTACATGTTAAGGTAAGAGACATAGGGAAGACCCATTACTTTTGACCCACATCTCCTCCACCCCCAGCCCCAGGCAATCATCATTCTACTCTCTGCTTCTATAGTTTTTGTGCTGACTTATTTTACTTAGCATAATGTCCTCCAGGTTCATTGATGTTGTTGCAAATAACAAGAGTTGCTTCTTTTGAAGGGCTGAATAGCATTCCATTGTGTAAATATACCACATTTTCTATATTTATTCACCTGTTAATTAACACTTAGTTTGATTCCATACCTTAGGAGTAATTGTGAGGAATCCACTTCCCCTTTTTTTCATTTGCTTTTACCTCTTTTTATTTTTATTTCTAGAAGCATTTTAATTTAATACTATAACTTATGATTGTTACATAGATCATCTGAGCTTGATTTGGGTCATGAGCTATGAGCCCAGATTTACATCCTTGGAGCTGCGATCTGCATTATTAATAAAAGATACTATTTTTCCAAGGGCTGTTTTAATTTATACATAGTAGCTATAAGCATTTTTCACTGAAAAGCTCTTCTAAATATATTATAGTAAATATTTAAGAATAAGAATAAAATCATTTATATTTCAAAGATTTTCTTATACTTGACTGGGTATATTTTGTCATATTTAATGTATTTATTCTTTCTGAAAAATGCCAAAATAAGAATTTTATTATTTTTCCTGGAATAACAGACTGGGTTTCTGTATTGTGTCTTTGCTAATTTTTGCATATAGATTTGACTGCTACCATTGAATTTAGGTTGAGTTTTAAAGCCACTGTTTTTTAGTTTGTGTGGTTTTTGGTTCATTTGCGGAACCAAATATATTTCATTTGCGGAACCAAATATATTAGACATTTAGTGTTTGGGGTAACTTGGCTTCTTTTCTACTCCCTTTTTGTTATTACCTTTGGAGCTTTAGAAATTGCTAGGATTCAAATAAGGTTGGTTTTGAATCAAGTGATAGAAAATTCCAGAAAAGACTGAGGGAAATAGCTACTGGATAGTGCCTTTCAGTGAGATTTATACATGAAAGAGTTTATTGCAACTTTGTTGAATTTAGAAAATAATTGCCTACAACATATATAGGCAATTATTGGTGACAGAGTGAGACTCCGTCTCAAAAAAAAAAAGAAAAGAAAAAAGAAAATAAAAGCTTTATTTTACCAAATTTTTCATACTGAAAGTTCAAATTCTTAAATATTGACAGTGACATTCTAGATTACCATTTTCTAGGTGATGTAGTTTGCATTTATTAGCACTGCCTTTCAATTTTTCCTTTTGTGGTGTAAGGTTATAAAAATGCCTTCCAGTTGATTTCTTGGGTAATAGCAGACTCTGTTTTCTCAGTAGCCTAAGAATTCTTGATATACCACTTTTAGAGGTATTTGAACACAACTGGATATATGTGCTGAAATATGGATGTATTTATAACCTCATTAGAGACTAAATCATGGCAACACGTTACAGTTCAATATTTTTGTCTAAATTCTTGTTGAGCCACATCCATCTGTATATGTAATACTGAGTTGCCAACAGCTTTTTTATACTAAGCCAGAACTCATTTTACCCTGTGGTTTCGTTTGAAATGTATGAGCTGTACTATATAACATACAAATAAGTAATAAAAATTTCATTCAAAGACTATGGAAAGAAAAGTCATACAGGCACACTGTTAGTGAATCGGAATCTGGCACATGACACTGATTAACAGGTTGAGCAGATTCAACTAGATCTAAATCCCTGAAACAATATTGAAAGACAGAATTTTTTAATTAAAAATATCTTTGACAATTTAATAGACCTATGAAATTTGAAAAAAATCAATTTGTTTACTCATCATCAATCAATATTAGGTTAAACTAAAAATTTTTGAACACATCATAAAAAAATAAAATTAATTCACTATCCCCAGACTTACTGTGATTAACACAAGACTTCAGTGTATTTGAAAGCACCAAATTATTAATTAAAAATCTCCATTTTGAAAAGATCTTCAAATTTTTTTTTTCTTGAGATGGAGTCTCGCTCTGCCACCCAGGCTGGAGTGCAGCGGCACGATTAGGGCTCACTGCAACCTCTGCCTCCTGGGTTCAAGTGATTCTCCTGCCTCAGCCTCCTGAGTAGCTGAGATTACAGGTACACGCTGCCATGCCCAGCTAATTTTTTTTTTTTTTGTATTTTTAGTAGAGACGGGGTTTCACTATGTTGGCCAGGCTGGTCTTGAACTCCTGACCTCGTGATCCATCTGCCTCGGCCTCCCAAAGTGCTGGGATTACGAGCATGAGCCACCGTGCCCGGCCCGATCTTTCGTATATAACTACTAAGTAAAACCTAATACTAATATGTTTGATTTATGAAAGATTTGTGAATGCCCATCACTGTAGTTAAAAATCATAAAATTATATAAATAGACTGTCTAAATAATTTTGATTAAAATAGTTGGTATTTTATTTGAGTACCAGTATTTATATAGTATGACAAATTCAGGTTTATTTTATGAAATGGCAAAAGAGTATTTTACTTTTTTAGAAAGGTAAAAAGTATTTTTTTTTTTTTACTGTTGTGACATTTTATAAAATAAGCCTAAATTTGTGGAGACATTTTTTAAAAAGCCAATCTTTTCTAAAGGAAGATTTATACATAAGAAACTAGAGATATAAATGTCATATTATATACATCATTTCCTGAACCCTACAGTAATCTGTAAAGTTTGTTTGTATACACCAATCTTAGATTACCTAAAACATAATAAAGTTTTTTAGTGTTATATTTAACATACAAAAGTTCAAAATATATCCAGACGGACAGGACCTATGGCTGCCACTTTAAAAAAACAAATGATTGGCCGGACATGGAGGCTCATGCCCGTAATCCCGGCACATTGGGAGGCCGAGGCTGGTGCACCACTTGAGGTCAGAAGTGTGAGACCAGCCTGGCAAACACGGTGAAACCCTGTTTCTTCTAAAAATACAAAAAGTAGCCAGGTGTAGTGGCACGCGCCTGTAGTTTCAGCTACTCTAGAGGCTGAGGCAGGAGAATTAATTGAACCCGGGAGACGGAGGTTGCAGTGAGCCCAGATTGCACCACTGCACTCCAGCCTGGGCGACAGAGCAAGGCTATGTCTCAAATAAATAAATAAATAAAAACAAATGTTTTAGCACGAAAAGAACTTAAAATAGTAAACTAAACTGTGACAGTTTAGATTAAAAACATGAGAAATGACTTTTTATTTGCACTTATGCTTAATTACCTTTATTCATTTTGGAACATGCAGGAAATGATGCGGTGGTAACTTGCTGGGTAGTGACTAGGACGGTATTTACTGTCCTAGGGATGGTGGGATCCAGTGGACCAGAATCGTCAGCACCTCACCATGTACGCTGCTGTCCTCTCTCTGTGACTGTTTTGTGAGAGAGGAAGGGAAGGGAAGGGGAAGGGAGGGGAGGGGGAGGGGAGGGGGAGGGGAGGGGTGGGGAGGGGGACGGGAGGGAGGAAACAGAGCAACTCACCATTGCACCTCCCATGCTGGCCACAACATCTGTTTATGGTGGGCCTACTGTGGGTTGCTTGGAGACTGCATGACATGTTCATACCGGCCCTCAAGATGCCATCAATAGGGGAGCCAGAGAAGTAAGCAAATAATTAGCATGCATGAGCTGCTATTCGCTGCTTTAAAGGCTGCTTCTCTTACCTGGTATCTATTCTTGTAAGGAAAATGATCCATCTCTAAAGATTTCTGAAAGAAAACAGAACATGATGGACTGTTCTGGCATGCAGCTTCTTTTAAGTTATGGAAAGATGTTCATGATAGATTGTGTTCAGTGAAAAAATGGTATGCAATGCGTGCTCAAAACTGTGAAAAATATACACTTTTGGAAAGGGTTATATCAAAATGTCACAGTGTTTGGTTGTCTCTGAGTGATGATGAGTCTTAATGATACAGAAAGTAGAAAAAAAATATTTGACAGACAGTGAGCATAAAAGAGTACTTGGCAGAGCTTCCCTTTAGCAAAAGGAAGACAAATTTTTTTTTTTCTTTACTAACAAAGATCAGCCTGAAAAATGGAGCTGCAAACATAGATAAGCAAGCTGGAAGCTTGGAAGGGTGAATGCCGGCAGCTGTGCCAATAGAAAAGGGCTACCTGTGGGCCAGGCATGTCCAACACAGAGGCTCCATTTTTGTTGTTGTTGTTGTTACTACATGTAGAGTAAAGGAATGGGCAATATGATGCAGCTCAGGAAGAAGACCCACTTAAGACCCACTTACATAATACAAGATTAGGGTGGGAGTGGACACAAATTTGCCACCTATGCAAATTTTCCGTAATCCATGCAAATGACATACCTCTAACCAATTTTTCATGCTCCATGCAAATGACATACCTGGTCCAACCAATCTTTCGTGCCCTGTGTAAATCAAACACCGCCCCCCTCATCAGGCATCTATAAAATCCCATGCATTTCACTGTGGATCCTGCAGCCCATTTGGGACCCCTCTCTCTGCAGCACAGGGAGCTTTTCTCTTTCTTCCACCTATTAAACTTCTGCTCTTAACCTCACTCTTGTGTGTCCACATCCTAGTTTTTTATGACCATTAGGCAACAAATCTCGGGTATCACCCCAGAAGAACAAGGCTGCTTCATTAGGTTCCTGGAAAATGACACTGAACCCCTGTCCTGGGGAAGACAGAGGATGCCCATCCAAGGTCATGGATTCATTCCTAGCTTCTCTTCTATTTACAATAAAAAAAAGAATAGCTGATATTACTGAGCACTAACTATGAGCCAAGCACTGTTGCTAAGCAAATTACATAATAACTCATTTAATCCTCCCTCAGCAACTCTGGCAGGTCTAGCTGGTTCCAGTGTTTATTTTCCATTGTTTTTCCAAGTGTGGCAGCATTCAAGAGAATTGTTTTCTTTCCTTTTAGGGTTGAATACTGTTTTTTTTGTCTATGAAAGAGGATACTCTGATTTCTCCCAAATGATAAGTTTAAATTTTGTTGCAATATCCAGTGATTTCTTTTCACTGGAAGGAAAGGAGGCATGCAGTTTTATTTCTGTCAGCCTGCTCAGGGCCACAGAGGTGTGGACACCTAGGAGCCAGGGTCATTTTCTGAGGACAATGAGAGTCATTGAAAGGCACAAGTAGGTGAGGGATGGATTGGGCTGCTGGTTTGAAAGTGCAACATGGAGCTTCCTAAGGCACAGGCAGCTTGGAGGCAGAGAGGCCAGTGAGAGGCAGGAGCAGCAGCCCAGGCTGTCACCAAGGAGGGGACAATGTGGTAAAAATGGAGAAATGCACATGGGTCTGAAAGGTTTAGATAAATGTGGATTTCAGCACCTCCTCTCCCACACCCCACTTATCAGCTGTGAACCTGGGGCAAGGCACTCTTTTCTGTGTCTTTATGACTTAGCTGAGGTGACCACTAAGTAGGAAAAGTGCCTGGCTGGTGATACATAATAAGTAGCTGCAAGTGGTAGCTTTCTTCCCTACCCACTTGAAGCAGAAATTGGTGACCAGTTTTTCTCTCTGAGTCATCCAGCTGGCACCAGAGAAATTCTGATGCTGCTTGTTCAGACAGGGCCACAACGATGTCTGGGTGACATGGCAAATCTGATCCTTGGACCAGTTTGGAAAAGATGGGGAAGGAGACAGAGCCAGAAAAACTGGGCCAGATGCCTGGATTCCAATCATACCCAGGCCTAGGCCCCTCTGGTTCTGGCTGTGCTGTGCCTGTCTGGGTCCTGAGCCAAGTGATACTTGGTTCTTACCCACAGGAAGGTCACCATAGACCAAGGAAAACTCACAAATACAAATACACCATCTTCTCATGCTGAGGCTTTATTAAGCCCCAGTGGCTACTCTGGGAGAGAGGTGCCATTGTCTCCATTTTAAAGATAAGGAAACCACAGCTTACAGAGAGATATGGCCAGAGTTGTCCAGCCTCGGAGTGACTGAGGCAGAACCAAAGTCATAACTTGTCCAGCTGCAAGGCTTGAGTTTTCAGCCTAGCCCAGAAGACATCATCCTGCCCAGGCCTGGCTGCAACCTCACCCACCTGTGACTCATTTCTGGGACCACTGGCAGAAAGAGGAGGCTCTATTTTGAGCAATGGGGAGCCCAGGCCAAGCACAGCCATCTGCCCCTGCAGAAATGAGTGGGGCTGAAAGCTTCATGGTTTCCAGGTTTTCATATCTACCCTGAGCCAACAAAGGCTTGTGGCTGTTGGCACACAGGCAAATTGTCCAACCTCCAGATGGAGCAGAGCAACGGTGAAGGAAGCCTGCTGGTTCTTGTCTCACCTCAGCCACTTCTGAGCTCTGTAGCCTTGCACCAGCCTTTGCCCCATCACTGAGCCTGTTTTCTGCCTTACAATGGGGACACTGATACAAACCACACACACAATGAGGATGAAAACAGATAACAGGTAAAATGACCTCACCTGCCAGGGAGTCCATGCTCAGAGGACTCTCATGCTCTTGGATGGAATATTTCCTCAGAGAAATAGAGCTTGGGGGTCAGGGACATGGGACCTGCCACTGACCTGCTCTGTGACTCTGAGACAGTGGCTTCCACTCTCTGAGCTCAGATCCCCACTGGGCAGGCTGCTCTGATCTTCTATGTCCCTGTGTTGGGAAGGGAGTTCGTCCTCCCCAGCTTGTCAGGGAACCCTTGGCCATGGCTGAGGGCAATCTGGCCCCAGTGCCCTGGCTTATTGGAACAGCAGGAAAAGGCAAACACAAAACCCAGACCGCAGCTGATCACGGAACCTGCTCTCCTTGACCCACAAGGATTTGTTGTGATCCAGCCAGCCTGTGACTCTGTCCACATGCTGCTCCTCTGCAGGGATGCTGCTGTTCACTCCTACTCTACTGAGACACGCAGATGTCCTGGCATGGGAGAATTCCCTCTCTCTCTCTCTCACACACACACACACACACACACACACACACACCCCTAACCTGCTTCCTCCAGGCTCCTAAATCACCTGTCCACAAAACCTGTCTTCAGCGGCCCCTTAGCCTGTGAGCTGCCCTCATTCCCCCTCACAGCCCTGAGTGAGGGTGTGCAGCCTCCTTGGGCAAGAGGATGCGGGCTCTGGGAGGCTGCGTCGCACATCTCCAGTCCCCACTGCAGGGCCTCTCACCGGCTGGGGCAGTGACCCCTGGTCGGAAGCACCTCAGTGCTGCTCATGATTGCAGAGGTGGCCTCACCAGATAGAGGGTCCTGGAGGGCGTGGGGGCTTGGTCTCTGACTGCCAGCAAAAGAAGCCGACATAGAGGCAGCAGGCGACAAACACTGAGGCAACTGACTTGCCCGAATTTAACCCTCAGGTTTTTTAAATAAAATGCAAGTGCAGGGGCTTGGGCTCGGGACTCCTGGAGCCCCGTGGGGCTGAGCGTGGATGGTGCTCGGTGTCCAGCTACACTCCCAAACCGCATCCCGAGCGTTTGCGGGGCGGAGGGGCCCCAGGGCGACGGTTCCAGAACAGACCCAGGCGGCTCCGGTCAGCAGCAGCCCCGCTGCTTTCCAACAGCGCGGGGACCCCCATCCCCGCCAGCCCCATCTCACTGTCCCTCTCAGGTCAGAGGAGACCGTAGAGGACCGCGTGGCACCAGGAGCTGCCAGGAACCAGGGCGACCTAGAAGAAACCGGGAACCTGGCGTCCCGCGGGGACGCAGCCCCAGGAAAGGTGAGGCCACCCGAGCCCGAGTGGGAAGGGGCTCCGCGCTCCTGGTCACCCGCAGGAGCCGCACGGCCCTGCCAGATGACCCCGGGCCGGACCCTCAGCACCAGCTGTTGGGGCGGAGGGGACGCGGTGGGTACGGCTCAGGCACCGGCGGGCGAGAGCCTGGACACTGCCGGGAGCCCGACCTCCCGGCCCTTTGCGGGCGGGGAGCGGGGCCAAGGAACAGCGCCAGCCCCTCTCCACAAGCCGGTGACCCCATGACTGCAGGGGCTGCCGCCGCCAGCAAGTGAGCTCAGCTCAGCCCGGGCGTCCCCTCCGCAACGAGGCCCGGATCCCTGCTTGGCTCCCGGAGCCCGGACTGTGCCTTCCGCAAAACGGCTGCGCTCTAGGTAGGAGAAACGTTCTTCGCTTCCTGCTTTGTGGACACTCGGTTCCTTGTAGGCGGTTCTGCTTGGCCCCTTGCCCTTATTAACCTTGACCACGGCGGCTGGGTGGACAGGGGCTGGACACCCTGGGCTCCACCAGAGTTTTCTCTTGCAGGGTGACTTGGACTCTGGCACTCAGGGCCTCCGTTTCCCTGGCAGATAGATGAACATGGCTTGAGCAACTTTGTGTTCAGACGGTTTCTTCTTTCCAGAAAGTGGCCTCCACAGTGCACTTCCCGGCAGCATGGAGTCGGCAGTGGCAGCGTTTCTATCCGGCTCTGCGGGGCTGGGTGTGAACGGGACTCTCCCATCCCGCTGTCCTCCAGGAGCCGGACCTCTCACCCCGAAGACTTTGCCGAAGACGCGGCCCCCTGGTCAGGGGCAGAAAACAGATCCAGGCCGCCCCGCTCCTGCTGGGTGGTGGAGAAGGTGGAGGGCGGGCAGGTGCTAAGTGCTACTGTGAAAATAAAAATCATCATAATAAAGAACGAATGGGTTTCGTATCTCTTAATTCTCACCATCAATAGGGTATTCGTGGGCCCATTTGACAGAGGAGGAAGCCACCTGGAGAAGCTCCCTTCCTTGAGAGCCAGGCCCTTCCCTGTCCAGCCCCGTGTCACCTGCTTCCCTTACAGCTCGCTCTCTCTCCCTCTCATCTTCATAACCCGCTTCCCCCTGGGAGCAGGAATTTGAGCTCAGAGGTGTTGAGCAGCCTGTGCGAGGCCACGGAGCTCACAGGAGGAAGGACCCCCATAGAGACAGGGACATCTGACGAGGGAGCGCCCTCCTCTGGCTGGAGGGTGGGGCAGCAGCAGCAGCAGCCAGGCTTCAGGGAATGGGGTGAAATGAGGGCCCCGGGGGCTCCCCAGGTGGAAGAAGCACAGGTCTGGTAGAGGTTCCCAGGTGACAGGAGTTTGAGTGAGTGTCAGGGAGGTGTGTGAGGAAGGTGGAGACAGGTCCCACTTGGGCAGGTCCTGCCTGAGTGCCAGCATTGGGGCTGGGACTTCTCAGGGATGGGGGAGTTTTCTGCCTGCCCTGGGGCTGGGGTTATGCCCTCCAGCGCAGGTAGGGCTTCCTGCTTCCCCCATCAGGATGCAAGTTCTGGATTCGCACAAGGGTGAGGAACCAGTGACCCACCCGACCACCCCTCTGAAATGGGTCAAGGGGAACCCTGGGGCAGGACACCCTGCTCAGAGTCAGAGCCCTGAACTATTAAGAAAA
Organism: Homo sapiens; assembly: GCF_000001405.40. Lineage (NCBI taxonomy): Eukaryota > Metazoa > Chordata > Mammalia > Primates > Hominidae > Homo > Homo sapiens. The sequence continues at coordinate 64,887,808 of NC_000007.14, read as the reverse complement.
AAAAAAAAAAAGACAGGGCACGGTGGCTCATGCTTGTAATCCCAGCACTCTGGGAGGTCGAGGCGGGCAGATCATGAGGTCAGGAGTTCAAGACCAGCCTGGCCAACACAGTGAAACCTTGTCTCTACTAAAAATACAAAAAGATTAGCTGCATGTAGTGGCGGGCGCCTGTAATCTCAGCTACTTGGGAGGCTGAGGCAGGAGAATCGCTTGAACCCGGGAGGCAGAGGTTGCAGTGAGCTGAGATCCCACCACTGCACTCCAGCCTGTGCAACAGAGCTAGACTCCATCTCAAAAACAAACAAACAACAACAAAAACACTGCACAATGGAGCAGTTGTCCTTCATCCAGAGGACACTGGCCCTCTCCACTCACTCCAAACTACCAGAAGACAGGTTAGCATGTGCCCTGCCTGCCATGCAGGGCCACATGGAAGGAGGGAGACCCACGTGGAAGGAGATGATCATGAGGCCAGATGAGAACATGCAAAGGGCAATTGCAGGGGCTGGTCTGAGGTGTGGAAGGAGTTAAGTTGGTAAGGCAGGCTGTGCATTTTAGAGAAAACTGCCTGTGTCAAAGACTTGCACGTGCACACATTCACAGCATGGCCTCCACTTCATCCATCAGAAAATAATGATAGACCTAGCTTTGCACACACACAGGGATTTGATCCACATGAGACCTCAGTCCAAACCAAGTACCGACCATGGAAAAGTAGTCTCCATAGGGTCCCCAGTGTCCTTGGGACATAACACCTTTGTGAGGAATAAGTGAAGGGACATCTGTAAAGTTCTTGGTGTCGTGCCCAGCCTGGTAAATGCCCAGCACAGATCTGCTGCCACTATCATAATGTGTGCAGGCCAAGGGAGAAATGGACAGAAGACTTCCACATGGGGACCATGCTCATCTCTGGGAGGCAACATTGGTGATGATGTATGTTTTCCATTTTCATTCTCTTCTGTGGTTTCCTTCTTGTACCACAAGAAGGTGATATGAGCATCAATTACTGTTTTGATGGAAAGTAAAAAGCATCGTAGGTCACCTCATGCAGGTGTGCCCAGGTGTGAGTTCCTTTCGCGTTGAGAACTCCACTGTACCTGGCTTTGGTTAAGATCCTTCACCACCTTGGTCTCAGTCTCCTCAATTGTACTATGGAGATTGGGGATTACCTCTGACAGGTGATGTGTGAGGGTTAAGTGAGATGACAGTGGTTGAGTTTGTGAGTGCACATTGACTCTGCAGGCTCAGTGCCACTGCATCAGATTATAATGGCAGATTTCTTAGCCCTGCACCAGGTGCCCAGTAAACATGTAGCGATGGTCAGTTTATATTAGTAGAGTTAAATTTTCTCCACCAAGTGCAAATTTAGTTTCCTCTTCTGTGCCTTTTGTGACAGTGAGCTCACTTATCTTACTTTCCAGATGCAGCAGAAATGCCTACATTCTGTCCAGCTCCATTCTGCATCCTGACATGTCTACCCCACCCCACTTTAAGGAGAAAACCAGCTCAGTAAGGTGAAGTAACCTTCCCGGGGTCACACAGCAAGCAACAGTTCAAATGTTCTGGGCTCATTCAACTGAGTAAAGGAGGCCTCTTCAGAGCCTACTGTGTGCTGAGCTGGGCCTGTGAACCTTATTTCTTCTTCAAAACTGCTCTGCAACAGGTGGCTGTGTCCTCACTGAATAAGTGAGGAAGCTGCCTTGCAGAGGTGGAAATCCAGAGTACCTAGTCAGCATCAGTGTGGTTTCCCCCACCTAAGCCTGCATAATTATCACAGTAGCTACCTTTCTGGTATCAGTCTCCCTGCTTCTGCCCAAGGCCCCTGCAGTCTTTTCTGAGCTCAGTGGTAAGCCAGAGTGATTTGTTTAAACCAAGATCTTAGCCCTGTGAGAATTTGAGTAATGAAAACCATGCTGGTCTAGGAAGAAAAGAGCATCAAGATCTGATCTGGGCCTTCCCTTTCCTTCTAACTTTCTCATCTCCTCCACTCCCTCCCAGTTGATGTCTGCCTTGGCCAATGGCACTGTGGCCCCAGCACCGCCTTACCCATCTTTAGAAGCTTTTCCGTGGGCGGGCTTCTCATATCCAGTGAATCTTTTGTGACCCTGTCCCTCCTGCATCACCAAACCCCAGATCCCCTATTATGCCTCCTCACTTCCTCTCCTTCTCTCCTGTAATTGCTTCTCCCTCTAGTCTCAGTATTAACCCAGGGCGACCTAGAGGTCTGGAGGTGTAGGTGCGAAGTGACCCTGGGATGAACACACACAGATTCATGAGACTCTGCAATTCCTAAAGGGTAGATAGTGGGACCTCATATCACCAACGTGAGGACTTTCCCACAGGACAGGTGACTTAATGAGTAGCAAATGTGACCAAGAGGTACAATTTTACCAGGCAGACAGTGAAGGGGCAGAAGAGAGGAGGGCTGGAATAACCTTTTCTGTTTTCTGTCTGATCCATTTATCTCTGTCCTAACAGAAGGCCTGCAGGAGAGGCAGTGACTTGTTTAAGGTCACAGCACCTTGGAGGAGGCAAAGCCAGGACCACAGAGAGGGCTTGGGGAGGCCTTGGGGCACTGTTGACGATTCCTAAGGCTGGCTTATCCCTGCCTTCTCCTGGGATCGTGGGACTATCCCGTGGATCCCCCAGAGAAGAGGAGCAAGAGTCCAACGCCGACACGTGTCCACAAAGGTCCCCTGGTCCACCAAGAGGGAGAAACTTGTCACCAGGCAACGGTGGCATACACTGACACGCGAGCCAAGGCTCACCGCTCGCGACAGGTGTCCCGCGACTGGCGCATGCGAATCCGCGAGGCAGGTGCTGGGGCCAGGCTGTCAGGGCTGTCAGGGCTGTCAGCCTGCCTGAGCAGAGGAAAATGGGAAGGCAGAGCCGGCCTAGTCTAGGGAAAATGCTGCCTGCGACAATCACTGTGGAAGCCTAAAAGTAACTACCATAGGGCATCCTCGGGCCGTCTCATTAGTCGGGTCCCGCTGGAGGAAAAGGCGATTCGAGAATGTGAGGTGGGCGCTGGGAACTTCTCTTTGGACTCCATTCCCGAAAGAGTCTGTGTGCAAGAATCCGGTCCCAGGGAGAAGGGAATACAGTCTGGTGAGTTGTTGAGGGATCTCCGGGTGATGGAATCATACCTGAGACCCCAGAGGAGGGTGTCAGTGGAAGACTGTGAGGCCTTTGAGCTCACTGCCTCCGTTCATCCAGGGCCCCCCAGGGAGTCCTGCTTCTCAGCGCGGCTGTCTGGGTAAGGCAGGAACGACAATAAAGGCAAGTCCAAGACGGAGAAGAGGTCTCACACCTGGAACTGGCATCCAACAAGGACACATAAGGTTGAGAGAGAGTTTCAGAAACCGTCTGGGGTGATTGCAAGACTGAAACGGGTGCCCAGGAGTGCTGTTGAGGGGCACTGTGGATCCCCCATGAAAGCAAAGGGAAATAAAGGCTCAAATGGGAGAATGAGAGGGTTTGTGCTGGAGTCAAACCCATGTTCATGGATTCTTGCCAGAAACCCAAGAGACTCCTGTAAAGTGCAAAAAATCCGGCCCCCCAAAATGAGACGACTACCCACAACCTGGAGTGCAGCCAAACTACTGAAAAACCCTTGAGATCCCTAAAATCCCTGGCAAGCAAAAGATCTGTGGTGAGAGGCACTCACATACAGCAACAGCCCAAAGACCAACGAAATCCACAATGAGAAAAGACGTGCAGATGAAATGAAAAAGAGCCTAGAATATTAGGCAAAAGCCAGACTTGGCAGCCTAGGTCCCATCATATAGGAATCATGCTGCAATCCTATAGAAGTGGGAGAACAAGAGTTTCGTTGTTGGCGGATGTAACAGGAATTTACTGTTCCAAAAGTATCACAGCTGCCTAGTCCGCAAAACGTGACAGTGTTTAGACGGAAACACTCATACAATGGTCCCCATGAGGGTCGTCCTCTGTGAACAAGGAAAGGTTTACTGTAGAAGCCTTTGAGCCAGACCAAGGAAACTCTAGGCCCACGAGAAAAATGGAAGTCAGGAAAAGAGGAGGCCGGGGTGCAGGACACATCACGCCCAGCCTCAGTCCATTCAAACTTCATGTGGCTCCGGGAATGACAGCCGAAATTGGGAGATGGCCAGAATGGTCAGGGTTTGCTCCAACTATTCCCCGGCACGTTGGAGTCCTCCCACCTGGGCACCGGGCCATGGTGTGGACGGCTTGTGCGACGAAGTGAATGCGGGGGTGAAGTGGGAAGCACCTTCTGTATCATCTGTCCGCACCTGTTTAGCAGATGAAGGTGCGGGACCCCATCCACACCTCACCAGATTGCATCCTTACCCCTATCTGACCTACTTGCTGCTCACACTATCCATTACCGGAATGAAATCCCGAGACGATGGAGGAGTGCCCGCCTCACGACGTGAAGCGCCTGCTCGGCTGGGAACCGAATTCGAGGTGGATTCAAGGAGCCCTGCGCACAGGACTGCTAGGGTCTGGCCCTGGGTTGGCCACCGGAAAAGGAGGCGCTCGGAGGTTTCTCTTCTTGGGTGTGGTGTGCTCCTCTTCTTTCTAGACCAGTTGCTGCTTGGTGAGGGGGGGGTGGTGATTTGGGCTCCTGCGCGTCTCAGCCAGCCCCCCAATTCACCGCGGATTCAGGAACCACGGAAAAAATACAGGACGCGGAGCCCCGCAGCCCAAGCAGAGCCGCACAGAGGCGTACCAGAAGGTCGGGCCACTCGGAAAAAAAAGAAAAAGCGCTGCAGTGCTTGAGCCATATTCCTTTCAGCGGACGCCGCCTTCACGCACACAGACACACACAGAAACACACACACGCGCACACACAGACAGCCGCATACACACTCGGGCAGCCAACACTCGCAACACTCCCGCAGAAACACACAGCCCGGCAGCTTCTGAGGCAGCGCGGTTCTGCTCCGCCGGGAAGCCCCTCCCGGGAGAGGGCAGCCCCGGGGAACACAGGCCTGCTGTAGTCAGAAATCACAGGGGGGCAACGTTTAAGGAGACTCACCCCACTCCGTCTAGGCAGGCCTGACGCCTCCTGCGGATCCTTTTGGATTCTTAGGGATTTCGCGGTGTATCCCTGGGCCTTCCCTTGACGTTTCCTCAGGCTGGCTCGCCCCTGCCCTGTCCTAGATCGTGGGAGTATCCCGAGGATCCCCCCAGAGAAGACAGGCGAGAGCCCAACGCCGACGCCCCCTCTCCGCTAAGCCGCAGGGACTAGTCGCCAGGCAACGAAGGCGTTCACTGTGAAGCAAGCCAGTGCTCGCCGCTGGCGCCTTGTGCCCCGCCACTGGCACATGCGCATTCGTGAGGCTGCCTCGGGCGCCAGGCTGTCGGGGCTGTCAGCCCGCCTAAGCAAGGACAATGGTGCAGGCAGAGACGGCCTGGTCAGGAAAAGGGCTGCCTGCGACTACCATTGCGGGACTATAAAAGTCTCGACCACAGGGCCTCCTGGGGCGTCTCCGTGGTCGGCTCCCCCTGGAGGAGGAGGCGATTGGAGACCGTGAGGTGGGCGCTGAAAGCTGCTCTTGGGACTCCCTTCCCGAAAAAGGCTGTGTGCAGGAATCGGGTCCCAGGGGGTTGGGAATGCAGTCTGGTGAGTTGTTGAGGGGTCTCCGGGTGATGGATTCATACCTGCGACCCCAGAGGAGGGTGTCAGCGGAAGATTGCGGGGCCCTTGAGCTCACGGCCTCCCTTCATCCCGGGCCGTTTAGGGGCTCCCCCTTCTCAGCACCCACGGGCAATCTGGGAGAAGCAGGAACCACGACAAAGGAAAGGACACGGTGGAGAAGAGGTCTCACCCCTGGAACTGGCATCCCACGGGGGCACGTGAGGATCAGAGAGTGTCTCAGAGTCCGTCTACAGCGATTGCAAGACTGAAATGGGTGTCCACGAGTGCTGCTGAGGGGCACTGTGGATCCCCCGTGAAAGCACAAGAAAATCAAGACTCGCCTGGCAGAACTAGAGGGTTTGGGCTGGAGTCCAAGTCAAGCTCACGGATCCTTGCCAGAGGACCCAAGAGCCTCCCGCAGAGTTCAAACAACCCCAGCCCCCACAAAGAGACCACGACCCATGACCTGGAGTGAAGTCAGCCTACTCCAAGTCCCTTGTGCCCCCTGAAGTCCCTGGCAGCCAAGATCTGGGGTGAGAGGAAGTCCCACCCAGCAACAGCCCCCCCACAAGGACAGTGGATGTGCAGATGAAATGAAACAGAGCCTAGATTACCCGGCAAAAGCCAGACACTGTTGCCTGCTTCTCATCCTACAGGAATCATGCAGCCCTCTGATAGAAGTGGGAAAACCAGAGCTTCCTTGTTGGCGGATGTAACGGGAATTTACCCTTCCAAAAGTATCACAGCAGCCTAGTGCTTAAACCGTGACAGTGTTTAGAAGGAAACACTCATTCAATTGTCCCCATGAGGGTCGTCCTCCGTGGACAGGGAATCGTTTCCTGTGGAAGCCTTTGAGCCAGACCCAGGAAACCCTAGGCCCACGAGAAACATGGAAGTCAGGAAAAGAGGAGGCTGGTGTGCCGGCCACATCCCACCCAGCCTCAGTCCATCCCACTCCCCTGTGGCTCCCGGAATGACTGCGGAAATCGGGAGCTGGCCAGAATGGCCTGGGTTTGCACTCCAACTGTTCCCTGGCAGGTTGGAATCCTCCCAGCTGGGCACTGGGCTATGGTTTGGACGGCCTGTGGACGAAGGGAATGCGGGGGTGGATTTGGAAGCACCTTCTGTATCATCTGTCCGCACCTGTTTAGCAGATGAAGGTGCGGGACCCCATCCACACCTCACCAGATTGCATCCTCACCCCATCTGACCTAACTGCAGCTCACACTCTCCGTCCCCGGAATGAAATCCCGAGACGATGGAGGAGTGCCCGCCTCACGACGTGAAGTGCCTGCTCGATTGAGAACCAAAATCGAGGCGGATTCAAGGAGTCCTGGGCACAGGACTGCTGGGGTCTGGCCCTGGGTTGGCCACAGGAAAAGGAGGCACTCGGGGGTTTCTGTTCTTGGGTGTAGTGTGCTCCTCTGCTTTCTAGAAGAGTTGCTGCTTTGCATGGGGATATAATTTGGGGCCCGTCGCATCTCAGCTAGCCCGCCAATTTATAGCGGATTCAGTAACCACAGAAAAAGTAAAGGACACGGAGCCCCGCAGCCCAAGCCCTTTCGCACAGAGAGGCTTCCAGAAGGTGGGGCGACTCGAAAAAAAAAGGGCTGCAGTGCTTCAGCCATATTCCTTTCAGTTGACGCCACATACAGGCACACAGACACACACACACACAGCCGCCATCACACGCGGGCAGCCAACACTCCCAACACTCCCGCAGAAACACCCAGCCCGGCAGTTTCTGAGGCAGCGCGGTTCTGCTTCGCCAGGAAGCCCCTCCTGGGGAGGGCAGCCCCAGGGAATACAAGAGTGCTGTAGTCAGAAATCATAGAAGTGCAACTTTCAAGGAGACTCACCCCCACTCCGTCTAGGCATGCCTGAAGCATCCTGCCGATCTTTTTGGATTCTTAGGGATTTCGCGATGTATCCCTTGGCCTTACCTTGACATTTCCTCAGAATGGTCTGCCTCTATTGTATCCTGGATCGTGGGAGTATCCCATGGATCCCCAGAGAAGACAACCGGAAGTCCAACTTCGACGCACGTCACAGAGGACCCCCTCTTTGCCAAGAGTCAGAGACTTGTCGAGATGCAACGAAGGCATTCACTGTGACTCGAGCCCGCGCTCACTACTTGCTCCTGGTGCCCCGCCACTGGTGCATGCATGAGGCAGTTTCGGTCACCAGGCTGTCAGGGTTTTCAGCCTACCTAAGCAAGGAAAATGGTGCAGGCAGAGCCTGCCTGGTCTCAGGAAATAGGCTGCCTGCAACAAGTACTGCGGGCCCCCAACGTTGCTCACCGTAGGGCTTCCTTAGTTTGTCTCCGTGGCCCTGTCCCGCTGGAGGAGGACAGGCTTTGAGACTGTGAGTTGGGCCATGGAAACTGCGTTTCTGATTCCATTCCCGAAAAAGGCTGTGTGTAGGAATCGGGTCCCATTGGGCTGGAGATACAGTCTTGTGAGTTTTTGAGGGGTCTCTTTGAGATGGAATTTTAGTTAAAATTCTGGATGATGGTGCTAGCGGAAGATTCCTGTGTCCTTAAGCTCACTGTCTTCCTTCATCCTGGGCCTCACAGGGGCTCCTGCTTCTCAGCACGGTCGTCTGGGAAAGGCAGGAACCACGACAAAGGCTAGTCCAAGGTGGAGCAGAGGTCTGACACCTGGAGTTGGCATCCCACCGGGGCAGGTGAGGTTGAGAAAGTGTCTCAGAGGCTGTCTAAGGGCGATTTCAAGCCTGAAAAACATGTCCAGTAGTGCTGTTGAGGGGCACTGTGGACCCTCCATAAAAGCAAAGGAAAATCAAGTATTGCTTGGGAGAACCAGAGGGCCCGTGTTAGAGTCCAACCCACTTTGAGGGATTCCTGCTAGTGCACCCAGGAGCTTCCTGCAAAATGCAAACCACCCCAGTCCCCACAACGAGATCACTACCCACAATCTGGCCTGCAGCCAGCTGAACTGCAGTCTCTTTTGACTCTGAAATCCCTGGCAGCCAACTACATCCACGGTGAGAGGAAGTACCACCCAGCAACAACCCAATGAAAGACCCTCTCCACAATGAGGAAGGATGTGCAGATGAAATGAAACACAGCCTAGATTACCAGGCAAAAGGCAGACATGGCTGCCTGCTTCTTATACTATAGGAATCATGTAGCCCTTTGATGGAATAGAGAAAACAAGAGTTTCCATGTTGGTGGAAATAACTGGAATCCACCGTTCCAACAGTATCGCAGCTGCCCAGTCATTAAAACGTGACAGTGCTCAGAAGGAATGAGTCATGCAATGGATTTCAATGAAGGCCATCCTCTGTGACCTGGAAATGTTTACTGTGGAAGATTTTGAGCCAGACCATGGAAACCCTAGGCCCAGGAGAAGCATAGAAGTCAGGAAAAGGGAAGTCCAGAGTGGAAGTTAAAGTTCAGGAAACATCAGTCATCCATCCCACTGCCATGTGGCTCCGGGAATGAAAGTCCAAAGGAAGAGCCGGCCAGAGAGGCCACAGTTTGGGCTCCAGTGGTTCCCCAAATGTTGGATTCCTCCTTGCTTGGAATCCGGCTACGGTGTGCAAAGCTTCTGCAATGAAGGGAATGCAGGACTAGAGTTGGAAGCACCTTCTGTGACATTTGTCTGCACCTCTCCTGAAGGGGAAGGTTCGGGATCCCAACCACACCTCACCAGATTGTATTCTCACCCGTATCGGACCTCTCCGACCAGAATGAAATACCAAGACGATGGAGGAGTGCTCGCCTCCCCACCTGAAGCTCCTGCTCTGCTGGCAACGGATTTCGAAGTGAATTCAATAGGCCCTGCGGACAGGACTCCTATGCTTTGGCCCAGGGTTGTCCTTAGGACAATGGGGCCTTGGGAGGTGTTCCTTCTTGGGTGTAGTGTGCTCCTCTTATTTCTAGAAGAGTGGCTCCATTGCAGGGAAAGGTGATTTGAACCCCTGGTGTCTCAGCCAGTCCCCCCACTTCACCACAGTTTCAGGAAACACGGGAAAAACAAACACGCCGCCCCGCAGCCCAAGCGGAACCACACAGAGAGGCGCACCAAAGGTCAGCCGACTCAAAAGAACAAGCGTTCCAGTGCGTGAGCCACGTGAGCCACATCCTTTCAGCAGACGCCGCTTAAACGCACCCACAGAAACACACACACACCCACACCGACACACACACACACACGCAGACATCCAACACTCGCAACACTCCCACAGAAACACACAGCCCAGCAACTTCTGAGGTTGGGAGGTTCTGCTCTACTAGAAAGCCCCTCCGGGGAGAGAACAGCCCCGGAGAACACAAGCAGGCTGTACCTAGAAATCACAGGGGGGCAAGTTTCAAGGAGACTCACACCCACACCGTCTAGGCAGGCCTGAAGCATCCTGCGGATCCTTAGGAATTTTGCGCTGTATCCCTTGGGCTCCGCTTGAGGTTTCTTCAGGCTGGGTCGCCCCAGCACACTTCTAGGATCGCGGGACTATCCCATGGATCCTTCAGAGAAGACAGGCGAGAGTCCAACGGCGATGCACGTCCACAGAGGTCCCCTTCTCCGCCATGACGCAGGGACCCGTCGCCAGGCAACAGTGGCGTTCACTGTGAGGCGAGACGCAGCTCAGGGCTCGCGCCTGGAGCCCCGCTACTGGCGCATGCGCATTCGCGAGGCGCACTCGGGCGACAGGTTGTCAGGGCTGTCAGCCTGTCTAAGCAGAGGAAAACGGAGCAGGCAGAGCCGGCCTGATCTCGGAATAAAGGCTGCATGCGACAAACACTGAGGGACCCTAAAAGTCTCGACCATAGGGCCTCTTCTGGCCATCTCCGTGGTCGTGTCCCGCTGGAGGAGGAGGCGATTAGAGACTGTGAGGTGGGTACTGGAAACTCCTCTTCTGATTCCGTTGCCAAAAGAGGCTGTGTGCAGGAGTTGGGTCCCATGGGGCTGGGAATACAGTCTTGTGAGTTGTTGAGGGGTCTCTGGGAGATAGAATCCTAGTTAAAACTACAGAGGATGGTGTCAGTGGAAGATTGCAGGACCCTTGAGCTCACTGCCTCCCTTCATCGTGGGCCTCCTAGGGGCTCCTGTTTCTCAGCACGGCTCTCTGGGAAAGGCAGAACCATGTCAAAGGCAAGTCCAAGGTGGAGCAGAGGTCTCACGCCTGGAACTGGCATCCCACGGGGGCAGATGAGGTTGAGAGAGTGTCTCAGAAGCTGTCTGGGGGCGATTGCAAGCCTGGAAAAGGTGTCCAGGAGTGCTGCTGAGAAGCACTGTGGACCCTCATGAAAGCAAAGAAAAATCAAGGCTTGCCTGGGAGTACGAGAGAACCCGTGCTGGGGTCCAACCCACACTGAGGGATTCCTGCCAGTGGATCGAAGAGCCTCCTGCAAAATGCAAACCACCTCAGTCCTCACAACTAAATCACTACCCACAACCGGGCCTGCAGCCAGCCAAACTGCAGTCCCTTTTCATCCCTGAAATCTCTGGAAGCCAGGAAGATCCGTGGCAAGAGGAAGCACCACCCAGTGAAATGAAAGACCCTCTCCACAATGACAAAGGATGTTCAGATGAAATGAAACACAACCTCGATTACCGGGCAAAAGCCAGACATGGCTGGCTACTTCTCATCCTATAGGAATCGTGCAGCCCTCCGATGGAATAGGGAGAACAAGCGTTTTTTGTTGTTGGTGGTGGAAATAACGGGAATCCATGGTTCCAAAAGTATCACAGCTGCGCAGTCCTTAAAACGTGACAGTGTTTAGAAGGAAACATTCATGCAATGGATATCCATGACGGTCATCCTCCGTGAACTGGGAAACGTTTACTGTGGAAGACTTTGAGCCAGATCATGGAAACCCCAGGCCCACGAGAAGCATGGAAGTCAGGAAAAGATTAAGGCCAGAGTGGAAGCTAAAGCCCACGCAGCATCAATCATCCATCCCACTGCCATGTGGCTCCAGGAATGTAAGTCCAAAGGGAGAGTGGGCCAGAAAGGCCACAGTTTGTGCTGCAATGGTTTCCCGAATGTTGGCTTCCTCCTTCCTCTGAAGCGGGCTATGGTGTGCAAAGCTTGTGCAATGAAGGGAACGCGAGGATGGAGTTGGAAGCACCTTCTGTGACATCTGTCTGCACCTCTCCTGAAGGGGAAGTTTCCGGACCCTATCCACACCTCATCAGGTCAGCCCTGCCTCACCAGATTTTATCCTCAGCCATATCCGACTTTATTGCTGCTCACACTCTCTGACCCGGAATGAAATCCCAAGACAATGGTGGAGTGCCGGCCTCATGACCTGAAGCTCCTTCTCTTTTGGTAATCGAATTCGAAGTGGACTCAAGGGGCCCTGCGGACAGGACTCCTATGCTTTGGCCCAGGTTTGGCCTCAGATAAATGAGGCCCTGGGAGGTGTCTGTTCTTGAGTGTGGTGTGCTCCTCTTATTTTCTAGAAGAGTGGCTCCGTTGCAGGGAAAGGTGATTTGGATTCCTGCGTATCTCACTCACCCAGCCCCGCTCTTCACCGCGGTTTTAGGAACCGCGGAGAAAACAAAAAACAGGCAGCCTCACAGCCCAAGCGGCGCCACACAGAGGCGCACAAAAGGTCGACCGACTCGAAAGAACAAGCGTTCCAGTGCGTGAGCTACATCCTTTCAGCAGGTGCCACTTACACGCACACACAGAAACACACACGCAGACATCTAACACTCGCAACACTCCCACAGAAACACACAGTTCAGCAACTTCTGAGGCCGCACGGTTCTGCTCTGCCAGAAAGCCCCTCCGGGGAGACAGCAGCCCTGGGGAACACAGGCAGGCTGTACCTAGAAATCACAGTGGGGCAAATTTCAAGGAGACTCACCCCCACACCGTCTAGGCAGGCCTGAAGCATCCTGCGGATCCTTTGGGATCCTCAGGAATTTCGGGCTGTATCCCTGGGGCTCCGCTTGACGTTTCTTCAGGCTGGATCGGCCATGCCCACATCTAGGATCGCGGGTCTATCCCATGGATCCCTCAGAGAAGACAGGCTACAGTCCAATGGTGACTCACCTCCACAGAGGTCTCCTGTTCCGCCAAGCCTCAGGTACCCGTCGCCAGGCAACCATGGCGTTCACTGTGACGCGGGAGACGTCTCACCGCTCTCGTCTGGTGCCCCGCGACAGGCTCATGCGCATTCGCGAGGCAGGCTGGGGCACCTGGCTGTCAGGGCTGTCAACCTGCCTAAGCAGAGGAAAATGGTGCAGGCAGAGCCAGCCTGGTCTCGGGAAAAAGGCTGCCTGCAACAACCACTGAGGGACACTAAAAGTCTTGACCATAGGGCCTCCTCGGGCTGTCTCCATGGTCGGTCCCACTGGAGGAAGAGGCACTTCCAGACTGTGAGGTGGGCGCTGGAAACTGCTCTTCTGATTCCATTCCTGAAAGAGGCATTGTGCTGGAATCGGGTCCCGTGGGGCTGGGGATACAGTCTGGTTAGTTATTGAGGGGTCTCTGGGTGATGTAGTCCTAGGTAAAATGCCTGAGGGGGGTGTCAGTGGGAAACTGCCAGGCCCTTGAGGTCACTGTCTCCCTACATCCTGGGCCTCTCAGTGGCTCCTGCTTCTCAGCATGGCTCTCTGAGAAAGGCAGGAACCATGTCAAAGGCAAGTCCAAGGTGGAGCAGAGGTCTCACACCTGAAACTGGAAAACCATGGGGGCAGATGAGGTTTAGAGGCCGTCTGGGGATTACTGCAAGCCTGAAAAGGGTGTCCTGGAGTGCTGTTGAGGGGCGCTGTGGATCCCCCATGAAAGCAAAGAAAAATCAAGTCTCACCTGGGAGCACAATCGTCCTGTGCTGGAATCCAAGCCACGTTGAAGGATTGCTGCCAGCGGACCAAAGAGCCTCCTGCCAAGTGCAAACCACCTCAGCCCCCACAATGAGATCACTACCCACAACCTGGCCTGCAGCCAGCCGAAAAGCAGTCTTTTTTGATCACTGAAATCCTGGCAGCCAAGAAGATCCGTGGCGACAGGAAGTCCCACTCAGCCACGGCCCAATGAAAGACCCTTTTCTCAATGAAAAAGGACGTGCAGGTGAAATGAAACACAGCCTAGATTACCAGGCAAAATCCAGAAATGGCTGGCTACTTCTCATCCTATAGGAATCATGCAGAACTCCAATGGAATAGAGAGAACAAGTTTCCTTGTTAGAGGAAATAACGGGAATCCATGTTTCCAAAAGTATCACAGCTGCCCAGTCATTAAAATGTGACAGTGTTTGGAAGAAAACACTCATGCAATGGACCCCCATGAGGGTTGTCCTCTGTGAACTGGGAAACATTTACTGTGGAAGACCTTGAGCAAGACCTAGGAAACCCTCGGCCCATGAGGAGCATGAAGTCAGGAAAAGAGAAGGCCAGAGGTGAAGCCAATGCCCAGGCAACATCAATCATCCATCCCACTGCCATGTGGCTCCAGGAATGAAAGTCCAAGGGGGGAGCCGGCCAGAAAGGCCACAGTTTGTGCTCCAACAGTTCACTGCACGTTGGAGTCCTCCTTTTTCTGAAGCAGGAGATGATGTGGACAGCTTCTACAATGAAGGGAATGCGGGGATGGAGCTGGAAGCACCTTCTATAACATCTGTCTGCATTTCTCCTGAAGGTGAAAGTTCGGGATCTCATCCAGTCAGATACACCAGATTGTATCCTCACCTGTGTCCGTCCTTATTGCTGCTCACACTCTCCGACCCAGAATGAAATCCCAAGACGATGGAGGAGTGCGTGCCTCACCACCTTGAAGCTCCTTCTCTGCTGGGAACAGAATTCAAAGTGGATTCAAGGGGCCCTGCGGACAGGACTCCTTTGATTTGGCCTAGTGTTGGCCTCAGGAAAAGGATGTCCTGGGAGGTGTCTGTTCTTGTGAGTGGTTTGCTCCTCTGATTTCTAGAAGAGAAGTTCCTTTGAGGAAAATTTGATTTGAACTCCTGTGGGTGTCAGCCAGCCCCCCACTTCACCGTGGTTTCAGGAACCACGAGGAAAACGAAAAACACGCAGCCCCGCCACCCAAGCGGAGCCACAAAGAGAGGCGTACCAGAAGGTCAGCCCACTCAAACAAGCGCACCAGTGGGTGAGAAGCATCCTTTCACCAGACCCCAATTACACACACACTCAGAAACACACACACACACTCACACGCAGACATCCAACACTCGCAACAGTCCCAAAGAAACACACAGTCCAGCAGCTGCTGAGGCTGCGCGGTTCTGTTCCACCAAAAAGACCCTCCCGGGAGAGAGCAGCCCCGGGGAACACAGGCAGGCTGTACCTAGAAATCACAGAAGGGAAACTTTCAAAGAGACTCACCCCCACACCGTCTAGGCAGGCCTGAAGCAACCTGTGCATCCTTTGAAATCCTTAGTGATTTCGTGCTGCATCCCCGGGGCTCCGCTTGACGTTTCTTCAGGCTGGGTCGGCACTGACCACTTCTAGGAACGCGGGACTATCCGGTGGATTCCCCAGTGAAGACAGGTGTGAGTCCAACACCGACGCATGTTCACAGAGGTCTCCTGCTCCGCCAAGCCGCAGGGACTCGTCACCAGGCAAAGGTGGCCTTCACTGTGATGCGAGCCAGGGCTCCCCGCTTCCGCCAGGTGTCCTGCGACTGGAGCATGGGCATTCGCGAGGTAGGCTGGGGCACCTGGCTGTCAGGGCTGTCAGCCTGCCTAAGCAGAGGAAAATGGTACAAGCAGAGCCGGCCTGGTCTCGGGGAAAAGGCTGCCTATGACAAACACCGAGGGACCCTTAAAGTCTTGACCGTACAGCCTCTTTGGGGCGTCTCGGTGGTCGACCCTGCTGGAGTAGGAGGCGCTTTGAGACTGTGAGGTGGGCGCTGGAAACTGCTCTTCTGATTCAATTCCCGAAAGAGGCTGTGTGCAGGAGTTGGGTCCCATGGGGCTGGGGATGCAGTCTGGTGAGTGGTTGAGAGGTCTCTGAAAGATGAAATTTTAGCTAAAACGCCAGAGGAGGGTGTCAGCAGAAAATTGCCAGGCCCTTAAGCTCACTGCCTCCCTTCATCCTGGGCCTCCCAGGGACCCCTGCCTCTCTGCACGGCTGTCTGGAAAGGGCAGGAACCACATCCAAGGCAAGTCCAAGGTGGAGCAGAGGTCTCAGGCCTGGAACTGGCACCCCACGGGGGTAAATGAGGTTGAGAGAGTGTCTCAGAAGCCGTCTGGGGGCGATTGCAAGCCTGATAAGTGTATCCAGGAGTGCTGATGAGGGGCACTGTGGACCGTCCATGAAAGCAAATGAAAATCAAGGCTCACCTGGGAGCACCGGAGGGCCCATGCTGGAGTCCAACCCACGTTGAGAGATTGCTGCCTGTGGAACCAAGAGCCTCCTGCAAAGTGCAAACCAACCCAGCCCCCACAACTAGATCACTACCCACAACCTGGCCTGCAGCCAGCGGAACTGCAGTCCCTTTTGATCCCTGAAAACCATGGCTGCCAAGAAGATCCCTGAGAAGAGGAAGGCCCACCCAGCAACAGCCCATTGAAAGACCCTGTCCACAATGTAAAAGGACATGCAGATGAAATAAAACAGAGCCTCCATTACCAAGTAAATGCCAGACATGGCTGGCTACTTCTCATCCTATAGGAATCATGCAGCCCTCCAATGGAATAGGGAGAGCAGAAGTTTCCTTGTTGGCAGATATAACGGGAATCCACGGTTCCAAAACTATCACAGCTGCTCAGTCCTTAAAACCTGACAGTGTTTAGAAGGAAATATTCATGCAATGCATCCCCATAAGGGTCGTCCTCTGTGAAGTGGGAAATATTTACTGTGGAAGACTTTGAGCCAGACCCAGGAAACTGTAGGCCCATGAGGAGCATGGAAGTCAGGAAAAGAGAAGGCCAGAGTGGAATCAAAAGCCCAGGTAGCATCAGTCGTTCACCCTACTGCTATGTGGCTCCGGGAGTGAAGGTCCAAGGGAGGAGCTGGCCAGAAAGGCCACAGTTTGGGCTCCAGCGGTTCCTGGCACTTTGGGGTCCTCCTTATTCCGAACCGGGCTATGTTGTGGACAGGTTGTGCAATGAAGAGAATGTGGAGATGGAGTTGGAAACAGCTCCTATGCCATCTGTCTGCTTCTCTTCTGAAGGTGAAGGTTCAGGACCCCATCCATACCTCACCAGACTATATCCTCACCCGTATTATTGAGGCTCACACTCTCCCACCCGAAATGAAATATCAAGACGATGGAGGAGCGCCCGCCTTAAGACCTGAAGCTCTTTCTCTACTGGGAACCGAATTCGATTGGATTCAAGGAGCCCTGCAAACAGGACTCCTATGGTCTGGCCCAGGGTTGGCCTCAGGACAATGAGTACCTGGGAAGTGTCTTTTCTCAGGTGTGGTATGCTTCTCTTATTTCTAGAAGAGTGGCTCCTTTGCAGGGAAAAGTGATTTGTACCCCTGCGGGTCTCAGTCAGCTCCCCACTTCACCACGGTTTCAGGAACCACGGGGAAAAGAAGAAACACGAAGCCCCACAGCCAAAGCGGAGGCACACAGAGAGGCGCACAAGAAGATTGACCGACTCGAAAGAACAAGCGCTCCAGTGCGCAAGCCAGATCCTTTAACCAACCCCACTTCCAGGCACACACAGAAACACACACACAGACATACACACACAGACATCAAACACTTGCAACACTCCCACAGAAATACACAACCCAGCACATTCTGAGGCAACCCGGTTCTGCTCCACCAGGAAGTCCCTCCGGGGAGAGAGCAGCCCCGGGAAACACAGGCAGGGTTTACCTAGAAATCACCGGGGGGCAACTATCAAATAGACTCACCCCCACACCGCCTAGGCATGCCTGACACATCCTGCGGGTCCCCTGGGATCCTTAGGGATTTCGATCTGCAGCCCTGGGAGTCCGCTTGAGGTTTCTTCACCCTGGGTCGGCCCTGCCCAATTCTAGGATCAGGGGACTATCCCGTGGATCTCTCAGAGAAGACGGGTGAGAGTCCAGCGGCGATGCACGTCCACAGAAGTCTACTGGTTTGCCAAGCCGCAGGGACCCGTGGCCAGGCAACGGTGGCGTTCACTGTGACGACAGCCGCAGCTCACCACTCGTGCCTGGTGCCCCGCAACTGGCGTATGTGCATTCGCGAGGCCGGCTCGGGCGCCCAGCTGTCAGGGATGTCAGCCTGCCTAAGCAGGGGAAAATAGTACGGGCATAGCCGGTCTGATCTAAAGAAAAAGGCTGCCTGCGACAACCCACTGTGGGACCCTAGAAGTCTCGACAGTACAGCCTCTTTGGGGCGTCTCCGTGGTTCATCCCGCTGGAGGAGGAGGCGTTTCGAGACTGTAAGTTGGGCGCTGGAAACTGTTCTTCTGACTCCTTTCCCCAAAGAGGCTGTGTGCAGGAATCAGGTCCCAGAAGGATGGGTATACAGTCTGGTGAGATGTTGAGGGGTATCCGGGTGATGGAATCATACCTGAGATCCCAGAGGAGGGTGTCAGCAGAAGAATGCCAGGCCCTTGAGCTCACTGACTCCCTTCATCCTGGGCCTCCAAGGGGCTTCTGCTTCTCAGCACTGCTATCTGGAAAAGGCAGGAACCACGACAAAGGCAAGTCCAAAGTGGAGCAGAGGTCTCACACCTGTAACTGGCATCCCATGGGGGCAGATGAGGTTGAGAGAGTGTCTCAGAGGCCATATGGGGCGATTGCAATCCTGAAAAGGGTGTCCAGGAGTGCTGTTGAGGGGCATTGTGGACCCCCCCCCATGAAAGCTAAGGAAAATCAAGGCTAGCCTGGGAGGACAAGAGGGCTTGTGCTGGAGCCCAAGCCTCCCGTTCAAGGATTCCTGCCAGAAAACCCGAGAGCCTCCTCAAAGTGCAAACAATCCCAGCGCCCACAAGGAGGCCACTATTCACAACCTAGAGTGCAGCCAGCCTACTCCAAGTCCCTGTTGCTTCCTGAAATCCGTGGCAGCCAAATACCGTATACAGAGGCTGTCCCACCCAGCAACAGCCCAATGAGAGACCTTCTTCACAATTAGAAAGGACGTGCAGATGAAATGAAACAGGGCCTAGATTACCAGTCAAAAGCCAGACATGGCTGCCTACTTCTCATCCTACAGGAGTCATGCAGCCCTCCAATAGAAGTGGGAGAACAACAGTTTCCTTGTTGGTGGATATAACGGGAATTTATGGCTCCAAAATATCACAGCTGCCCAGTCATTAAAACATGACAGTGTTTAGAAGGAAACACTCATGCAATGGATCCCCATGAGGGTCGTCCTCCGTGAACTGGGAAACGTTTACTGTGGACGACTTTGAGCCAGACCCAGGAAACCCTAGGCCCATGAGGAACATGGAAGTCAGGATAAGAGGATGTCAGTGTGGAGGCCACATCTCACCCAGCATCAATCTATCCCACTTTCATGTGGCCCCGGGAATGAAAGCCCAAATCGTGAGTTGGCCAGAATGGCCGGGGTTTGAGCTCCAACTGTTCCCCGCACGTTGGAGTCCTCCCACCTGGGCGCCGGGTCATGGCGTGGACAGCTTGTGCAATGAAGGGAATGCGGGGGTGGAGTTGGAAGCACCTCTTGTGTCATCTCTCTGCACCATTTTTGCAGGTGAAGATGCGGGACCCAAACCACATTTCACCAGACTGTATCCTCACCCCCATCTGACCTTACTGCTGCTCACACTCTCCGTCCCAGAATGAAATCCCCAGAAGATGGAAGAGTGCCCGCCTCACGACGTGAAGCACCTACTCGGCTGGGAACTGAATTGGAGGTGGATTCAAGGGGCTCTGGGAATGAAACCCCAAATCAGGAGCTGGCCGGAAAGGCTGCAGTTTGCACTCCGACTGTTTCCAACTGTTCCCCGCACTTTGGAGTCCTCCCACCTGGGCACCGGGCCATGGTGTGGACAGATTGTGTAATGAAGCGAATGTAAGGATGGAGTTGGAAGCACCTTCTGTGTCATCAGTCTGCACCTTTTTTTGCAGGTGAAGGTGCGGGACCCCATCCTTAGGGATTTTGCGGTGTATCCCTGGGGCTCCGCTTGAGGTTTCTTCAGGCTGGTTCGCCGCTGCCCTCTCCTAGGGTCATGGGACTATCCCGTGGATCCCACAGAGAAGACAGACTAGAGTCCATCGCTGACGCACCTCCACAGAGGACTCCTTTTCTGCCAAGCCACAGGGACTAGTCGCCAGGCAAAGGTGGTGTTCACTGTGATGCGAGCCGTGGCTCACTGGTGCCCTGAGACTGGCGCATGCCCATTCGGGAGGCAGGCTCAGGCATCTGATGATGGCATCTTCCTGGATTAGGCCCCCACAGAAATTGAGGAAGTTGTTATCAGTCATTTATACCCTGAAAATATTAGTTCACCAGAGCCCTGGAGGGGGATGGGTAGAAGCTCATTAAAGTAGGTCTGGATGGTGCACAGAGTGTGAAGAAAACAGAGAAACCCAGAAAGTCTAAGCCTGAAGACAGCTCCAATCCTAGGAGATACTATTATTATGTCCATCTTACAGAGGAGGAAACTGAAACAAAGGAAGAGAACTTGATCAAGACCATGTTGCCCCACAGTGGAAGAGCCAAGATCCAAACCCAGGTAACCTGCCTCATCATCAGAGCCTGGACTCATAACCTCATGCTGCAGTTAAGCAGGTTTGCACTGTGGCTAGATACACAGACTCTGTGTTCACATCTCAGCTTCTCTGCTATTTCCATTTCTGTGACTGTAGGCAAGTTACTTCTCTGTGCTCAGTTTCCTCTATAAAGTAAGGACAGTAGCACCTGCCTCAGGGGGGTCTCTTAAATAAGTTAATAGATGCAACATGTTTAGAACATTGCCATGGGCTGGGCGCTGTGGCTCATGCCTGTAATCTCCACAATTTGTGAGGCCAAGGCGGGTGGATCACCTGAGGTCCGGAGTTCGAGACCATCCTGACCAACATGGCGAAACCCCGTCTCTACTGAAAATACAAAAATTAGCCAAGTGTGGTGGCATGCACCTGTAATCCCAGCTACTCAGGAGGCTGAGACAGGAGAATTGCTTGAACCTGGGAGGTGGAGGTTGCAGTGAGCCAAGGTCACACCATTGCACTCCAGCTTGGGTAACAAGAGTGAAACTCCATCTCTAGAAAAAAAAAAAAAAGAACAGTGCCATGTACACAGTCACCATCTAGTAATAATATCATCTATTATGTCTGAACCCTGGATGGTCGCATATCCTTGAAGAGTTTAAAATTCTGGACTTTGAAATGCCAGACTGTGGGATCCTGGAATCTGTCAGCTTCATGCTAACCTCTTCCAGCTGCAGAATTTTATGCTTCTTTGCAGGGTTGGAAGGTGTAGGGCAGTACATTTACCTAGTTCTGCTTCACTGTAGTGTGATTTCAAAGCCTTCCCTTCTCCTTCCCCTGCATGCTCCCTCACTCAGATTCATACATGCATTCTAGTCCTGCTTGACCCAATGGGAAAACAAGAGGGTGAGGAGTGAAGGTGGGTGGGTGGGTGGGTGCACTTGTTCACTTAACCATTCTGCCTCCAACCATGATGAACTTGTGCATCTAGGGACTGGGTCCAGACCTAAAGTGTTCTTGCTCTTCCTTTACCTTTAAGCCTCAATTTGCAGCAAACTTAGAGCTTCATCTTTCCCTGTGACCCTGTCTGGGTATTTTTGCTGGATGGACATGCATTCCCTCTGCCAGGGGTGGATAGTCTAGGGCCTGGCCAGGCAGCCATGGCAGATGAGAAGACAGTCCACATCAGCTTCATTGTGTTGGGTTATTTTTCTGCTGGCCCTTGGCACATTCCTAATGAGCTATGATTAGCCTCAGATCTACAGCACCTTCTGCAGCAGCGTCATGGTGACCAGGGATGTCATATACAGCATATGCCACTGTTACCCAAGGCAGGTGGTGGTAGGGCTTGGTGAGGGCAAGAGGACTGGAGACTGTGCCGTATTCCATCAATCCTGATCCTTCAATCATCTTTTCATTCTCATTTTGACTCCCTGTTTTCTTCTTTCTGCTCTTCTGAGCACATGTCCATGCATCCACATACCTGTCCATCCACCCATCTATATCCATTCATGCCTCTATCGCATAGCATTAGGATTGACCAGAGGACCCCAGGATCTACAGTCATTAACCAGACACCATGGAGAAGACACAATGAAACACAGTATATTATCCATGTGCTTAAATCAAAAGTCAATGAGTACTTTACTCTCTCCAGGCACTCCTGCATTCAGGATGCTGTTTTGCCCTCATCTTGAGCTTTTTGGTGCCTTTTGTAGTGCCATTTTATAGGAGAGAAGGCTGAGGCTCAGAAAGTGTGGTTCTATAGCTGAGTGGCAGCGTTTGTATTGGAGCTCAGATATGCAGATGTAAGCATCACCCTCCACTTTGAAATCTCTGCCACAGGGCCCTGGAGCTGCTTAGCATTTTGGGGTGCGTCAGGTCTCACCTTGGTTGAATGTATTAAGCAGTGCTCTATCTTTTGTTGTCTTAATGTATTCCTAGCCCTATGACTGCTTTAGGGATGAGAAGAGCACTACTTTGCAAGTCATGGGTTCTAGTCCCAGTTCTGTCCCAAACTTTCTGTGTGACATTTGTCTGAGCCTCGGCTTTTTAAATTGCAAAATGGGACACAAGCCCCTATTTTGCAGAGCCTCACAGGATGTAAAGATCAGAGAAAAGATAGGTAGAAAAATATTTTTTAAACTCTAGAGTGTTGTATGAGAGTGAAAGATTGCCGGTTACCTAAAATCCTGAGAAAGAACATGCCAGCTTCCAAATCAATTTTTGTACTTTTTCATTTTCTTCTTCAACTTTAGATACAAAAAATATTTTTGGGTTGGGGGCAGGGGGGAGGGATAGCATTAGGAGATATACCTAACGTAAATGACGAGTTAATGGGTGCAGCACACCAACATGGTACATGTATGCAGATGTAACAAACCTGCACATTGTGCACATGTACGCTAGAACTTAAAGTATAATAATAAAACAATATTTTTATTAGGTATGCTTTTAAGAGAATCCTATTGAAAACCAAACCAGTGGGTTTTTTGGAAAGTATTTTAATTTACCCATTTGTGTTAAAAATATTGCAGTGTAAGTATGCATTTCTAACTTTAATGATAATTTCTCTCAGCTCCTTTAACATTTATTTCTCTGATTTTTGGCTCTGTGCAAGGTTTGAAAACTTTACTTTCATTTTTGTAAATTATCTTTATTCTTCTCACAGATTTGTAGTGTTTTTCTTCTCCTTGGTGTTATGCAGCCCGTTTTAAGTAATTTATTTTTTTATTTTAAGGAATTAATTTTGTTATTTTTCTCTTTTTGGAACACTGCACATTTGAATTCAAGCACTTATATCTGGTTTTCACTTGATTTTAGCCAAAAGGCTGAGAAGTAATTATGTCTGCTTTTCAATTTTAGAAACTTATGAGTCACCAACTCTGAATACTGACTTTGATTTTGAAAATATATTCTATAAAAATAATCAGACTTGTTTTACTCCATCTCATGCTCCCTGTCATACATGTATATTTTAGATTTTGTTAATATAACTTTTCTCCTTTTGTCTTTACAGTAATTAATTACTGCTTAGTGTTCTAGTTCACTAATCTTCTCATCATTTCAGACTAATTTAATGTTTCACACATATGTTGTATATTAAGTAGACTGATTATATTTTCAATTGTTTACTTCACATTTGGCTGTTTTTTCTTTTCTTTTCTTTTTTTTTTTTTTTTTGCCGGTCTCAGTTTTTAATCATGGCGGGGCCTCAAGCACATGCACGCGTGCACACACACACACACACTCACACTCAGTCTTCAGATCTTGTTGAAAGCTGCAATGTCAACATTCTGCACGTGTTCTTCAAACTTGATGATCTCCTCCTCCAGCAAGTCTGTCCCCACCTTGTCATCCTCCACTACACACTGAACCAGCAGCTTCTGGATACTATAGCCCACGGGCACCAGCTTAGAGGCCCCCCCAGACCAGCCTGTCCAGCTGGATGGAGCACATACAGGCCTCCAGCTGGGCCATGTTAGTCTCATCATCCCAAGGCTTAATGTCCAGCAGGATGGACGACTCGGCCACCAGCATGGGCTTCTTGGCCTTTTTCTCTGTGTACTGCCGCAGCCGCTCCTCCCGCAGCAGTACTGCCTCCTGTCCTCCTCCTCATTGTCACTGCCAAACAGGTCAATGCCAAGACCAGCTTGGTTGGGGAGACCCTAACCCAGTGGCGCTAGAGGAATTAAAGACACACACACAGAAATATAGTGTGTGGAGTGGGAAATCAGGGGACTCACAGCCTTCAGAGCTGTGAACCTCAAACAGAGTTTTGCCCACATATTTATTGACAGCAAGCCAGTGATAAGCATTGTTTCTATAGATCATAGATTAACTAAAACAGGAAACAAAGCGATGGGCTGAAACAAAGGGATGGGCTCTGGCTAGTTATCTGCAGCAGGAACATGTCCTTAAGGCACAGGTCGCTCATGTTATTGTTTGTAGTTCAGGAACACCTTTAAGTGGATTTCCCACCCTGGGTGGGCCAGGTGTTTCTTGTCCTCATTCCGGTAAACCCACAACTGTCAGCATGGCTGTCATGCCCATCACTAACATGTCACAGTAGTGCAGAGATTTTGTTTATGGCCAGTTTTGGGGCCAATTTATGGCCAGATTTGGGGGCCTATCCCCTGTAGGTCAATGTCATCGTCCTTGTCATCCTCTGCTGGTTTGGCTGGCTTCTTGGCCAGGGGCTCCACTTGGCACATAGGAGACTCGTGCTGGGTCTGCAGGGCTGTGGTGGCCAGGCAAGCTCTTCTCCAGCACGTTCAGTGGGGCCTCCAGCTTGGAGATGGCCTGCTGCAGCTCCTGCACAACCCTGCGCAGGCTCTGGTTCTCCACTTCCAGACTGGTGATCTGAAAGATGAGCTCAGCCTTGTCTCCGCTGGGGCTGCTGGAGGCCCCGGGGCCTGAGCTTCTGGCCAGGGATTTCTGGAAATGCTCTCTGGCTCTCGCAATGTCATGGAGGATCATGCTGGCGCCGTTCTCCTGGCGGGAGGTGCTGGCCACAGCCTTGTTCATCTGCTTGAAGAATCTCCTTTCTGCATTGTCACATTTTAACTTGTTGAACCAGATCTTCTCATGTACTAGGAAGTTTGTAGCCACTTTTCTGATGCCAGCCAAGGACGCAGTGACCAGGAAGGAGGAATCAGCAGATGCGGGACGCCTGAGGAAAGGCTGGCTGTTTTTCAAATATGGCTTGTTGCTGGGTGTGGTGGCTCACACCTGTAATCCTAGCACTTTGGGAGGCCGAGGCGGGTGGATCACCCGAGGTCGGGAGTTGGAGACCAGCCTGACCAACATGGAGAAACCCCGTCTCTACTAAAAATACAAAATTAGCTGGGCATGGTGGTGGGTGCCTGTATTCCCAGCTACTTGGGAGGCTGAGTCAGGAGAATCACTTGAACCCAGGAGGCAGAGGTTGTGGTGAGCCAAGGTCATGCCATTGCACTCCAGCCTGGGCGACAAGAGTGAAACTCTGTCTCAAAAAACAAAAAAACAAAACAAAACAAAAAAACCCCCACATGCACAAAAAACAAACAAATATGACTTGTCACCCTTGTAGCTTCTTGTACTTTTCACATTATTGGTATATTTTCTGTTTTCCCCATTGTGTTGGATTAAACATTTTAAACCTAAGTCCTGTAACTGTGGGTAATATAAGTTGTAATTTGTTTCTCGCTTGTGAAAGATATTACGTTTGCAATGTCTGCAGTTAGTTTATGTTGTTACTTTTATTTTTATTTTTGTAGAAAAGGATTTTTATTTTTTTTTAGGGTGATTTTTAAAAGTTCTAGGGTACATGTGCACAATGTGCCGATTTGTTACATATGTATACATGTGCCATGTTGGCGTGCTGCACCCATTAACTCGTCATTTACATTAGGTATTTCTCCTAATGCTATCCCTCCTCCCTTATGTTGTTATTTTTTCATTTGTCTAATGGCAAGTTGGACAACCCACAGAAATTTTTTATTTGTGTGTTCACCCATATCTAAGAAGAACAATTGCTTCTTAGTTTAATTACATTCTGGATTCTTCCTTTGGCTTTCTTTTGTACCTGGAAAGTTCTCATATGTTTCTTTATATTCTACTCAGGATTTTAAAGGTTCTTGTAACTTTCTCAGAATTTTAGCATGTAAATTATTTTTATATTTAAAGATTTCCAAATATATAATATCTTTCCAAAATGCACAAATATCAACAGCATATACCTGAGGAAAATATTTTACAATTTTCTTGTGTGGCAGACAATAACATCTTATGAGAAATCTCAAGTTACATCAGTTAGAACATATTCTTTCCTCAATATACCAAAAAAAATTTTTTTTTTTTTGAGATGGAGTCTCACTCTGTCACCCAGGCTGGAGTGCAGTGGAGCGATCTCGGCTCACTGCAAGCTCTGGCTCCCGGGTTCACGCCATTCTCCTGCCTCAGTTTCCCAAGTAGCTGGGACTACAGGCGCCCGCCACCACACCCGGCTAATTTTTTTTTTTTTTTTTTTTTAGTAGAGATGGGGTTTCACCATGTTAGCCAGGATGGTCTTGATCTCCTGACCTCATGATCCTCCCGCCTCGCCTCGCAAAGTGCTGGGATTACAGGCAGAGCCAGCACGCCTGGCCAGTATACCTTAATTTTTAATACTAAAAAATCGATTTTATATTTTTACAAATATCTGAAGTAAATGTACTTAACTGTAGAGACTAATACCTACATATGGCCAGAATACTGTTTTTCTGTATCAGTAAGACAATGGCAAAATTACTGATCTAAATTCAAGTTTTTGGCTTTGATCACCATGCTTCTCCATTAGCACATTTCTTTTGTTTCTTCTTCCTCTTCTTTTTTTTTGAGACAGAGTTTCGCTCTTGTTGCCCAGGCTGGAGAGCAATGATGTGATCTCAGCTCACCACAACCCCTGCCTCCCAAGTTCAAGCGATTCTCCTGCCTCTGCCTCCCGAGTAGCTGAGATTACAGGCATGCGCCACCACGCCCTGCTAATTTTGTATTTTTAGTAGAGATGGGATTTCTCTATGTTGGTCAGGCTGGTCTGGAACTCCTTACCTCAGGTGATCCACCCACCTCGGCCTCCCAAAGTGCTGGGATTATAGGCATGACCCACTGCACCCAGCCAGCACTGTTCTGAATCAATAAAAATGATCTCAGCTTAAATCTTCCATTTGATTAAGAACTTAATTTAAAATTTTTATTTTTGAGGCACCGTCTAAACTTCTGGGCTCAAGTAATTTTTCTGCATTGGCCTCCCACAGTGCAGGAATTACAAGCATGAGCTGCTGCATCCAGTACTTTTAAATTTTTTAATGAGATTTTTATTTGGCTACATATTACTTGAATTCACTTTAGTCAATAATTTTCATTGTTACTTACAATGCTCAGAAAATACTACCCTCCTGGGTTTGTGCTTTCATAAATTCAGTGACATATATTAGGCCCAAAACCTTTCCATTTAAAATAATTGTCTGGTGTTTGAAAATAATGGGTATTTTTAGTTTACTAGCCAAAAGTGCTGCCCATTTATTTATATGCCTAATTAGTCAAACTTTCTAATAAAGTTATTTAACATTATTTATGTTCATATCATTATTGCATACCAAAAGATTTAATTTCTTTAATTACATTAATGGCCCTAATGTAACTTAGTGTAAGTAAAAACGTAACAGAGGCTGGGGAAGAAGTGGTTGAAGAAAGAAAAAATGTTGATGGAAGTGTACCACGTTTCACTTAGGAGAAATAAGATTTAGTGATTAATTGCACAGAATATTGACTATAATAAATAATAATGCAGTGTATATTTCAAAATTGGTATAAAAATATTTTAAATGTTTTTGCCACAAAAGTATAATAAGTATGTGAGGTGCTGAATTTGTTACTTAGCTTGATTTAAACATTTTACAGCATAAACATAAAAATATGACAGTGTACCCAACAAATACATACTTAGGATGTTATAATTGTATAATTATATTATATTGAGACAGAGTCTTGCTCTGTCACCAGGCTGAAGTGCAGTGGAATGATTTTGGCTCACTGCAACCTCCGCCTCCCGAGTTCAAGCAATTCCCCTGTCTCAGCTTCCTGAGTAGCTGGGATCATAGGTGCGTGCCACCATGCCTGGCTAATTTTTGTATTTTTAGTAGAGATGGGGTTTCACCATGTTGGTCAGGCTGGTCTCAAACTCTTGACCTCGTAATCCACCCACCTTGGCCTGCCAAAGTGCTGGGATTACAGGCGTGAGCCACCGTGCACAGCCAATAATCACTATTTTTATACAGAAAATACAGAGTTTTTTAAAGAGAGAAGAGATTAATTATAGAAGACAGAGACAAGTATAATTTATTGTGATTGGAACTAAATGCTATCAGAAGATTTACTATGTATGTGAAATTCTTTGACAAACTTCATGAACTTCAACTGGCCACAGGAAATCTCATTGTGCTCCTCTTTCTTTTTAAAGACAGAATCAACTTTACTACATTGCAATAATTTTTCTTAGGGTAAAAGTTGGGATTCACAATTATCTCTGGATTAATGGTGAATGTATTTGAAAAATTCTCTGATAGTCCTGACTAATCTTAGTAGGTCTAGTTTGGTTCTTATTGAATTGGATCACCTCATAGTCCCTTAATAAGCCAACTTTAAGAGAAATATACTTTCTGTTTTTTGAGAATTGTTTGAGTCACTGCCTGATGCAAGTAACAGACATAGACATGAACAGGTTACAAAAGATAAATAATGTCCTTAATGTACCTAAAAAAACTTTTTTAAACTGAATCTCTTAGGACTCATCCCATGTAGATGAGTCCAAAAAACACAATAATAACTAATAAAATACAATTTTCTGCAATGGAACATATCTGAGTATCACTAAAAATGACAAAGTTGTCCAGGCGTCGTGGCTCATGCCTGTAATCCCAGCACTTTGGGAGGCTGAGGTGGGTGGTTCACAAGGTCAGGAATTCAAGACCAGCCTGGCCAACATGGTGAAACACCATCTCTACTAAAAATACAAAAATTAGCCAGGTGTGGTGGTGTGTGCCTGTAATCCAGGCTACTTGGGAGGCTGAGACAGAAGAATCATTTGAACCCAGGAGGTGGAGGTGGCAGTGAACTGAGATCACATCACTGCACTAGAAATAAAAAAGAAGATATAAAAAAATGAAAGAGAAAGAAGAAAGCCACAATAGCCAAGATATGGAATCAACCTAAATGTTCATCAACAGTTGAATGAATAAAGAAAATGTGGTATATTTACACAATGGAATGCTATTCAGCCCTTAAAAAGAAGAAAGCCTTGTTATTTGCAAAAAGCTTATTGAACCTGAAGGACATTATGCTAAGTAAAATAAGCCAGCATTGAAAAAAATTTTTAAAAAGATCTCATTTCTATGCAGAGTGTAAAAGAAAATTCAAACTAATAGAAGCAGAGAGTAGAATAATGATTGCCTGCGACAGGGGGTGAAAAAGATTTTGGCCAAACATAATGGGTCTTCCCTACATCTATTACCTTAACAAATGTTATTCTCCTTGTAGTTTTGATTCACTGGGGAACTGAATCATATCCTGAAGACTCAAAACTGAAGGAATAATATATTTGTTAAAGCAATGCAGATTGTATACTGACATTTCAGAGGCTTAGCAAAATAATATATTTTCTTCTCACATTATCCCTTATGGTTTTTTCCTTGATAAAAAGACTTCCCCATGATTTTTTAGTAATCATGTCTTCTTTCATCTTCTATCTGCATCCTCCTCTTTCTTCTGTGAATAAATTAACAAAGAGATGTAGAAAAGACACATTTGCTTTTTATCCACACATCACTTCCACTCACTATTAGTCAATGTAAGTAGAGCTGAGAATAGCAGTTTTCTGGCAGGACACTTCTCAGCAATAAATAAAACCCTGAAAGAAAAGTGTAGATTTTTCATGAAAAGCTAATGTATTTTAAGCAAAACAAGCATATTCATCAGAAATAAAATGCTTGTGGCAAAATATAGATTCATTTCATTGATTTCTATGGAGCTCGGGTAATATTTGACCAAAAGCTAGGCAATATGCACAGAAAAAGGAATATTTTTTGAAATAAGAATATTGTGAAGTTGTTCTGTCAAAAGAAGTAAAAATATTATGATCTCATACTAATAGTCTCATCTATAGTTCTACAATATCAAACGCTTTTTATTAAAATTTGTATTTTATATAGGTATCCAATTTATATCACCCTCCTTTGCTATTTCAATGCTGTCTCCACTTTATATCAGTGGGAAACAGGCCACCTGGTCCCAGGAAAGCATGTGGTGCTATTGCGACTTTAACGATGATGATGAAAAGCACTTGTTTGGGTGGTACTGATGTGCCACTGTTATTTTGCCCAAAGCACTGTTTTTTTTTAATTCTTCTCTAAATTTACTGATAAAATAAAATTCTTTTTTTTTTTTTTTTTTTTTTTAAATTTATTTTTTTATTGATAATTCTTGGTTGTTTCTCACAGAGGGGGATTTGGCAGGGTCATGGGACAATAGTGGAGGGAAGGTCAGCAGATAAACAAGTGAACAAAGGTCTCTGGTTTTCCTAGGCAGAGGACCCTGCGGCCTTCCGCAGTGTTTGTGTCCCTGATTACTTGAGATTAGGGATTGGTGATGACTCTTAACGAGCATGGTGCCTTCAAGCATCTGTTTAACAAAGCACATCTTGCACCGCCCTTAATCCATTTAACCCTGAGTGGACACAGCACATGTTTCAGAGAGCACAGGGTTGGGGGTAAGGTCACAGATCAACAGGATCCCAAGGCAGAAGAATTTTTCTTAGTGCAGAACAAAATGAAAAGTCTCCCATGTCTACTTCTTTCTACACAGACACAGCAACCATCCGATTTCTCAATCTTTTCCCCACCTTTCCCCCTTTTCTATTCCACAAAACCGCCATTGTCATCATGGCCCGTTCTCAATGAGCTGTTGGGCACACCTCCCAGACGGGGTGGTGGCTGGGCAGAGGGGCTCCTCACTTCCCAGTAGGGGCGGCCGGGCAGAGGCGCCCCTCACCTCCCGGACGGGGCAGCTGGCCGGGCGGGGGGGCTGACCCCCCCCCACCTCCCTCCCAGACGGGGCAGCTGGCCGGGCAGAGGGGCTCCTCACTTCCCAGTAGGGGCGGCCGGGCAGAGGTGCCCCTCACCTCCCGGACGGGCAGCTGGCCGGGCAGGGGGCTGACCCCCCCACCTCCCTCCCAGACTGGGCGGCTGGCCGGGCAAAGGGGCTCCTCACTTCCCAGTAGGGGCGGCCGGGCAGAGGCGCCCCTCACCTCCCAGACGGGGCAGCTGGCCGGGCGGAGGGCTGACCCCCCCACCTCCCTCCCGGACAGGGCGGCTGGCTGGGCGGGGGGCTGACCCCCCCACCTCCCTCCCGGACGGGGCGGCTGGCCGGGCAGAGGGGCTCCTCACTTCCCAGTAGGGGCGGCCGGGCAGAGGCGCCCCTCACCTCCCAGACGGGGCGGCTGGCCGGGCGGAGGGCTGACCCCCCCACCTCCCTCCGGACGGGGCAGCTGGCCAGGCTGAGGGGCTCCTCACTTCCCAGTAGGGGTGGCCGGGCAGAGGCGCCCCTCACCTCCCGGACGGGGCGGCTGGCCGGGCGGGGGGCTGACCCCCGACCTCCCTCCCGGATGGGGCGGCTGGCCGGGCAGGGGCTGACCCCCCCACCTCCCTCCCGGACGGGGTGGCTGCCGGGCAGAGACGCTCCTCACTTCCCAGATGGGGTGGCTGCCGGGCGGAGAGGCTCCTCACTTCTCAGACGGGGCAGCTGCCGGGCGGAGGGGCTCCTCACTTCTCAGACGGGGTGGTTGCCAGGCAGAGGGTCTCCTCACTTCTCAGACGGGGCGGCCGGGCAGAGACGCTCCTCACCTCCCAGACGGGGTCTCGGCCGGGCAGAGGCACTCCTCACATCCCAGATGGGGCGGCGGGGCAGAGGCGCTCCCCACATCTCAGACGATGGGCGGCCGGGCAGAGACGCTCCTCACTTCCTAGATGTGATGGCGGCTGGGAAGAGGCGCTCCTCACTTCCTAGATGGGATGGCGGCCGGGCGCAGACGCTCCTCACTTTCCAGACTGGGCAGCCAGGCAGAGAGGCTCCTCACATCCCAGACGATGGGCAGCCAGGCAGAGACGCTCCTCACTTCCCAGATGGGGTGGCGGCCGGGCAGAGGCTGCAATCTCGGCACTTTGGGAGGCCAAGGCAGGCGGCTGGGAGGTGTAGGTTGTAGCGAGCCGAGATCACGCCACTGCACTCCAGTCTGGGCACCATTGAGCACTGAGTGAACGAGACTCCGTCTGCAATCCTGGCACCTCGGGAGGCCAAGGCTGGCGGATCACTCGCGGTTAGGGGCTGGAGACCGGCCCGGCCAACACAGCGAAACCCCGTCTCCACCAAGACCAGTCAGGTGTGGCGGCGCGTGCCTGCAATCGCAGGCACTCGGCAGGCTGAGGCAGGAGAATCAGGCAGGGAGGTTGCAGTGAGCCGAGATGGCAGCAGTACAGTCCAGCTTCGGCTCCGCATGAGAGGGAGACCGTGGGGAGAGTGAGAGGGAGAGGGAGAGGGAGAGGGAGACGGAGAGGGAGAGGGAGACGGAGAGGGAGAGGGAGAGGGAGAGGCCCCCTTACATTTTTGCACGCAAGATAAAATAAAATTCTTAACTAAGAAGACTTTATCTCATTCATGTATGTATTATGAAATTTTGTTGACATTTAAGCGTCTCTGACTTACCAGGAATATTGAAATTTTCCATGAATTCAATTGAGCACTGTAAATAAACAATTGTTTACTAATAGCCTTTGGGAGGCAGAGTAAGATTTACAGAATTTCTTTATAATATGTTCCTAGTAATCCCTCTGAACACAGCATTCTCAATTCTTAGTATTCACCCTGAGTCACTCAGGGGAAATTGGTATCTCTGTAAACAGGCAAATGAAGGTGCTGGGTGGAGGTGCATGACATTGTACAGAAATGATGTCCACACGCACCTATAAGGGCCTTAATTTAATGGACTGTTAGTTACATGGCTACATACTTACTGAATCTAGTCATACTATCTTTTGTCAGCTAATGACATTTGTTACCTATTAATTCAATATAATTATTTGCTTGGCTGAAAAATAAATCCTTTAATTTATTCTAAATTGAGAGATTAGATTTGCAATCTTCAATCTTTTAATGTTAAATCAGAGAAAAGCAATGTATGTATATAGTATGCATTTTCCTACCCATGAAAATTATTTGTATTGCCTTGAAAACCCTAGGAAGCCACCTAAAGAATACTCTCTTCAAATCCTTTAGCCAGGATTTTAGATTTCAAAAATAAAAACCTTAACGATAGACCGAAGTCTAAATCTTCTCTTTGCTTCTTGTCAGTAATCTGGCCATTTCAAAAAGCATGTCAATTATGCCAAGCCATTGAAAAGATGTGGTTTTGACTAGTTTTATCCCATTTCAAATGTTTTTTTCTAATTGTTACTTTTGTCATGTTAATCTAAGAGCAAATATCTACATAAATGTTCATGCATTCAAGCAATATTTATATTATGACTAGGTGTGATGGCTCACGCCTATAATCCCAGCACTTTTGGAGGCCGAGGTGGGCCGATCACTTGAGGTCAGGAGTTCAAGACTAGCCTGGCAAAGTTGGTGAAACCTCATCTCTACTAAAAATACAAAAGTTAGCCAGGTGTGGTAGTGTGTGCCTGTAGTTTCAGCTGCTTCGCAGGCTGAGGCAGGACAATCAGTCGAACCTGGGAGATGGAGGTTGCAGTGAGCTGAGATCACGTCACTGCACTTCAGCCAGAGCAATGAAGTGAGACTCTGTCTCCAAAAAAAAGAAGTACATATGTATGTGTGTGTGTGTTTAAAGTTCAATATTTTATTACAGTATAGTAGAATCCTCTAAAAATATTAAGTTTTCTGGCTTATTTATTCCTTGTGTACCATTTTATACATTCACAAAAACATTAAACAATGAAAATGTAACCAATTATTCAATTTTTGTTAATTTTTATTAAAAGTGAGTGTGAAAATAATTATTTTTTTTTTTCTGGTTAAAGAGGTTTTTGTTTTGTTTTGTTTTTTTGAGACAGAGCCTTGCTGTTACCCAGGCTGGAGTGCAGTGACTCGATCTCGGCTCACTGCAACCTCCACCTCCTGGGTTCAAACGATTAAAGATGGTTTTTATTGTTATACTAAGGAGTGTTATCTCTGGAGACACATTTGCCTGTGTTTTAATATTGGCTGTGTTTCTTTCTCTGCAAACTGAGGATAATAACACCTATGTTATTCAGTTACTGTGAGAATTAAATTTATTAACACATTAAAGTATTATGGTTAATGCTCAGTACAAATTAACGATTAATATGATATGTATATGCTGAAGTACACTAGTATGTGCTTTAAGACGGGAATGCCCTTTTATAACACATGAGTTTTTCAATCAATATATTTAATTTTTTAAAATAAATGTTGTATAGATACACAATGGAATACTATTCAGCCTTCAAAGGTGGTAAGTTTCATCATTTGAATCAATATAGATAAATTTAGAAGACAGCATACTAGATGGAATAATCCTGACATAGAAAGACAAATACTACATGATCTCATATATATAGAAAAAAGTTTAACTCGGGGCGCAAAGCGAGCCGGTGGATCCATAAAGAACCCAGCCAACTCGCAGAGGGAAGGGAGGGGCTGAGCTGTGAGGAGAGTGGGGCCCAACAACCATATCTACATGGGAGTCCTTTAACCCGGAAAGTTACGAATTGGACAAAAGCTTCCGGCTAACCAGATTCACTGAACTGAAGGGCACAGGCTACAAAGTGCCCCAAGATGTCCTGCAAAAATTGCTGGAATCTTTACAGAACCACTTCCAAGAAGATGAGCAGTTTCTGGGAGCCTTTATGCCAAGGCTTGGCATTGGAATGGATACTTGTCATTCCTTTGAGACACGGTGGGCTTTCCTTGGTTCAAACTACAGATTACATTTACCCAATTGTAGACGACTCTTACGTGACAGGCAGGATAGCATGTGCCAATGTCCTCAGTGACCTCTACGCAATGGGGGTCACAGAATGTGACAATATGCTGATGCTCCTTGGAGTCAGTAATAAAATGACCAACAGGGAAATGGATAAAGTGATGCCTCTGATTATCCAAGGTTTTAAAGACGCAGCTGAGGAGGCAGAAACGTCTGTAATGGGCGGCCAAACAGTACTAAACCCCTGGATTGTCCTGGGAAGAGTCACTACCACTGTCTGTCAGCCCAGTGAATTTATCATGCCAGACAATGCAGTACCAGGGGATGTGCTGGTGTTGACAAAACCCCTGGGGACACAGGGGGCAGTGGCTGTGCATCAGTGGCTGGATATTCCTAAGAAATGGAATAATATTAAACTAGTGGTCACCCAAGAAGATGTAGAGCTGGCCTACGAGGAGGTGATGATGAACATGGCGAGGCTCAACAGGACAGGCGGGCTTCTGATCTGTTTACCATGTGAGCAAACAGCTCGGTTCTGTGCAGAGATAAAGTCCCCCAAATATGGTGAAGACCACCAAGCATGGATTATTGGGATTGTAGAGAAGGGCAACCACACAGCCAGAATCATAGACAAACCCCTGATCATCGAGATTGCACCACAAGTGGCCACTCAAAATGTGAATCCCACACCCGGGGCCACCTCTTAATCTAAGCAGAAATAGCTGTTTGGTTTTGTTTTTAAATAGATCTATTTCCTTTATCATCGCTTCAATTAAAGACTATAAGCAACAAAAATCTCACTGTATCTACATATCAGGTGACCTTAGGTCAGTTTGTAAGTGGATACAATTAATAAAATAAAATCCATGCCTTTTTTTCCTGTCACATTAACTGAAGATGCACCTAATCTTGAGGCAGCTTCTGAGTTGAGAATTATATTGTTATCCAATACTGTTGATACATTTTGAATCTTTAGACACTTACCTTTTGCCGAATAGGCTCTTTTTAAATGTGCTTCCACATAGCACAGACATTATCGTAGTCATGTCAAAGAGCAGTTGGTGTCTTCATTTTATGTATATTTATTATAAGTCTGATTTTTTAAGAGTCTTGAATGGTTTTCTGGAGAGATAGCATTGGTCAGTGGCACATGACGGCATCCCAGTCATAAGAGGGTTGCATGATTCCTTTGAGTGTTTGATTTGAAAAGCCTAGTCTTCTCTCAAGAGCATCTTGGACCCAGAACATTCTCCAGTAGTGCATTCAGTTCAACACGGCAAGTGCTTCACTGCTTGGAAAACACTTTGAAGACAAAAAAGAAATCTTATTTCTTTTTTTGGAGGCTTCCTGACATTTACAGTAATACCATTAACTGTTTTCTTTATCGATAGCAAAAAAAGGATACTTTTTGCAATGTAATTAGGTATTTTATAGTGCTACAAGGAATTGCCTTCCAAATGGAGGTTCATGTATAATACTCATTTACAATTCAATATATAATTACGCAAATAATTTTTAAATATAATCAATAATAAAGACTGTTCTGTGGATGGTAGTGTTTAATACATTTTATATTTTGTATAGTGATTTCAGGCCTTTTGTTTTCTTAAAATCAGCAGCTATTTAGCGTAATTCTTAGCATTATTTTGTCCTTTGCGCTCGTACATTTTTGTGCACGCTTTTTGTGATCTGTGTTAAAAACCTGCATTGCCAACATTGCAGCCCAAACTTAAACTTGTTATTCAAATAAATACTTAATTTTTTAAATTGCTGTTGTATAAAAAAAAGAATAAAGTTTAACTCAAAAAAGTACAAAGTGGAATAATCTTTACCAGAGGCTGGGTGTGGTGGGAAGGAAACAGAGAGGGGTTGATCAAAAAATACAAAGTTTCAAATAGACAGGATAAATAGGTTTTGAGTTCTATTGCACAGCAGGGTGACTATAGTAAACAATAATGTATTGTATATTTCAGAATAACTAAGAGTAAATTTCAAGTGTCTCACCACAAAAAAATGATAGGTAAGCAAGTTGTTATTTAACTCGACAAAATCATTTCATACTATATACATATATTCAAATATCTCATTGTACCCCATAATGTACAGAACTCTGGTGAATGAAAAATGCTATTAATATATATATTTTTAAAAGGATAGTATTTAAAACATTCAACTACTATTATACCCCCAGACTGACTAGAAGAAACATGGGTTACAAACCACTGATGTGGCCACCTTGTTTTTAGGTTTAACATTAATCATGATCTAAAAGAATCAATAAATAAGAGTGAATAAATTTCCTGTACACTTGCTATGTGCTGGGGACTTATTGGGCACATTTATTTGTATTAACTGCTTTAATTTTACCAAAACCCTATGATTTAGGCAGTAAAGAGCTGAAGAGTCAAGCACAGAGAGATCAAGAAACTGTATTCATGTCATATAGTCCATAAATGGCAAAACTGGAATGAAACAAGGAACCACCTGATACGGCGTTTCAATCTTAACCATTATGCCCAACACCCTCTCATCCAATGCTACTTTTTATTTTTGACCCAACATTTTTGGCTTTGAATTTTCTAAATTAGTAGAAATAAAGAGAAATTTAAAAACCCCTTTTCTGGGGGAAAAAATAGCGAACAGGAGGCAAGGGCTAGATTGCAGCTCCCACTCAGAGCAGTATGTGGAGACTCGCATCATTAACTTTTCTCCAGAAGTACTGCAGGAATAAACCAGGAGAGCTGAGAGAATCCAAAGACCCTCTGACGGAAGCAAACTGCTCCAACAGGACCTGGCAGACAGCCAAAATATTGATAGTGTTCAAGATGTGAAAGTGGGAAAAAGGGATAGTCTGCCCTTGAACACATACCCTCACTGGGGAACCTGAAAGTCTAGAACATGGAATAAGAAATCTGACTTTACCTGGAGCTGAGTCAATTTAGAGAGCTGAGCTAAATACAGAGGTAGAAGAAGTGGGAAAAGCCCGGTGGGCTCTGAGTCTTCTGGGAAGCCATTTTAGACTTGCGTCAAAGGGGCCCTTGGGGAGGGCTGCCAGGGGAACTTGGAAAGGACCACAGGGAGAAGGAAACCTCCAGCTGAACTTTCTAACAATTCTAACCAAACGTGAAGTCTCCTGACCAGAAATTCGGAAAGGGTGTGAATTGGGTGAGCAGACTCCACAGGCAGCAAGGCACAAAAGCCCTGCTTGCTTTTGCAGCTGGGAGGCTGGTAGCCAGGGGCAAGTTCTTAGCTCTGTTCCCTCACTGCCTGGCAGAACACTCGGTGCTCTTGGGGGTGGGGAGCATGGTGGGAATGAGTCTTGCTTTTGGGGTTGCATGAGAGATGGGTGAGTCATGTAACTGCTGGCTCTCCCCCTTTCCCCCACACCCCTGACAACCTGCATGACACAGCAGAGGCAGCCATAATCCTTTGGGAACATAACTCTATTGACCGGAGAACCACACCCCCACTTCCCACTGCAGCTGCAGCAAACCCCGCCCAAGCAGAGGCTAAGCTCAGACATGCCTACCCATGTCCCCACATGATCTTCCCTCCCTACCCACCCTGGTAGCTGAAAACAAATATCATATATTCTTGGGAGTCCTAGGACCCCACTCACCACCTGATTCTCCCTATACTACCACAGCTGATGCTCCCTTTAAAGCGCCACCTCCTGGCAAGTAGCCAACGAGTACAAAAATAGTGCATTAAACAACCAAAACTAAGGACCTTAACAGAGTCCAATTCATCACCTGCTACCTCCACCAAAGCAGGTGCTAATATCCACAGCTGAGAGACCTGCAGACAATTCACATCACAGGACTCTGTGCAGACAACCCCCAGTACCAGCCTGGAGACCTGCCTAGTGACTAGATCCAGAAAAAAGATAACAATCATTACAGCTTGGCTCTCAAGAAGCCACATTGATAGGAAAATGAGAAGAGTACTACATCAAGAGAATACCCCATGGGACAAAATAATCTGAACAGTAGTGTTGACACTTAGACACTCCCTCGGACATAGCCTACCCAAATGAGAAGGAACCAGAAAAACAATTCTGGTAGTATGACAAAACAAAGTTCTTTAACATTCCCCCCAGCCAGGTGTGGTGGCTCATGCCTGTAATCCCAGCACTTTGGGAGGCCGAGCTGGGCAGATCACGAGGTCAGGAGATTGAGACCATCCTGGCTAACATAGGGAAATGCTGTCTCTATTAAAAATACAAAAAATTAGCCTGGCGTGGTGGCAGGCACCTGTAGTCCCAGCTACTCAGGAGGCTGAGGCAGGAGAATGGCGTGAACCCGGGAGGTGGAGCCTGCAGTGCGCAGAGATCATGCCACAGCACTCCAGCCTGGGCGACAGAGCGAGACTGTCTCAAAAAAAAAAAAAAAAAAAATCCACCAAAATCACACTCACCAGCAATGGATCTAAACCAAGAAGAAATCCCTGATTTACCTGAAAAAATAATTCAGAAGGTCAGTTATTAAACTAATCAAGGAGGCACTAGAGAAAGGTGAAGTCCAACTTAGGAAAATAAAAAAAATACAAGAAATAAGGGGAGAAATCTTCAGTGAAATAGATAGCATAAACGAAAAACAATTACAACTTCAGAAAATGAAGTACACACTTAGAGAAATGCAAAATGTTCTGGAAAGTCTCAGCAATAGAATCAAGCAAGCAGAAGAAAGAAGTTCAGAGCTCGAAGACAAGGTTTTTGGATTAACCCAACCCAACAACAACAAAGAAACAAAGAATGAGAAAAAATGAACAAAGCTTCCAAGAAGTTTGGAATGATTTTAAGTGAGCAAACCTAAGAATAATTGGTGTTTCTGACGAGAAAGAGAAGTCTAAAACTTTGGAAAGAAAAACCTATCAGATTAAGAGCAGATTTCTCAGCAGAAACCCTACAAGCTAGAAAAGATTGGGACATTAGTCTCTTTAAATTAAACAATTATTAGCCAAGAATTTTTTATCCAGTGAAACTAAGCTTCATAAATGAAGAAAAGATACTGTCTCTTTCAGACAAACAAATGCTGAGAGCATTTGCCACTACCAAGCCAGCACTAAAACAACTACTAAAAAGAGCTCAAAATATTGATACACATCTTTGAAACACGTCAAAACAGAACTTCTTTAAAGCATAATCTCACAGGACCTATAAAACAAAAATACAATTTAAAAAAAAACAGTATACAGGCCACAAATAACACAATGAATAAAATAGTACCTTACATCTCAATACTAACATTGAAAGTAAATGGCCTGAATGCTCCACTTAAAAGATACAGAATTGAAGAACTGATAAGAATTCACCAGCCAATTATCTGCTGTCTTCAAGAGACTCATCTAACATAAGGATTCACATAAACTTAAGGTAATGGAGTGGAAAAAAAACATTCCATGCAAATAGACACCAAAAGCAAATAGGAGTAGCTATTTTTATATCAGACAAAGCAAACTTTAAAGCAATAGCAGTTAAAGAAGACAAAGAGGGACATTATATCATAATAAAAGGCCTTGTTCAACAGAAAAATGTCACAATCTTAAATATATATGCACCTAACACTGGTGCTACCAAATTTATAAAACAATTACTGCTAGACCTAGGAAATGAGATAGACAGCAACACAATAGTGGAAAACTTTAATACTCCACTGACAGCAAGTCAACAAAGAAACAATGGACTTAAACTATACCCTAGAACAAACGGGCTTAACAGTTACTTACAGAACATTCTAACCAAGAACTGCAGAAAAAAAAAAAAAAAATATATATATATATATATGTATTAGAAGAGATGGGGTTTCACCATGTAAGCCATGCTGATCTCAAACTCCTAACCTCAAGTGATCTGCCCACCTCAGCCTCCCAAAGTGCAGGAATTACAGGTGTGAGCCACAAAGCCCAGCCTACAGATGCAAAAGTTCTTAAGAAAATACTAGCTAACCAAATCAAACAACATATTAAAAAATAATCCACCATAATCAAGTAGGTTTTATACCAAAGATTCATGGATGGTTTAACATGTGGAGTCAATAAATGTGATACACCACATAAACAGAATTAAAACAAAAAATCACGATTATCTCAATAGATGCAGATAAAGCATTTGACAAAATTCCAGGATCCCTTTATGATTAAAACCCTCAGCAAAATTGGCATACCAGAGATATATTTTAATGAAATAAAAGCCATCTATGACAAATCTACTGCCAGCATAATAGTGAATGGGGAAAAGTTGAAAGCATTTTTCTCTGAGAACTGGAACAAGACAAAAATGTCCACTCTCACCATTTTCATTCAACATAGTACTGAAAGTCCTACTCAAAGCAATCAAACAAGAGAAAGAAATAAAGGGCATCCAAACTGGTAAAGAGAGCTCAAACTGTATTTTTTTTCCTGATGATATAATTGTATACCTAGAAAGCACTAAAGACTCCTCCAAAAAGCTCCTAAAACTGATAAATTCAGCAAAGCTTCACAATACAAAATCAATGTGCACAAATCAGTAGCTCTGCTATATACCAACAGCAACCAAGCTGAAAATCAAATTAAGAACTCAACCCCTTTTATAACAGCTGCATAAAAATACAAAATACTTGGGAATATACCTAACCACAGAGGTGAAAGACCTCTACAAGGAAAACTACAAAACACTACTGAAAGAAATCATACACGACACAAGCAAATGAAAACACATCCCATGCTCATGGATGGGTAGAATCAATATAGTGAAAATGACCACAATGCCAAAAGCAATCTACAAATTAAACACAATTCCCATCAAAATACTATCATTATTCTTCACAGAACTATAAAAAACAATCCTACGATTCATATGGAACCAAAAAAGAGCTTACATAGCCAAAGCAAGACCAACCAAAACCAACAAATCTGAAGGCATCATATTACTTAACTTCAAACTGTACTATAAGGCCACAGTCACCAAAAAAGCATGGTACCGGTATAAAAACAGGCACGTAGGCCAACGGAGCAGCATGGAGAACCCAGAAATACACTCAAATACTTACAGCCAACTGATCTTTGACAAAGCAAACAAAAACATAAAGTGGGAAAAGGACAACCTATTCAACAAATGGTGCTGGGATAATTGGCAAGCCACATGTAGAAGAATAAAACTGGATCCTCATCTCTCATCTTATACAAAAATCAACTCAAGATGGATCTAAGACTTAAATCTAAGATCTAAGACCTAAAACTATAAACAAAAACCCAGAGTGGGAGGAAATTTTCAAAATTTATACATCTGACAAAGGACTAAGATCCAGAATCTACAATGAACTCAAACAAATTAGCATGGAAAAAACAATCTCACCGAAAAGTGTGCTAAAAACACGAAAAGACAATTCTCAAAAGAAGATATAAAAATGGCCAGCAAACATATGAAAAAATGCTCAACATCACTAATAATCAGGGAAATGCAAATCCCAACTACAATGTGATACTACCTTACTCCCACAAGAATTGCCATAATCAAATAATCAAAAAATAATAAATGTTGGTGTGGATGCAGTGAAAAGGGAACACTTCTACACTGCTGGTGGGAATGTAAACTAGCACAACCACTATGAAAAAGAGTGTGGAGATTCCTTAAAGAACTAAAGGTAGAACTACCATTTGATCCAACAATCCCACTATTGGGTGTCTACCCGGAGCAAAAAGTTATTATACAAAAAAGATACTTGCACATGTATGTTTATAGCAGAATGATTTGCAATTGCAAAAATGTGAAACAAACCTAAATGCCCATCAATCAACGAGCAAATAAACTGTAGTATATATATGATGGAATACTACTTACCTATAAAAAGGAAAGAATTAATGTAATTCACAGCAGCCTGGATAGGACTGAAGATTATTATTCTAAGTGAAGTAACTCAGGAATGGAAAACCAAACATTGTATGTTCTCACTCATAAGTTGGAGCTAAGTTATGAGGATGCAAAGGCATAAAAATGACACAGTGGATGGTGGAGACTCAGAGAGGAGTGTTGGGAAGGAGGTGAGAGATAAAAGACTACAAATTGGGTTAATTATACACTGCTCAGGTGATGGGTGCACCAAAATCTCACAAATCACCACTAACAAATTTACTCAGCCAGGCACGGTGGCTCACGCCTGTAATCCCAACACTTTGGGAGGCCGAGGCGGGCAGATCACGAGGTCAGGGGTTCGAGACCAGCCTGACCAACATGGTGAAACCCCGTCTCTTCTAAAAATACAAAAATTAGCTGAGCGAGGTGGCTTGCACCTGTAATCTCAGCTACTCAGGAAGCTGAGGCAGGAGAATCACTTGAACCCGGGAGGCAGAGGTTGCAGTGAGCAGAGATTGTGCCAGTGTACTCCAGCCTGGGTGACACAGCAAGACTCTGTCTCATAAAAACAAAACAAAACAAAACAAAACAAAAAAACACATAAAACTTACTCATGTAACTGAATACCACCTGTTCCTCGAAACCTATGGAAATTAAAAAAAAATAAAAAATTAAAAAGAGTGAAAGGGACCTCAGGGCTCATCCAGCCTCACCTTTCTCATTTTGCGGATGCAGAAGAGAGGTTGTAGACAGTGCCAATCTCACATAGCCTTTCAGAGATCGACTCCAGACCTAAAATCAGACCCTCCAACCCCAAGCCCAAGTTCCCTTTTGCTATCACTGTCTCCTCAAAGAAGAATGAATCAAATTGAGAAAGGGAGTGGTAAGACCCACATCCAGACTCTATTCTTCTGGGCACTGTAGGACCTTTTCCATTCCCAGTGCTCATGTTATGCCCAAACCCTGAGAAAATGTGCCCTTTAAATCTCTGTGCACCCCTGGAACTAGCAAACATTAAAAATAATAACAACAGGTTGGGCACACAGGCTTGGGCCTGTGGTCCCAGCTAGTTGGGAGAGTGAAGAGGGAGGACATCTTAAGCCCAGGAGTTCTAGGCTGCAGTGACTTTTTAAAAACTTAACCTTGGCCAGCGCAGTGGCTCAGGCCTGTAATCCCAGCACTTTGGGAGGTCAAGGCGGGCAGATCACAAAGTCAAGAGATTTGAGACCAGCCTGGCCAACATGGTGAAACCCTGTGTCTACTAAAAATACAAAAATTAGCTGGGCATGGTGGCGCACACCAGTAGTCCCAGCTACTCAGGAGGCTGAGGCAGGAGATCTCTTGGACTGGGGAGGTGAAGGACGCAGTGAGCCAAGGTCACACCACTGCACTCCAGCCTGGTGACAGCGAAACTCCATCTCAAAAAACAAAAAAATAAAAAAAATAAACTAACCTCAAAATTCCAGGGAATCAAAAGAGAAATAGGTAAGTCAGATTAGTTCAAATTAAAAAGCTGCTGCATGGAATCTGATACAATCAACAAAATGAGACAACTAAAAAAATGGAGAAAATATTTGCAAATCATTCATGTGACAAGGGGTTAATATCAAAAATATATAAGAAACTCAAATGACTATATGACAAAAGACTATTAAAAAGAATGAAAGGCTTAAATATTTTTCAAGACATACATATGGTCAAGAGACACATAAAAATGCTCAATATCAGTTATTATCAGGGAAAGGAAAGCAAAAAAAACTATATCAACTTATTTCTGTTAGAATTACTCCTATTTTAAAAATGTGTTAGTCAAGGTGTGAAAAAATGGCAATGCTTGCACACTGATGGTTTGAATGTGAATGAGGACAGTCATTACAAAAAACAAAATAAGGATTTCTCAAAAAAATTTAAAATTAAACCACCAAATACAGCAATTTTATTATTGGTTATACATCCAAAACAAACGAAATCAGAATGAAGAAACATGTGCCTGTTTTTTACAACACTCTTCACAATTACCAAAATATAAAATCAGTGGTTTCAACATTTAATGAGTAAATAAAGACAATGTGGTATATACACACAATGGAATACTATTCATCTTTAAAGAAGGAAATTTTATTATTTTCAATCACACGAATTAACCTGGAGGAAAACATTATATTTGTCGAAATGAGCCAGGCACAAAGATTATTATTTCATGATTTCACTTACAAAGGGATTCTAAAAAACTTAATCTTATTGAAGTAAAGTGGTGGCCACCAGACACAAGTTATTTAGGAGAAAGGAGGGTTTGAAAAGATGTTGATCAAAAAATACATAATTATAGTTAATA
The DNA here is from genome assembly GCF_000001405.40 of Homo sapiens. Classification (NCBI taxonomy): domain Eukaryota; kingdom Metazoa; phylum Chordata; class Mammalia; order Primates; family Hominidae; genus Homo; species Homo sapiens. The sequence goes on along the minus strand of NC_000007.14, from coordinate 64,842,931 downwards.
GAATAAGTTCAAGAGATTGTTTTGTACAGCATAGTGACTATAGATCAAAATAATGTATTTGTAGTTTTGAAAAATGCTGACAATGTCACATGCTCTTGCCACAAAAATGTTAACTATGTGAGGTAACTACCTAGAATTAAGCATTTGACAATGTATATATACTTCCAAGTATTATGTTTTACAAAATAAATACACATTTACTTATTTATTACAGATGGTGATGACATGGAAGACACTAAAAGGGAAGGTGTTGCTTACAGACTTATGACTGGCCACTCTGGGAACACAATGAACAAGTTTGCATAAAAAGTAACACAAAATAATCTAAAAGTTGCCATCATCTCCAGAATTTTTCCAGAGAAAATGACCAAGAAGTTGACGACAGGTGACTAAGAATATAAACTGTACACTGACCTTCACTCACTAAAAAGACACATAAAATAACAGGGTGAAATTCCTCTGAGTTGTAATATCAATATGGACAAGAAATATTATTCCAAATTTCAAATCCACAGAGGTCATTTTATTATTTTGCAACCTTTAACATTCACACTTAAAAATAAAAGATTCAGCAGGGCACAGTGGCTCACGCCTATAATCCCAGCACTTTGGGAGGCAGAGGAGGGCAGATCACGAGGTCAGGAGTTCGAGACCAGCCTGGCCAACATGGTGAAACCACGTCTGTACTAAAAATACAAAAATTAGCTGGGTGTAGTGGCAGGCACCTGCAATCCCAGCTACTAGGGAGGCTGAGGCAGGAGCATTGCTTGCACCCAAGAGGCGGAGGTTGCAGTGAGCCAAGATCACGCCACTGCACTCCAGCCTGGGTGACAGAGCAAGATTCCATTTCATAAATAAATAAATAAATCTGTGTTGTGCTATATCATAGAACATTAAATTTAAAATTCCTCACCACTAACTCTTAATAATTTAATTTCTAAGATGCATTTTCTAGCAAATATTAAATGTGTCACACTCTGTGTAAGAATTTAATAAGATTTTCCGTTTACAAACAGAAAAACAATGCTAAGTTATTTAATCCTCTGATCTATGGACAGTGTATGCGTTTTATCTTAATTAACTGATCTGAAAGTTATATTGATAAGCAAACTCTCTAACTAAAACCAATTTTTGAGTGCATTAAAAATACCAACTTTCTCATCAAAACCTACAAAGTACCATGTAAAATGACATGGCATGAAGACAATGAGAAAACTGTAGCAATCACGTAGAAAAAAGGGAGAGGGGCTGTGATGAATACACAGAAGACACATAATAAGACAAACAAAACTAAAGATAATTAGGAAATAAAAGAAACAGAGTTTCTCTTTAGGTTCAGCAATATTTAGCTTCGCAGCATGAAAACAATTGTTATCTCCACGGGAAGAATCAATCTTATTTCTTCACTATTGATATTTTCCCTCTCCGACTTGAACTTACAAACTAACTCTAGCAGGAATATTTATGGCTTATCATGGAGCATCTGCTACACAGCAAGCACTGTCATGTTTGTTCGCCACATTTATATATTAAAAAACATCATGACTTATGAAGCATCCCGAGTTCTTATCTGAACAAATTGCCTCAATAAATATATTTATGTCAATTATAATGAGAACAAAAAAAGTTAAAAAATACAGGCTTATGTAGAATTCTCCAATTAAAAGAAAAAATCAAATGTCCTAATAAAATACACAATTTTGGAAATACATCTAAAAATTGTTCAGTGTGCATTAAATTTTATAAAAATCGTTATTAGTCATGACCAGCTCACGTAATGAATACCTCATAAACTATAAAAGAAAAAATCGTAAGAGACAAGAAAATTATAGGTCTAGCATGAGTACTAGGCAAGGAAAAACAGAAATTTTTCATGGGGAGATTCTGAACCCTAAGTCAGAAGATTTTACAGTAATAAATTTAAAAAAAAAGCAGAGTATAGATTTGCTTTCAGCATTTTTGAGGTTTTCAGTTTCAGTTAATAAGTCACCTTATTAAAATATTTGTTTTGTTACAATATTGCTCTATTCTTCTGAAAATAGGTACAGACTCATCCTCATATATACTCTATAATTTTCTTGCACCTAAGGTTTATTTAGAGTAACATACGTGCATAGCTAATTTTATGTAAATTAAAACTAAAATTCTGTATGTTTGCAGGCAGAGAGAGACCAAATGTTCAAAGAAAAATACATAACAAATTTTTTTAAATGTTTAAGCAGAACTCAGAATTTTAAGACTCAGGGTTTTATTTATACTTGTAAATAATTTTTATTTCACTCATAAAAATGACCCTGTAGTCAGTAGCATTTAATTGTACATTTTAAAGTAAGTAAAAGTGTAGAATGGGTTAGTAATCCAAAAGATAAATGCTAGAGTTGATGGAAACTTCATTTGCCCTTATCTGATTAATACATAAATTATATGACTGTATCAAAAAATGCCATATAATGACATAAATATAAACAGATACTATGTACACACAAAAATTGAGAAAAATAAGTTTAAATTATAAATAAAAAATTTAACCAACGGGAACGATATTCATTAATTTATTTGCAGTTTGAAGCCACTGGCAAAATAAATTATTGGAGATGTTAGTCCATTATGTTATCAAATAGTCTATTGTTACCATCTTTGACCTACACCCTTGAGTAAGGTAGGATAGGTAAAAGTTAGTGGCATAATAATACTTCATTGAATGCACAGTGGTCTTATGTTAAAATTTTTAATTAAAAAATTAAGTTTATAATAATCTAAATCTTTAAAACTGTGATTGGACTCTGGTGAAGACTCCAAGATGGCGATCGCCACCTCAGATACCCCGACTCAGCATTTCCAGGTTCACCTTTCCTGTTCCCACCACCCCGACTAACGCGCATGCCCACTAGGACGTGTCACACTCAGAAGCGCGAAACTCAACCGACCCCGCCCCTACCCCGCCCACTCCTCACCCAGCATCCATAAAAGTGCGCTGCACCTTTGGCACAGTGCGACTTCCCTGGCCCTCCCGCTGCGGACCAGTGAACCTCACCTGAGAGCTCAATAAAGAAGATTTTTGCCCTCTTTGTCTCGCCTCTCCGCCTTATTGATCCATGGTGCCCTTCCATTGCCTTTCATTGGTGCCGAAACACGGGAGGGGACACCTCCTAAGCCCCCCAGAGGCTCGGGAAGACTCCCCTCCTGGTCGGATCAGGCCTCTCCCTCAGTCAGGTCAGGCTTCTCCTCCACGGCCATCGGTCCATTTCGTCCGGTTACTTGCCGCCAGGTCACAGCTGCTGCAGCTACTCCAGTCCAATTCGGCAGACGCTGGGTGAGTACCCCTCCTTTTTCCTTTTGTCCATTCCTCCCTGGCCGAGAGTCATGCGCACACCCAGGGAGAGTTTCCTTCCTCAAGGGAAGGCCAGTCCGGGTCACCAGGAGACCCAAGTTTACTTCCCCAGGGGAAGTCCAAATCGGCATTGACGACTCAGAGACGTCTGTGTCTGAAGTAGCCGATCCGAGGCTCCAGGAGCTGCGTGGTCTGAGTGACCCCAGAAGGACGCTTCTGCTGTCCCTCAGACGGCTGCCATAAAGGGAAGAGGATGGGGTCCACCCAGTCCAAAATCACGCAAAACACCCCCTTAGGGTGCCTCCTGCGCAACCTCCCAACTTTACAACTCGACCAAGATTTAAAACGAAAGCAACTAATTTTCTTCTGCACAGTTGCCTGGCCGCAATATACCTTAGACAACCAATCTCGCTGGCCCCCCGAAGGCACACTCAACTTCAATATCCTAAACGACCTTACCAATTTTTGTCAGAGGCGAGGCAAATAGTCAAAAATCAAATTTGTTCAAAGGTTCTGGGACCTCCGCTCTCGTCAGACCGCTGCCGCCAAGTGTTTTCGCTGGCACAAGTCCCTCTGGCTAGCCTTCCCCTTGAAGTCTGACCAGCCTCTCTTGCCATTAATCTTGTCCACGGCCCCCATCTTAGTCTCTCCGCCGCCATCTCCTTCTGCACCACTGCCATCTTACTACCTGCTTCCTCACCGCCGCCATCTTACTTCCTTTTTTCTCTGCCACCATTTTAGTTCTTCTGCCGCCATTTGGCCGCCATTTTAATTCCTGTTAGTTCCCATTTGTTCTTTTAACCCTGCCCACCTAACTCCTTGGCTTCCATCTTACCCCCATTCTTATTTCCACCTCCCTGTAGTGCCATACCAGTCCACTACATCTACAACTCCTAACACATTCGCTGCGGGCAGTGATATCCGCTAATCCTGGATGAGGCAGCGGAGGGCCCCCAAACCCCTATCCAGGACTTAGTAAAGCTGGCGTTCAAAGTTTTTAATTCCCGAGAGGAGGCGGCTGAGGTACAACGACAGGCAAGACTGAAACAAAAAGTTCAGCTCCAAACCCAAGCCCTGGCAGCTGCCCTGCAACCGGCATTCCCTAAGAGCCCCAGCAGGAGAGGTAGAGGTACGATCTCCCAGGCCCCGTCTGGCACCTGCTTCAAGTGCGGCAACTCAGGACACGGCCAGCCGGTGCCCTAGCCAACAGCAACCGTCCTGCCTGCCTTGCAACTGTTTCAAGTGTGGCAATCCAGGTCATTGGGCAAAACAGTGCCCAAACCCCAAGCCGCCAACACGCCCGTGCCCTAACTGCCAACAAATGGGGCACTGGAAGTCAGACTGCCCCGGCCTCGGAGCGGCCGCTGTGTCTCCACATGGCGACCCCTCCTCGGATGGCGAAGGTGCCCTCCAGCTCCTCCAACTGGATGACGACTGAAGAGGCCCAGACTTGGGAACCCCTCTCACCCTTGCCGAGCCCAGGGTAATGCTTCAGGTAGCGGGTAAGTCCATTTCCTTTTTACTAGACACAAGGGCTACCTACTCTGTTTTGCCATCTTTTAGCAGACCCAGCCGCCCCTCCTCAATCTCTGTTATAAGGATTGATGGCATTCCCTCCACCTACCGCCAGACGCCTTCACTGCCCTTCCGCCTAGACCACTATATAACTTTCTTGAACCCATAATCTACCATCCTTCCCTTTATTCCTTACTAAAGCAAATACATCAACTTATCTTCTTACTTTAGTAAACACTTTCTCAGGTTAGGTTAAAGCCTGCCCTACCACTCATAAAACAGCAGAGGTAGTAGCTTCAACCCTCATCGAACAGATAACCCCAAGATTTGGCCTGCTTTTATCTCCAAAATAGTCAAACAGGTGACAACCACACTTGACGTTAACTGGAAGTTACACACTCCATACCATCCGCAGTCTTCTGGAAAAGTGGAACGCGCCAACAGCCTTGTCAAACAACACCTAATCAAATTGGCTCTCGAGACGCGCCAATCTTGGGTAACCTTACTTCCCTTTGCCCTCGCGTGGCTCTGGGCAGCACCCCAAAGCCCCACAGGCCTTAGCCCCTTTGAACTCCTATACAGGCGCCCCTTCCTCTTTCAAGAGCTCCCTGTGAATACCCCACCTCTTGGCACGTACCTGCCCTACCTCACCCTGTTAAGGGAGCTGCTAAGAGAACATGCCAACTGCAGCCTTCCAAAGCCCGGACCGCTCAGCCCAGACAGTCCAGCCATAATAACCCCAGAAGATCAGGTACTAGTAAAAGACCTCCAGGCAAGAGGTCTCTCCCCCCGTGGAAAGGCCCCTACATGGTAATTCTTACAACACCGACGGCAGCTAAACTTACAGGCCTTCCCTCCTGGTACCATATTTCCCATCTTAAGAGGGCACCTACACAACATCAGGCCACTTGGACTGTCACTTCCCTCCCCCCAACCAAACTGAAACTCTTTAAATCAAATACCGCATGAATTCTCCATGTGACAGGCTCCAACAATTTATTCAGGTTCTTCTCGAGGAAAGCTGGTCATTCCCTACTTTTGCTAACACCTTTCGCTGGCCTGAAAATCTGTTGTCCTATATAGACGAACTGGTGTGGCAAGGCTCCCTCCAGAACTTTCACCAACATGAAGTTCGCTTTGACAAGCCCCCTCTCAGACTCCCTCTCACTGGGTTTTTTCCCCTCACTGAGAATTGGAGTTCCACACAGGCAGTCTCCTAGACTACTAGCCATGGCAGCATGCCCGCCAGCAGGGTGCCAGGCACCCATAGCTTTCCTAGGTCTAAAATTCTCTTCCCTAGGCCAGGCTAGAAAAAACCCTGCACTTTGCTTCCTGTATGATCAAAGTAACTCCAAATGCAATACCAGCTGGGTCAAAGAAAATGTAGGCTGTCCGTGGCACTGGTGCAATATCCATGAGGCATTAATTCGTACTGAAAAAGGATCTGACCCAATGTTCTATGTCAGTACCTCCACTGGAGGATGGGACGGCTTTAACGGATTTAACCTCCAAATCTCTGACCCTTAGGACCCCCGCTGGGCCTCTGGTGTAGATGGAGGACTATATGAGCACAGAACTTTTATGTATCCAGTAGCTAAGATCCGCATTGCCAGGACCCTTAAAACCACTGTCACAGGGTTATCCGACTTAGCCTCCTCAATCCAGTCAGCCGAGAAAGAGCTTGCCAGCCAGCTTCAACCGGCAGCTGACCAGGCCAAGTCCTCCCCCTTCTCGTGGTTTTTAATTTCAGAAGGTGCACAATTGCTCCAATCCACAGGGGTACAAAACCTCTCCCACTGCTTCCTCTGTGCAGCCCTCGGAAGACCTCCCTTAGTAGCAGTTCCTCTCCCTACCCCCTTTAATTATACAAGAAATTCATCCACCCCTATACCACCGGTCCCAAAAGGACAGGTCCCACTATTCTCAGACCCTACAAGACACAAGTTCCCGTTCTGTTACTCTACCCCAAATGCCTCTTGGTGTAACCAGACCAGGATGCTTACCAGCGCCCTGGCACCACCCGGAGGCTACTTCTGGTGTAACTCCACACTAACTAAAGTTCTTAACTCAACTGGTAATCACACCTTGTGCTTACTCGTCTCTCTCATCCCTAGCCTGACCCTATATAGTCAGGACGAACTTAGCCATCTGCTAGCCTGGACCGAGCCAAGGCTGCAAAATAAAAGCAAACGGGCTATTTTCCTACCCTTAGTACTAGGCATCTCCTTAGCCTCCTCCTTAGTGGCATCAGGGCTAGGAAAAGGAGCCCTCACCCACTCAATCCAAACATCTCAAGATCTGTCTACTCGCCTGCAGTTGGCCATTGAGGCATCGGCCGAGTCCCTGGCCTCCCTACAGCGACAGATCACTTCGGTAGCACAGGTCGCAGCACAGAACAGGCGGGCCTTAGACTTGCTTACAGCAGAAAAAGGAGGGACATGTTTATTCTTACAGGAAGAATGCTGCTATTATCTCAACGTGTCAGGGGTAGTTGAGACCAATTTACAAACTTTAAAAAAAAAAGATCCAAGAGGAGTTAAAACATTCCTAGGACCCTCTCCACCCTGGTCCTTCTTGGTGGTTTTCACCTGTGGTTCAACAGATGCTCCCTTTCCTTATCCCAATTATAATTCTCTGTATAATAATGTGTTTTGCCCCAATCCTAGTACAGTTTCTCCGCCAGCGGATACAAGAAATCACCAGGGTCACTTTCAACCAGATGTTACTTCACCCCTACGTCCAACTGCCAACCTCTGATTTAGGCCCTCTCCCCAGTGACACCCCTTAACAGCAGGAAGTAGCCAGATGATTTCGTCGCCCCTTTTCTATAACCAAAAATAGGCTGGACTGATTGGACTCCAGTGAAGACTCCAAGATGGCGATCACCACCTCAGATACCCCGACTCAGCATTTCCGGGTTCACCTTTCCTGTTCCCGTCACCCCGACTAACGCGCATGCCCACTAGGGCGTGTCACACTCAGAAGTGTGAAACTCAACCGACCCCGCCCCTACCCTGCCCACTCCTCACCCAGCATCCATAAAAGCGCGCTGCACCTTTGGCACAGTGCGACTTCCCTGGCCCTCCCCCTGTGGACCAGTGAACCTCGCCCGAGAGCTCAATAAAGATTTTTGCCCTCTTTGTCTCGCCTCTTGGCCTTATTGATCCACGGTGCCCTTCCATTGCCTTTCAAACTGTACTGCATTTTATTACATAAAAGTACAATTAGTAAAATTATATACTAATTAATTTTAACTAAAATTATTTTGTTTGGAGTATAACGCAGAATACTACTCTGAACACTTACCTCATACATCACTCAATATTATAAATTAAACACAAAGAGCCTCTCCACTTAGACTTTTGTCATGCATCCTACATTGTAATGTCTTTACTCTTCCATAGAAAAATTCAAAAACAATATTGACATAACAAAAAAGAATCTCTCATACCTTTGATGCAGCAACAATTGATCACATGCTTTCACTAGTGAATGCAATAGGAATGAAGAGCATGAAGTAATTTGAGTTGAATTACATTATTCACTTTTCATAAATTCTGCAATTTTTTTCAAGGAAAAAAGTATACTTTGAATGTAATTGTAACTCTGCAAAAATATTTCTACTTCTTTTAAAGTTATGTACAAATAATTTATCTACCCACTTTAGTTTTGGGTTATTTTATATACTCAGCACATTTACTTAGTGCAATGTTTGAAGTGTCAGTGCCTTAGATATTTTTACTGTGAATTCTCTGATACTTACGTAGCCTTATTTTTGATTTTTTTTATATTTACTGCATGTGGAAAAATATAGTTTAGTATGCATCCCCTGGTGTTTTCTAAGATGTAGTTTTTGAAAAATTTTTGAAATGTATTACATTTGTAGTTTTTCTCCGATATAAATTCCCTGATGTTGAACGAAGTTTGAGCAACTGCTTCGGATACAAAATGTGTACAATAAGATCTGTGATACAAGTAAGGCAGGCACTACAACCCTCTTTATGTTTCTAATGTTTGTCTTCAAAATAAAAACTCTTTTTTTACTTTAAAGGCTTATATTGGCTGGGAACAGTGGCTCACACCTGTTATTCCAGCACTTTGGGAGGCAGAGGTGTATGGATCATTTCAAGTCAGGAGTTCGAGATGAGCCTGGCCAACACAGTAAAATCCTGTCTCTACTAAAAAATACAAAACTTAGCCGGGCGTGATGGTACATGCCTGTAGTCCCAGCTATTCTGGAGGCCCAGGCAGGAGAATTGCTTGAACCTGGAAGGCAGAGGTTACGGTAAACCAAGATTGCACCAGTGCACTCCAGCCTGGGAGAGAGTATTACGTAGTCTCATTTAAAAAAAACAAAACAAAACAAACAAACAAACAAACCACACACTAAAACAAAACCTTATGCTGAGTTTTGACAGTAATTGCATTTATAATGCTTTTATTAAGTACTAACTCTCTAATGTTGAATAAGATGTAAGCACATATTAATGGCTTTTCTACATTCTTTATATCAGTACAACATTTTCTGAAGTATAAATGCTTTCCTGTGCAATAAGGTATAGGAATTAAAGTTTTGCCATATTCTTCACACTTCTGGGAGTTTCTGCCAGTATGAATTATCTTACCTACAATCAAGTGTGACAACCATTTAAAGGCTTTGTCACATTCTTCACATTTTTATAATTTCTTACCAGTATGATTTCCTTTATGTTTAGAAAAATTTGAAGGTTTTGTTAAAATCATTTTCACATTTTTCTGGTTTGTAACATTTTCAGTATTAATTTTGTTTAGTAAGATTTGAGAATTGGTTAAAAGCATTACCACATTCTTCATATTTGTGGGGTTTCTCTCCAGTATGAATTATATTATGTGCAGAAAGGGTTGAAGACTTGTTAAAGAATTTACCAAATTTTTCACATTTGTGGTGTTTCTCTCCTGCATGAATTTTAGGTGTAAGAAGTTTTGAGGATTGTAAGTTTTACCACATTCTTTGAATTTCCAAGGTTTTGCTCCAGTATAAATTATCTTATGTATAGTAAGTGTTGAGACTTGGTTAAAAGCTTTGCCACATTCTTCACATTTGTAGAGTTTCTCTCCAGTTTGAATTTTCTTATGCATAGTAAAGTTCGAGAACTAGTTAAAACAACTGCCACATCGTTCACATTTGTAGGGTTTCATTCAAGTGTGAATCATCTTATGTATAGCAAGTTGTGAGAACTGGTTAAAAGATATGCCACATTCTTCACATTTGTAGGGTTTCTCTCTAGTATGAATCTTCTTGTGTTTAGTAAGGTTTGAGAGTTGGCTAAAACCTTTGCCACATTCCTCACATTTGTAAGGTTTCTCTCCAGTATGAATGATCTTATGTGCAGTAAGAGTTGAGGACTTCTTAAAGACCTTGCCACACTGTTCACATTTGTAGGGTTTCTCTTTACTATGAATTTTCTTATGTCTCATAAGGTGTGAGGACTGGTTAAAAGCTTTGCCACATTCTTCACATTTGTAGGGTTTTTCTCCACTGTGAATTATCTTATGTGTAATAAGAGTTGAGGACCAGTTAAAGGCTTTTCCGCATTCTCCACATTTGTGGGGTTTCTCCCCAGTATGAATTTTCTTATGTGTACTAAGGATTGAGTATCGGTGAAAAGCTTTTCCACATTCTTTACATTTGTAGGGTTTTTCTCCAGTATGAATTAACTTATGTTCAGTGAGCTTTGCGGACTGGTTAAAAGCTCTGCCACATTCTTCACATTTGTGGGGTTTCTCTCCGCTATGAATTATCTTATGTGTAATAAGGGTTGAAAACTGGTTAAAGGCTTTGCCACATTCTTCACATTTGTAGGCTTTCTCTCTAGTGTAAATTTTCTTATGTTCAGTAAGTTGTTAAGATAGGTTAAAAGCTTTGCCACATTCCTCACATTTGTATGGTTCCTCTCCAGTATAAATTATCTGATGTTTAGTAAGGGTTGGGGACTGCTTAAAGACCTTGCCACATTGTTCACATTTGTAGGGTTTCTCTTCAGTATGAATTATCTTATGTCTAGTAAGGTGTGAGGACTGTTTAAAGGCTTTGCCACAGTGTGCACATTTATAGGGTTTTTCTCCAGTACGAATTATCTTATGTTTAGTAAGGATTGAGGATTGGTGAAAGGCTTTTCCACATACTTCACATTTGTAGGGTTTTTCTCCAGTATGAATTTTCTTAGGTTTAGAAAGGTTTGTGGACCAGTTAAAGGTTTTTCCACACTCTTCACATTTGTAGAAATTCTCTCTAGTATGAATTTTTTTATGTTGAGTTAGGCGTGAAAGCATGCAAAGTGATTTGTCACATTCTTTACATCTGAAATGTTTATTTTCAGTATGTCTTATCTTGTGTCTATTTGAATTTGAAAATTTATGCATGACTTTTACATATTTATTACATTGAAATATTTTGCTTGTGGTAATTTTCAAACATTGGTTAAGTCCATTAAAACCTCCTTGGTGTCCCTTACACTCATCCACACTTTTACAGCCTTTTCTTAACTGTAAATTCTTATGTCCATATTTTCCATATCTGCTCAGTGTCACTTTTTGGAAAGAATCTTTTATGTTCTGCTCTAGCCAAAGGTCTTGGGCAAAACGAGAACACAGAGCTGAAAGAAACAAAAAATAACAAATTACTCCACCTGCTAGACTCAGATGAATATACTTTACAAATCTAACCTATAAAATCATACAAACTACATAAGCAAGATGGCATAGCAAAATACCACAGGTTCTAATTCCTTTATAGACATATAAATGTAACAAAAACATACCAAAACATATCTGTGGAGAATAAATGAGTTAAGTGTGTGCAGTGCCCCAGGTTTGCACAATGCAAAGAGCCACACAGAAGAGAGAGAAAAGTCTGTTACATTTACCCAACACAGCTCTTTCTGTTCCCCGATATAACATAGTGCCTCTAGAAGTAAACTGCCAACTCTTGGTTTCTTTTTCAAAAGGCAAGAGAAATAATAACACATACATCTTTATTTCTGGCTTCTAGGTGCTTTTGCAGACACTGGTTTCTGTTTCCCATGACATAAAGTGCTGAAACAAATGGCAGGATACTTTGGAATGACAAAATGTTGAGTCCACTGAGATCAAAGGTAAATGCTACAGCTGCAAAGAGACAGGGAACAGTTGTAGCAAGTGACTACTGACTATTAAGATGAAACAAGAATGAACTAAAAAAACCCTAAAAAATTTCAGACCTGACACATCCTAAGAACATGTCTGAAAGACTCTCAGAATCTTTAGCCAGACAAATGGTCTCAGACTTTGCCAGGACAAAGTTGCATTATAAACACTGACAGGTAGCTTTTTTTAATGTTCAAATTTCAATTGAAGATTACAATGTATACAAAATATTAGGGCAACATAGCCCTATCAATTATTATAAAATTTTCAGAAAGCAAGCATTAAAAAATGAAGATACAGGCTGGGCATGGTGGCTCATGTCTGTAATTCCAGCACTTTGGGAGGATGAGGTGGGGAGATGACCTGATGTCAGGAGTTCAAGACCAGCCTGGCCAATGCAGAGCAAGATTCTGCCTCAAAAACAAAAACAAAACAAAACAAAAAAAGATGCACAAATATATTTTAAAAATTTAAAATAAATTGAATAATACTCCACTAGTGTAACAGGAACACAGACAACTATTAAAAATCAGAAAAATGGGAATAACAACAAAAACAATGAAAGATATTAAAAAACAAATTGTGGAGGGAAAAAATACAAAAAATAACTGAAATACTGTAAGATAAAATGATGTAAAAATGAAAAGGCTCAACAAACTAGAATACACACAAAGATATTTATATAACAAGCACATATATAAGCACAATTTAAAAAGTCACAGACAAGAGAATCTTGGGAGCTGCAAGATGAAAATAATGTGTCATTTATAAGCATAATCTTATGAGATAACCAGTTAATTTTTCATGAAAGTTTTGCAGGCCAGAAGAAAACTGTGTGACATAATCAAAGTCCTGAAGAAAACAGCTGTCAAGTGAGAATAATACCAGCAGCAAAACTGTCCTGCCAAATAAAAAGACCTTCCAAAATAACCAAATCCTGAAAAAGTATATTGGCACTGCCATTTGTGCTACATATCAAAGATGCTGAAAGGAGTTTCTTCCACTAAAAATGACACAATGCAAGAAAGCAACACATAATCATATGAAAATACATAAATTTCTGGGAAAGACATGCATATACACAAAATGGAATTCCTTACCATTATAACATAACTTTCTAGGGAAGACATGCACATACACAAAAATGGAATTCCTTAGCATTATCATAATAGTGCAGAAAACATTTCTAATTATTCTCTAAAATGTGAAAGATAAAAGCATAAAAATTTTTATAAACATCTGCTAACATACCACATAGAAAAATACAATTAGCAACATCACCAACAAAATTGAGAACAAATGTAATGAGAAAGAATTGTTGAATGCAACTGAAGTTTATTTTTTACCAGGTTAAAATATATTAATAATATTACACAAGCTGCATCTTAAGTTAAAGACTGTCATTTTATAAAACATACTTTAAAGTCAAAACGCCAAAGAGATTTTTAAAAATTACAAAATAATAGATTCATTCACTGGGAACCTATGACAAATTTCTACATATGTGTGTGTGTGGTGTGTGTGTGTTTGAGTTTGTGTATCTCACATTAAGTTTCCAAATATGTAAAGTACATATTGAAAGAATGGAGGAAACACATAGAGAGCAATATAATTACAGTAGAGTATTTTAATACTTACTTGCTCTAATAAAAATAAGACAAAATATTAGTAAGGAAAGAGAGGGCTTAAAGGCACTATAAAACAATTATATTTAACAGAGGTATAGAGAATACTCCTAACAACATTAATGATACACACTCTCCTCAATAGCTCATACAACATTCTCCTCAATAGAACACTTGGTAGGCCAAAAAAGAAGTCTTAACAAATTTTTTACAACTGAATTTGTATAGATCACTTTCTATGACAAACATGGAGTAAGAGTATACAACAATAGAAAACACCAAAAATTCACAAATATATAGATAGTAAACAACACACTCTTCAGCATACTCCTGTTCAAAGGTTGAAATAATAAGTGTTGTAAATATATCCATACTGCTCAATGTAATATACAGATTTAATGCAATGTTTTCCAAATTTCTCATTGCAGTTTTCAAGAAATAGAAACAGCAACACCAAAGGTATATAAAATGTCGAGAGACAATAAAGTACTGAACAAACTTCAAAAAAAAAAAGGAACAATGTCGGAGGCAGAACAGTTTCTGATTTCAAAACATATTACAAAGCTACAGAATTAAAACAATTTGGTATGAGTACAAATGTTAAAAAGTAGACTAATAAAATAGAATGCAACATATATATACTTTCAAATATACAGTCATATGAAGAGTCATTTTTATACTCATAATTTTTGCAGAATTGTTAGTGAAAGCCAATAGGTAAAAGCAATGCAAATTTCGGTCAACAAATCATTCAGTAAATATAATTTAAAATATCACTCATTTTTCAAAAAGCAGGAAATATTGTAACAACTATAAGCATAAATCTTCATAACATGCAAAATGAAATGGGCCAGCCATGGAAAAGATTGTATTAAGATATATAAAGCAGTTACACTCTTAGAATCAGGAAACAAAATAGTGTTTGAAAACTGCCATGAAATGGAAAAAAATGGTAGTTGTTTAATGTGTAGTGAGATGTAGCTTTGCAAGGTAAAAACATCCTAGGGATATGTTGCATAACATTAAGATGACTAAACTGAATATTTAAAAATACTTGATTGTAAATTTTTTATGTGTTTTTGACAGGTAAAAATAAACAATACCTAAAAAAAAACCAGAATTATGATAGTTTTTAAATTATCTTCAAATCCAAAAGTTTTTTCTCTCAAACAAACATAATATAGGTTCACAAATAAATGTTGACATTAGGAGAATTTTTTTGACTTTTTACCTAGACAAGATTAAACAACCATTCACAATAAACCAACACCACAAATAAATAAGTTATAAAAAACACAAGGATAATATTCATAGAGGCAAACAGAGAATTATATCGGCAGTAGACATATGGTTCATATTTGACTTTGCTCCACACTGTCTTAAATTGTACAGAGATAAATATTGTCATACACAATATAAACATCAAAATACAACTGATTGGTGTGAGGTGGCATACCCTAAAATATCTAACTCACAGGTATAAAATTGCAGAAGAAAATTAAAACATGAAAGGTAAAACTTACTAGACACCATCAAGTACATCAATATATTCATGAAAGAAATCTTAGAAGAATATTGAAAAAAAAGTAATCCAGAGCTTTCTTGAAGACAAAAATGTCTGAAAACTTTCCAAATTTTGATGTAATAAAAAAAATCTAACTAATAATACTTGATTCACAATTGACTTCAAAAACAAGATAAAAATAAAGACTCTCCAAGATAAAAGGTGAGGATGTTTATTACCACTAGAACACTTCTACAAAAAAATGTTACATGGTTAATCCCAGCACTTTGGGAGGCCGAGGCGGATGGATCACGAGGTCAGGAGATCGAGACCATCCTGGCTAACACGGTGAAACCCTGTCTCTACTAAAAATACAAAAAATTAGCCAGGCGTGGTGGCGGGTGCCTGTAGTCCCAGCTACTCGGGAGGCTGAGGCAGAATGGCGTGAACCCGGGAGGCAGAGCTTGCAGTGAACCGAGATTGTGCCACTGCACTCGAGCCTGGGTGACAGAGTGAGACTCTGTCTTAAAAAAAAAAAAAAGTTTCATGGTGGCCAAGCACAGTGGCTCATCCCTGTAATTCTACAGCTTTAGGAGGCCAAGGCAGTCAGATCACTTCAAACCAGGAGTTGAAGATCAGCCTGAGCAACATAGTAAGACACTGCATATTAAAAAAAAAAAATGCTAAAATGAGTCCCTTATGCTGAAAAATGATGGACACCATTATAAAAACATTTATAAATATAAACCTCTTTATTATAAATGTATATAGACACATATTCTTTACTATAATAATGATGGTGCATAAAACCCTTAAACTTCTTCTACAGAATATGAAAAATGAGGCCAGGCACAGTGGCTCACACCTGTAATCCCAGCACTTTGGGAGGCCGAGGCAGGTGGACTGCTTGAGGCCAGAAGTTTGAGACTAGCCTGGCCAACATGGCAAAACCTTGTCTATACTAAAAATACAAAAATTAGCTGGCAATTATGGTGTGTGCCTTTAATGCCAGCTACTTGGGAGGCTGAGGCACAAGAATTGTTTGAACCTGGAAGGCAGAAGTTACAGTGAACCGAGATAACACCATTGCACTCCAGCCTTGGGTGCAATGAAACTCTGTGAAGACAGTGAAACTCTGTCTAAAAAAAAATTTTAAAAAAAGGTTAAATGAAATATTAATATATTAATAAATACACACATTTAAAAAATTAAGGCCAGGCTGGGTGGCTCACACCTGTAATCTCAGCACTTTGGGAAGCCGAGGCGGGCAGATCACCTGAGGTCAGGAGTTTGAGACCCGCCTGACCAACATGGAGAAACCCCGTCTCTACTAAAAATACAAAAAATTAGCCGGGCATGGTGGTGCATGCCTGTAATCCCAGCTACTTGGGAGGCCAAGGCAGAAGAATCGCTTGAACCCGGGAGGCAGAGGTTGTGGTGAGACAACATCGTGCCATTGCACTCCAGCCTGGGCAACAAGAGCGAAACTCTGTCTCAATAAATAAATAAACAAATAAATAATCAAAGCACGTCACTACACAATTAAAATAAACAAAAATTAAGGCAGTAAAACAGAAAAAAAACTACAGGAAACACATAAAACAATAACAAACTAGTAACTAATTTCCTTTCTTTAAACAATCAATTTAAATATAAATTAAACTATTCAATAGGAAGAAATTAATCCTAGGGTTTTGGGAGGCCAAGGGGGGCTATTCACTTGATCCCAGAAGTTCAAGACAAGCCTGGGTAACATGGCAAAACCCTATCACTACAAAAAATACATAAATAACTAGCTGGGTGTAATGGTACTTACGTGTAAACAGCTACTTGACAGGGTGAAATAAAAGGATCATCTGAGTTTGGGAGTTTGAGGCTGCAGTGAGCCATGATCACACCACTGCAAACCAGCCTGATTGACGAAGTGTAACAGTATCTTAAAACTAAATGAATAATGGCCAGGCGCGGGGGCTCATGCCTGTAATCCCAACATTTTGGGAGGCCAAGGTGGGCAGATCACCAGGTCAGGAGATCGAGACCATCTGGCCAACATAGTGAAACCCTGTCTCTACCGAAAATACAAAAATTAGCTAGGCATGGCAGCAAGCACCTGTAGTCCCAGCTCCTCAGAAGGCTGAGGCAGGGGAATCGCTTGAACCCGGGAAGCAGAGGTTGCAGTGAACCGAGATTGTGCCACTGCACTCCAGCTTGGCGACAGAGCAATACTCTGTCTCAAAAAAAAAAAAAAAGTTAATAAATAAATAGCAAAAAAAAGAAAAAGAAAAAGAAAATGCCCGAGTGGCTTAAGAAAAAAGCATACAATCCCGGGTGCGGTGGCTCAGGCCTGTAATCCCAGCACTTTGGGAGGCCAAGGTGGGCAGATCACGAGGTCAGAAATCCAGACCATCCTGGCTAACACGGTGAGACTCCGTCTCTACTAAAAATACAAAAAATTAGCCGGCCCTGTTGGCGGGCGCCTGTAGTCCCAGCTACTTGGGAGGCTGAGGCAGAAGAATGGCGTGAACCCGGGAGGCAGAGCTTGCAGTGAGCCGAGATCGCGCCACTGCACTCCAGCCTGGGCGACAGTGCGAGACTCCGTCTCAAAAAAAAAAAAAAAAAAAAAAAAAAAAAAAAAAAAGAGCATACAACATGCGGCCTACAAGAGACTCATTTTAGGCCTGGCACAGTGGCTCACACTTGAAATTCCAGCACTTTGGGAGGCTGAAACCAGCCTGGCCAAAGTGGTAAAACCCTATCTCTACTAAAAAAATTAAAATACAAAAGTTAGCCAGGTGAGGTGGTGCATGCCTATAATCCCAGCTACTTGAGAAACTGAGGCAGGAGAACTGCTTGAACCCAGGAGACAGAGGTTGCATTGAGCCAGCCTGGGTGACAGAGCAAGACTGTATCTCAAAAAAAAAAAAAGAGACTCATAAGCGTTGAGTCAAATAGGCTGAAAGTATCAGAATGGAAAATATCTTTATTCTATGCAAATAGTAACCACAATTGCGTGAGGAAGTCATAATTATATTAAACATAATATGCTTTAAGTCCAGTACTAGCAAGAGACAAAAACTGATATTATGTAATACTAAAATGGGTAAATTTATCAAGAATTTATAACTATTATATTTGTCTATGTATGTGCATGTACAACATCAGGGCTCCAATATGTAGAAAGCAAATATTGACAAAAGTCAAGTAAGAAATACATAGCAACATAATAATTGCAGAAATCAAGACCCCATTTTCAATAATAAATAGAAAGTTCAGATAAAAAATCAAGAGAAAACAGAAAACTTAGACAACATTATAGACTATATTAATTATTTTGCATACACAGGAATACCCGAGTAGATAATCTGTAAAGAAAAAAGGTTTATTTGCTCACAGTTTGGCAGACTGTACAAGAAGTGTGTGTCAGCATCTGCTTCTGGTGAGAGCCTCAGGAAGCTTACAATCATGGTGGAAGGCAAAGAGTAACTGGACATGTGACATGGTAAGGGACAGGAATTGTGGGGTAAAGAAGCTAGGTTCTTTCAATGAACCAGCTCTCATGTGAATTAAGTGTAAATTTTTTTATTACCAAGAGGATGGTGTCACGCCATTCATGAAAAATTTGCCCCCATGACCCAAACACTTCCCTAGGTCCCACCTCCAACACTGAGGATTATATTGCAGCATGAGGTTTGGAGAACATGGACATCCAAACCATATTACAGACCAACTAGGCTTAACAGTTATGTGCAAACTTTCCAGTCAAAAGCAAGAGAATACAGAATATTCTTATCTGCATCTGGTGTATTCTGTTATAAATCATACCAAGCCGTATTAAATTTATTTATTTATTTTTTTGAGGTGGAGTCTCAATCTGTCACCCAGGCTGGAGTGCAGTGGCACGATCTCAGCTCACTGCAACCTCTGCTTCCGGTGTTCAAGTGATTCTTCTGCCTCAGCCTCCAGAGTAGCTGGGACTACAGGCGCGTGCCACCACGCCCAGCTAATTTTTGTATTTTTAGTAGAGATGAGGTTTCACCATATTGGCCAGGCTGGGCTCAAACTCCTGACCTCGTGATCCACCCGCCTCAGCCTCTCAAAGTGCTGGGATTATAGGTGTGAACTGCTGCGCCCAGCTGCCTCATTAAATTTAAGAATACCAGCTGGGTGCAGTGGTTCATGCCTATAATCGCAACACTTTGGGGGACCAAGGTGGGAGGATCATTGAAGCCAGAAGTTTGAGACCAGCCTGGGCAACATAGTGATGTCTTGTCCCTACAAATAATCAAAAAATTAGTTGAACATGGTAGTGCATGTCTGTAGTCACAGCTACTCAGGAGGCTGAGGTTGAAGGATCACTTGAGCCCAGGAGGCTGAGGCTGCAGTGAGCCAAAAGTATGCCACTGCACTCCAGCCTGGGTGACATAGTAAGATCCCATCTCAAAACAGCAACAAATGCATTTAAAACCAAAATCATACACTGTGTGTTTTCTGACCAAAACTGAATAAACCTAGGAATTAAAAGCAAAAGTAGAACTGGAAAATCTAAAAATATATAAAAATAAAACATACTCTTCAACATATTCTTGCTCAAGGGTCAAAAAATTTAATTTTTCAGCCAGGCGCAGTGGCTCATGCCTGTAATCCCAGCATTTTGGGAGGCCGAGGTGGGCGGATCACCTGAGGTCGGGAGTTCAAGACCAGCCTGACCAACATGGAGAAACCCCGTCTCTACTAAAAATACAAAATTAGACGGGCGTGGTGGTGCATGTCTGTAATCTCAGCTACTCAGGAGGCTGAGGCAGGAGAATCACTTGAACCAGGGAGGAGGAGGTTGCAGTGGGCCAAGATCGTGCCATTACACTCTAGCCTGGGCAACAAGAGTGAAACTTTGTCTCAAAAAAAAAAAAAAATAAAAAAATTAATTTTTCAAAGATGTCAATACAACATACAGCGGTAAACAAATTCAACATAATCTCTAACAAAATTCTAATAGCGCAATCTTTTTACAGAAATAGTTTAAAATTTTTAAATTTGATTAAAAACTATAGCAAAACATCCATTAAAAAGAAGATGCATTATACTTTCTGATTTCAAAACATAATAAAAGCTACAGTAACAAAAACAATGTGGTATTGACACAAAAATAGATAAACAGATGAAAGAACAAGACAGCCCAGAAATGAACCCTTCTATATATGATCAAATGATCTTCCACAAAGTTGCCATGAGCACACAATAGAGAAAAGATCGTCTCTTGGAAAAGTAATGTTGAAAATTGGATAACACTGATAAATTAAGTTGGATCATTTTCTCGAACCACATACAAAAAATATTTTTTTAAAAAAAATGTTTAGACCTAAAAAATCACTGTTAATCTCTTAGAAATGAATGTAAGAAAAAAACATGACATTGATCTTGGCATTACTTTCTTAGACACAACATTAAATGCATGTGAAACAAAGAAAAGAACAGAAAAATTGAACTACACTAGACTTCAATATCTCTGCACATTAAATACAGCATTCAATAGAGTGATAAGGTCTCCTAGAAAATGGGTGAAAATATTTGCAAATTGGCCAGGCACGGTGGCTCACGCCTGTAATCCCAGCACTTTGGGAGGCCAAGGTGGGTGGATCTTGAGGTCAGGAGATCGAGACCATCTTGGCTAACACGGTGAAACCCCATCTCTACTAAAAATACAAAAAAATTAGCCAGGCGTGGTGGTGGTCACCTGTGGTCCCAGCTACTCGGGAGGCAGAGACAGAAGAATGGCGTGAACCCAGGAGGCAGAGCTTGCAGTGAGCTGAGATCGCGCCACTGCACTCCAGCCTGGGTGACGGAGCCAGACTCTGTCTCAAAAAAAAAAAAAAAAAAAAAGACAATATTTGCAAATCACATGTGATAGGAGTTATATTCAGAATACATAAACAACTCTTAAAACCAAATAAAGAGCAGCATGATGGCTCATGCCTGTAATCCCAACACTTTGGGAGGCCAAGGCAGGAGGATCACGAGGTCAGTAGTTGGAGACCAGCCTGGCCAACATGGTGAAACCCTGTCTCCACTAAAAATACAAAAATTAGCCAGGCGTGGTGGCACCTGCCTGTAATCCCAGCTACTCAGGAGGCTGAGGCATGAGAATCACTTGAACCCGGGAGGTGGAGGTTGCAGTGAGCTGAGATCATGCCACTGCACTCTAGCCTGGGCAACAAAGTGAGACTGTGTCTCGAAAACAAACAAACAAAAAGAATATAAAGTTGAATAACTTGATTTAGAAATGAACAAATAATTGAAGTAAATTTTCATTAAAAATGATACACAAATGGAAAAAGCATTTGAAAAAACACACTAAATTAATATTTGTAGAGAAATGCATAATAATTACAATAAAAAACAATTACCTAGGCTGGGCACCGTGGCTCACACCTATAATCCCAGCACTTTGGGAGGCTGAGGTGGGTGGATCACAATGTCACGAGATCAAGACCATCCTAGCTAACACAGTGAAACTCCGTCTCTATTAAAAATACAAAAAATTAGCCGGGCGTGGTGGCAAGCGCCTGTAGTCCCAGCTACTCAGGAGGCTGAGGCAGGAGAATGGCGTGAACCCAGGAGGTGGAGGTTGCAGCGAGCCGAGATTGCACCACTGCACTCCAGCCTGGGCGACGGAGCCAGACTCCGTCCCAAAAACAAACAAACAAACAAACAAACAAAAAACAAAACAAAACAAAAAAACCAAAAACAAAACAAAAAAAAACAATCACCTCACACCAATTAGAATGGCCATCATCAATTTTTTTTAAAAACACCAAATCTGTTGATAATGCAATAAAAATAAACTCCATGTTGATTGTTGGTGGAAAACAAGAATGCAGTCATTATTTTAAAATTTTATAAATGTTTCTCAAGTAATTATAAATAAAATTATGGGCTGGGTGCAGTGGCTCACGCCTGTAATCTCAACACTTTAGGAGGCCAAGGCAAGCAGATCACTTGAGATCAGGACTTCGAGACCAGCCTGGCCAAAATGGTGAAACCTTGTCTCTACTAAAAATACAAAACTTAGCCAGGCATGGTGGTGAGTGCCTGTAATTCCAGCTACTCAGAAGGCTGAGGCACAAGAATCATTTGAATCCAGGAGGCAGAGGTTGCAGTGACCTGGTATTGTGTCACAGCACTCCAGCCTGGGTGACAGAACCAGTCTCCATCTCAAAAATAAAACTATCATCAACTACAGCAATCCCATTTATGAATCTATATCCAAACTATGCAACCCAGGACCTGAAAAACATATTTGAACATCTATGTTTATTGTACCAGTATTCACAAAAGCTGGAAGGCTGAAGCAACTGTCCCTTGACTTACAAACACATCAAAAAATGTAACATATACACAAAATGGAATTTTATTCAGCCTTAAAATAGAAAATCTTGTGACATTTTAGATAAACTTTGAGAATATTATATCACCTGAAATAATCCAGTAACAAAATGATGGAGACTGGATGATTCCACTTATAAGGTATCTTAAGTAGTCACACTCCGCCCCCATAAAATCCAAAGTGGAAGGGTGTCTGTCAAGGGATAAAGAGAAGGTAAAATGGGCAGTTGTTACTTAATTGGTATTAAATTTTAGTTTCACAAGATGTAAAATTTCTGAAAGTCTTTTGCATAACAATGTGAATATAGTTAACATGCCTGAAATGAACAGCTTTTTTGCGGGGACAGAGTCTCACTCTGTCACCTGAGCTGGAGTGCAGTGGCACAATTATCACTCACTATAGCCTCAAACTCCTAGGCTCAAGTAATTCTCCCCTCTAAATCTCCCAAAAAGCTGGGACCACAGGTGGACAAGACCATGCCTGGCTATTAAAAAAAAAAAAAAATTTGTAGTTGAATCTCCATGTTTCCCGGGCTGGTCTCAAACTTTCATGCTCAAGTAATCCTCTTGTCTTGGCCTCCCAAAATCCTGAGATTACACATGGAAGCCACCACAATGCCTGGCCCTGAAATGCACACTTGAATAGATTTAAGATGGTAAATTTTATGTTATGAGTTTTTACAATTAATTTTTGAAAAACTGAGAAAAATACAGAATTATAAATCTTTTCAAAAATTACCCTCAGGCCGGATGTGGTGGCTGCCGCTTGTAATCCTAGCACTTTGGGAAGATGAGGCGGGCAGATTGCCTGAGCTGAGGAGTTTGAGATCACCCTGGGCAACATGGTGAAACCCCATCTCTCCTAAAAATACAACAAAATATCCAGGCATGGTGGCGGCCACCTGTAATCCTAGCCACTGAGGAGACTGAGGCAGGAGAATCACTTGAGCCTAAAAGGTGGAGGTTGCAGTGAGCCAAGATCCTTCCACTGCACTCCAACCCGGGCAAAAGAGCAAGACTCAATCTCCAAAAATGGAAAAAAAAAAAAAAAAATTACCCTGAAACCACAAAAGTGTTTCTCTCACACAAGGAAATATATATTCATTATAAAACTCATGGTAAAAATAAGACTATTTCCATGATTACTCACTTACACAAAATAAAACGACCATTGAAAATCAGCTAAGAATGAATATAAACAAGATAAGCCATAACCAAAATAGGGGTCATATTTGTAAATAAAACACATACATACATAATCTGATTGTGACAGACATGTTCCTGATTTATCTATTAAACCCCACATTGACTTAAAGTGTACAAACAATTGCAAAATGTCTTAAATAATAATATGTAAGTAAAACAAAAAAATTACAATAAACTAATATTAAGCAACCTACACTGAAAAAACACACTAATACAGAACTACAAAACAATAATAAGAGACATGTTTACTCATAAAATCTGGCTTGTAATATTGGTGTAACATTAAGAAAGAATTTGTCCAGATAACTGCAATATTTGACTGTGTACTCATGGAAGGCAGGTATTTTGAATTAGTGCCATCCACTGTATGGCAGTAAAATTTCAGAGGAAATGCAGCATAACCATGAATAGAAGATTGTAATGAGAAATTTTCAATAAGCACTTTTTTTTTTTTTTTTAGATGGAGTCTCGCTCTGTCACCCAGGCTAAAGTGCAGAGGCATGATCTCGGCTCACCACAACCTCTGCCTCCCAGGTTCAAGTGATTCTCCTGCCTCAGCCTCCTGAGTAGCTGGGATTACAGGCATGCGACACCATGCGCAGCTAATTTTTGTATTTTTAGTACAGACAGTGTTTCACCATGTTGGCCAGGCTGGTCTCGAACTCCTGGCCTCGTGATCTGCCCACCTCAGCCTCCCAAAGTGCTGGGATTACAGGCGTGAGCCACCACATCCGGCTCAACAAGCATTTAAAGAAACTATACATAATTTTGATATTTTAAATATATGCTGCTCCTACACAAATGAAACTGCTGTAATCCAACTGTGGAAGCAAAGAACACCCTTACATTGCTAAATAAAGAAATATACATATACTTTGTAAAATATAGTTAGAGCCTCTGCTTATATAAAAGAAATATTCAGGCTGGGCGTGGTGGATCGCACCTGTAATCCCAGCACATTGGGAGGCCGAGGTGGGGGGACTACTTGAGATCAGGAGTTCAAGACTAGCCTGGCCAGCATGGTGAAACCCTATCTTTACTAAAAATACAACAAAATTAGCTGGGTGTGGTGGTGCATGCCTGTTATCCCAGCTACTTGGGAGGCTGAGGAAGGAGAACCTGGGAGACAGAGGTTGCAGTAAGCCAAGATTGTACTGCTGCACTCCAGCCTGGGTGCAGAGTGAGACTCGGTCTCAAAAAAAAAAAAAAATAATAATAATAATAAATAATGTTATTATTAAGATACAGGCTGAAGAAAGTAAGTGAAAATCCTGTAATTCCTCTTTACCTACAGCAAACTTAAATGTATAAGTAACTATTTTAGTAAATATGGAGTGCCTACTAATTAACTAATTTACTTCCAGCATAACTTATAAATTCTAGCATACTGTTCTAAATGTCTGAATCTAAAATTACAGATAAATATGAAATAGAAAATAAAAAATAAAAACGTATATGAAGAGTTATATCGGTAAAATGGAAATATAAAAGATGCCCTATTTTTTTATGCCCCAACAGCAAAAAGATTTATCAGCCATCCCTGACAAAAATTCCTTTATCAGAGAGCGAGGCATCATGGCTCACACCTGTAATGACAGCTACATGGTACATTCACATTGGAGAATTGCTTCGGGCCAGGATTTCAAGACCAGCTTGGGTTATGTAGCAAGACCCCATGTCAAAAATAAGTGTTTTTAAGAGAGCTCTGAGATCCAGGGAGGGAGTTGTGAAACTGCTAAACCCCAGATGGAGGAGTGTTCTCTTCAGAAAGCAGACCCTCATTCAGGTGGCAAACTGCAAGATTCCCGTTCTTGGCTACATACCAAGAAATGGCCCACCCAACTTGGTCCCACTGAGAATTCTGAACTTACTCTGTAACCATCCCAAACTCCTCCCAATCACAGTCTGGGAGAGGTCCTGCTCTTCCAGAGGCCTGCAGGAAGGAAGACACGCATTTACCGCCATGCAGGCAGGCCTGCAGACCTTGCCCTTTACTGTGGTCCCTGAAGCATTTCAATGACTCAGTTCTAGTTCCCTTAGCCACAGTTCATGGCCAGTTCTGCCTACATAGAAACCCACACAGTGACCTGGAAAAATCCTCTCTGGTACTCAGTGAAAGCCATACTCATCCATATCCTGATATAAGGCCCACCATATGCAGACCAAACTGCAAAAACCTGCCCTAGTGGCTGCCCTACAGAGCAAAGTGCTGAAGGATATTTAATCTGTCCAAAAATAAAATGGGAATTACAACAGCCCAAGCCCGTTGTAACAAGCCAGTAAAGGTGGGCCCTAGTGCAGGCCCAGCAGCCTTGTGACCAAGCGACACCCCTCTCCATTACAAACCCAGAGGGCATCCCATCACCTGGGGGCCAACAAAAGATCTTTACCTCCTGAAACCAGGATATAAAAACGTGAAGAGGTGTTTGCTCCTTCAAAATCACAAGCACCAATGCAAAACTATATTGTGTCATTGTCAATACTTCTATTTTAACATAGCATTGAAAGTATGTGGCAAAAGAATTAGTTTAAAATATGAAAAAAAAATGCCATTGAAGACAAGTAAAACGTTGCTGGTTGTAGACCATGTGATCTAATATATTAAAAAACAAAAAGTACATTAAAACATGTCAATACTGATAAATATACTCAGTAAATTACCGAAATATAAAATTAACATACAAGTATAAATTATGGTTCCATATACTTAAAACAAATTATCTGATAAAATAGAGAAAGAAAACAATCTTTACAATAGCATTACAATAATAAACTTCTGAGAACAAATTTAACCAAAGAGGTAAAAAATTTTTACAATGTAACATATCAATAAAAAAATGAGATGATACAAATAAATTTAAAAATATTTTATTTATATGGATTCAAAAAATAAATTTTGTTAAAGTGCCATGTTATCCAAAGTGATCTACAAATTCAATATACTCCATATCAAAATTCCAGTGACATTTTTGTCACAGTAATAAAAAATACAATTCTAAAATTTACATGAAACTACAATAAACTTTGAATAGCCAAAGCAATCTTGAGGAAAAAGAACAAAGTAGAGGGACATCATATTTCATAATTTCAAACTACATTTTAAAACTATAATAAAAACAGAATGGAATATGCAGAAAAATGAACAAAAAAACCACAATGGAACAGAAACCACTACTCACACATTTCAGATACGATGCAAAAAGAGAACTTAAAATATAGTTTAACATAGAGTTTCTCAAAATTATGCAGATATTTGCGTGTCCTTAAAAACAATAAAAAAGCAGTCAGATTGTGCAGTCTTTTATATGCCATGAAAAGGACGTTGGCTCTCACTGTGAACTTGAAGAAAGATCACCAAAGGGAAAGTAGAATTCTTAGAGAATTTAAAAACATAAGACAGAAGATGTCTTATGTAAGAGCAAAATAAAAAACTCAGGCTTTCCAGAAACTATTTCCTTTGGAATACAGATTTCCAAATCACATTTAAAGGAGTGGTCTTCTCCTTGGCCTTTGACCTCTCATCTGTGCCATCTGTGTATTCACTCTCACCTACCTGAATGTTTGGCTACCACCATCTCATGTCTCTTCATATTCCAGGGCTCTTTTCCTTGTTCCAGACAGGTAATCAGGTCTGGCTTAGAGATAGCAATACTTGTTTTATTAAAAATAAGTAACATGACTCTGGCTCATATTCTCCAATTACCAACCTAGTAATGTGCTCAGTAAAGAGAATGTAATAGAATATTCTAGTAAATTAATCCCAAAATGCTAATATATAACAGAAAATTCTAAATATTTAGAAAATATTTTAAATTTGTAAATTCTTAATTTCACTACCCAGTACTATTGATTCAAAATAATTGGTGTTGGGAGTTAGATTTAGGTGTGGGCAACAACACTTTACGCCAATAAATTTCTGGAATTACCACTAATCTAGAGTGAAGGATACATATCAGCTCAGAAATGTGGAAAGTTCAGGTCAAGATGAAACATCTTAAAGAAATTGTTTTCTACACTGACAAATCTCAAAGATTCTTTTGAAAACAGGAATCTGAAACTCATTTATGCAAAGCATAAATTACCAAAAGACATTCTACCCAAAAAAAAAAAAAAATGAAACCTTTAGGATATATTAGGAAATGTGTACTGAAGTTATTCTCACCCAAGAAAACCAGGTTTCTGTAGTTCTCTAACATCACATGCCTATATACATTCCGCTGTGCAGTGTCCAGGCACTGCCACTCCTCCAAAGAGAACTCTATGGCCACATCCATAAATGTCAGTGGTCCCTGAAAAACACGCACACACAAACACACACACACATTAACCAAGTAGCCATGGGCAGAATTTTAAATTTGACTCAAGGTAAAATAAGACAGTAAGGAAAACTGATTATGTCTTACAGGAGTGACTGAAATTATTCATAAAATAATTTTTTTTTTTTGAGACAGAGTCTCACTCTGTTGCCCACGCTGGAGTGCAATGGTGCAATCTTGGCTCACTGCAACCTCTGCCTCCCAGGTTCAAGCAATTCTGCCTCAGCATCCCGAGTAGCTGGGATTACAGGTGCCCACCACCAAGTCTAGTTAATTTTTTGTATTTGTAGTAGAAACGGGGCTTCACTATGTTGGCCAGGCTGGTCTCGAACTCCTGACCTCGTGATCCACCCTCCTCGGCCTCCCAAAGTGCTGGGATTACAGGTGTGAGCCACCAGGACCAGCCCATAAAATAATTTTTAACAGAAATATTTTCTAATGTACTTCTTGCCCTGAGAAAAGAAAGTGGCATAAGATCCACAGAATCAGCATACACATGGTACTCTTCTGGATGATAAAGTATAAAATTAAGGGCATAAACACAAACATGTCCATTTCTGAGTGCTATATGTGCATCATACAGAATAAGTTGTGTGTATTTTTCAGATGGAAAAGGCACGTTGAGTTAAAAGGTACCTCTCAAGTTTTAATGTGTACAATAAACTCGAGATCTGGTTAATGCAGATTATTTTTTCTGAAGATATGGAATAAAGTCTGATATTCTAAATTTCTAACAAGCTCACCGCTAATGTCAATGTTTTTGGCTCAAGAAGAATATCTTGTTAAATATCCAGTAAGTGGAAGAGCCTGTGATTTTCCCAGTTTTTCTGGCCTGTAAACAAAGATGAGAGCCTTGATTTTCCAAAGACAGATATATGCAAAGGAAACCTAAGATAGAAAGGCAGCTGCCAGATTAAATGTGATGGTTTATCCACATCAGCAGCATAAAGATACTTAATAATGCAGAGAAAAATAAGTAACTCTATAGTAAAGAAATCTGTCCAAGAGCTCTTTAACCAAGTGAATCATTAACATCAACTGCACTAAGACAAATTTTATGCGGTGTTGATGCACACAGAAAAACACGGCATCACTGCTGCAATACTGCCCCCAAAAGTAAATTGTAGTCTGAATGTAACCATAAAAAAAAATCATTTGGCCAGGCGGGGTGACTCACGCCTGTAATCCCAGCACTTTGGGAGGCCGAGGCAGGCGGATCACGAGGTCAGGAGATCGACACCATCCTGGCTAACACAGTGAAACCCCGTCTCTACTAAAAATACAAAAAAATTAGCCGGGCGTGGTGGCGGGCACCTGTAGTCCCAGCTACTGGGGAGGCTGAGGCAGGAGAATGGCGTCAACCCGGGAGGCAGAGCTTGCAGTGAGCGGAGATCCCGCCACTGCACTCCAGCCTGGGCGACAGCGCGAGACTCCATTAAAAAAAAAAAAAAAAATCATTTTTATGCAAACTTTAAGATACAGGTAATTCATGTTCTGTAATTTCTAATAGTGATTTTAAGTAGTCTTTCTTTAGCACCCCAAAGAGCAGGGATCTCTTAATAATTTTTTTCAGAACTTTCTGGGTAACGAGTGCCATTCTGTTTAAAACAGCATTTTATTAATCCTGTTCTGCATAGAACCAATGGAGAACACAGATGAAACTTCAAGATTACATGTTCTCCTTCTTTACTAAGGACCCCAGCTTTCCCCCAACAGAAACCTTGAGTATTCACATCTTTCCACAAATGGAACATTTTTAATGTTGCAGGTTATAAATTCATGAGAATTCTATATGGCCTGTAAGACAGCATGATGTAGAGAATGTAGGGAAGGCTCTGGTATGCAGGAAAAAACATTTTTTTTCAGAGACCCTTGACTATCATAAGAATTTTTAAAAGTAGTTAAAACAAACCTATTAGGGAGAAACAACACAATTAGAGAAGTAAAGGTTTACAGGTACTAAACGCATGGCATTCCAGGAGGAAGAGTGGACACAGTTCTCGATTTGAGACATGTTAAGCTAAAAAAAAAAAAAAAAAAGGCAATTTTTTTCCCCTTTCTCCTTCTTCTCTGGTATTCCTTCTCAGATGAGATTCTCTGGACAAATTACACCTGCATCTTCAGTTTATGCCTTTAAAGGTGTCAGCACCACCTGTTTACCTGCTACCACCACAGTCACACTTGGCCAAAGAACCAAGACCTACAGAAAAAGTTCACTCATTTCTTTCCTTTATAACAGAAGAGACTCAGAACAATAAGCTGCTCTATGGAAATAATAATACAAGTTTCTCCTTTCCTGTCCTCAGGTGCTCTTCTCTGCAATTTCTACTACAGTAATGGAAATATGGGCCACACTGCTCTGTCCCCATCAAATCCAAATAGAACCAGTCCTGTGACCACCCTTTAGTGAAAAGGTAAAACTTAACTCTCAGGCTGGGCACAGTGGATCACACCTGTAATCCCAACACTTTGGGAGGCAGAGGCTGCTGGATTACTTGAGGCCAGGATTTCAAGACCATCCTGGCCAACATGGCGAAACCTTCTCTAGAAAAATGCAAAAAAAAAATTAGCCGGGCGTGTGGTGAATACCTGTAGTCCCAGGTACTCAAAAGGCTGAAGCAGGAGAATCACTTGAACCCAGGAGGTGAAGGCTGAATTGAGCCAAGATCATGCCACTGCATTCTAGCCTGGCAGACAGAGCAAGACTGGGTCTCAAAAAAAAAAAAAACCCACTTAACTCTCATGAGTGTATCTTGAACCCCTCTTACTTGATTCTGTCCTCACCTGAGAGTCACAGGAGGAACTTAATTAAAACAACATGAATGCTTCCACCCAGAATAATAAACAGAACATGTGGAAAGGGTATAAGTAAAAAGATTACTGCAAATTGGCCATGTAATCCTAATTAGAAGTCTGGGCTAATAACCATTTAGCTAAGCATTACCTCTCAAGCTTTAATGAGTTTATACATCACTTGGTGATTTTGGACTCACCCTATGTAATGTGATACTGCAGGTTTGGAAAGGGTTCATGAATGGGAGTTTTAAACAAGTCTCCTGTCAAAGCTGATGTTGCTCCCCTTGGGCTCATTATTAGCATTAGTTAGAGAAAGCAGACACAGCAGAGTTCCTTACACTCAGCACTCTTGTCAAAATACAAATACTTCTAGGACAAATGAAGATAATCAATTTTCATATTTTTTGCTGGCTCTTTTAAGTTTACAGAACAAACAGAAGGCAGCTATGTCTGAATAAATCTGCATTTGAAAAACAGGCCGGGCACTTTGGGGGTCCAAAACAGGTGGATCACCTGAGGTCAGGAGTTCAAGACCAACCTGGCCAACATGGTGAAACCCTGTCTCTAATAAAAATACAAAAATTAGTTGGGCATGGTGGCGGGTGCCTGTAATCCCAGCTACTCAGGAGGCCGAGGTAGGAGAATCACTTGAACTTAGGAGGAAGAGGTTGCAGTAAGTCGAGATCCCACCATTGCACTCCAGCCTAGACGACAACAGCAACACTCTGTCTCAAGAAAAAAGAAAAGAAAAATAACATTTTCACATGTACTAATGCAATGATTATTAAGCAGGTACTATGTGCTGAAGGGACTGTTACAGAGCACTTTGCTGGGAATAACACATTACATGATTTAATCCTCATAGCACCTTGGGAGCTGGTATTAAGTGTTTAATAATTCCCTGGATTTAGAAAAAGGGCCCAGCATTTTTATTTCTTTTGTTTCTCTGTCACTGATTTTTTTAAAAAATGTATAGAATTAAAGCTAAATATAGACAGAGGAGAGGGATACAGAAAGAAAAACTTTAATGCAGCTTAGAGAAATTTTTATTGTGTTTATATTTACTTTTTTCTGACTTGCAGAGCAACAACATCTCCAAGAATAGAAAACAGGTTGGTAAATGGAATGTCTCTGCAAGCACTGGTTTTAATAAAAAAACTAAAAATTAAGACCCTAAAATACATACTTTATTTTTTCCATTTATCTGCTTTTAGGTTTCAGAATACCGTGAGCACTGGCTCTAGAAAGGCTGCAGGATTCACCACCCAGTACTCTCATCTCTTCTAATCAGTTCTGTGAGGCAAGACTCCAGGGTGGGGCCAGACCTAAATAAGGCCTCCAAAAACAGTAAATTTGAACAAGGCTGGGGCAGGGAGTGTACCCTATGTAGAATTCTGCTCTCTATGCCACTGGGGTATTTCCTATTGTTTTTGCTAAGCTTACCCAAAAGAAAATTAAATCCCACAGTTTGTGAACTTCTAATCTTTTTTAGTCACTGCCCTGTCAATTTTATAACATATACTAATAAGCAATTTAAACAAATCTCTTAGGGTTTTCTAGAGTAATTTTATTGGAAGCCAAATAAGTATTCTTAGCAAGGCATAAGAAACAGAAATACGCTCTCCCTCTCCCCCTCCCCCTCTCCCTCTCCCTCTCCCCACGGTCTCCCTCTCATGCTGAGCCGAAGCTGGACTGTACTGCTGCCATCTCGGCTCACTGCAACCTCTCTGCCTGATTTTCCTGACTCAGCCTGCCGAGTGCCTGCGATTGCAGGCTCGCGCCACCACGCCTGACTGGTTTTGGTGGAGACGGGGTTTCGCTGTGTCGGCCAGGCCAGTCTCCAGCCCCTAACCGCAAGTGATCCACCAGCCTCGGCCTCCCAAGGTGCCGGGATTGCAGACGGAGTCTCGTTCACTCAGTGCTCAATGGTGCCCAGGCTGGAGTGCAGTGGCGTGATCTGGGCTCGCTACAACCTCCACCTCCCAGCCGCCTGCCTTGGCCTCCCAAAGTGCCGAGATTGCAGCCTCTGCCCGGCCGCCACCCTGTCTGGGAAGTGAGGAGCATCTCTGCCTGGCCGCCCATCATCTGGGATGTGAGGAGCCCCTCTGCCTGGCTGCCCAGTCTGGAAAGTGAGGAGCGTCTCCGCCCGGCCGCCATCCCACCTAGGAAGTGAGGAGCACCTCTTCCTGGCTGCCATCACATCTAGGAAGTGAGGAGCGTCTCTGCCCGGCCGCCTATCGTCTGAGATGTGGGGAGCGCCTCTGCCCCGCCGCCCCGTCTGGGATGTGAGGAGCACCTCTGCCCGGCCGCGACCCCGTCTGGGAGGTGAGGAGCATCTCTGCCCGGCCGCCCCGTCTGAGAAGTGAGGAGACCCTCTGCCCGGCAACCGCCCCGTCTGAGAAGTGAGGAGCCCCTCCGCCCGGCAGCAGCCCCATCTGGGAAGTGAGGAGCGTCTCCGCCCGGCAGCCACCCCGTCTGGGAGGGAGGTGTGGGGGGGGTCAGCCCCCCGCCAGGCCAGCCGCCCCATCTGGGAGGGAGGTGGGGGGGGTCAGCCCCCTGCCCGGCCAGCCGCCCCATCCTGGGAGGGAGGTGGGGGGGGTCAGCCCCCCGCCCGGCCAGCCGCCCCATCCGGGAGGGAGGTTCAGGGGGTTAGCCCCCAACCCGGCCCAGCTGCCCCGTCCGGGAGGTGAGGGGCGCCTCTAACCGGCTGCCCCTACTGGGAAGTGAGGAGCCCCTCTGCCAGGCCAGCCGCCCCGTCCGGGAGGGAGGTGGGGGGGGGTCAGCCCCCCGCCCCTCCAGCCGCCCCGTCCGGGAGGGAGGTGGGGGGGTCAGCCCCCCACCCGGCCAGCCGCCCCACCCGGGAGGGAGGTGGGGGGGTCAGCCCCCCGCCCGGCCAGCTGCCCCACCCGGGAGGTGAGGGGCGCCTCTGCCCGGCCGCCCCTACTGGGAAGTGAGGAGCCCCTCTGCCCGGCCACCACCCCGTCTGGGAGGTGTGCCCAACAGCTCATTGAGAACGGGCCAGGATGACAATGGCGGCTTTGTGGAATAGAAAGGCGGGAAAGGTGGGGAAAAGATTGAGAAATCGGATGGTTGCCGTGTCTGTGTAGAAAGAAGTAGACATGGGAGACTTTTCATTTTGTTCTGTACTAAGAAAAATTCTTCTGCCTTGGGATCCTGTTGATCTGTGACCTTACCCCCAACCCTGTGCTCTCTGAAACATGTGCTGTGTCCACTCAGGGTTAAATGGATTAAGGGCGGTGCAAGATGTGCTTTGTTAAACAGATGCTTGAAGGCAGCTAAGAGTCATCACCACTCCCTAATCTCAAGTACCCAGGGACACAAACACTGCGGAAGGCCGCAGGGTCCTCTGCCTAGGAAAACCAGAGACCTTTGTTCACTTGTTTATCTGCTGACCTTCCCTCCACTATTGTCCTATGACCCTGCCAAATCCCCCTCTGTGAGAAACACCCAAGAATTATCAATAAAAAATAAATAAATTTAAAAAAAAAAGAAACAGAAATACTAATAGCAACTGTTGTGTCCATAAATATCCATAGAAATGACCTCGTAAGTTACAAAAATATAAAGTGGCCCAAATAAAGTACACTTTTTTTGCCCACATCTATTTATTATGCCAACCATATGATGCTTAATTCAACCATGTATTCAGTTGCTAGTCAAGACTAACAGTTCCTGGATGGTAGGGATCATGACTGCTTCATCTATTTTTCTAATGGCCATAGGAAATGCAAGCAATTAGTTTATCCCTTTGGGTCTCCAGACCACCTCCTTGTTTTTCATCCAAGTACCAGGAAACTGAAGAAACTCTCATCTGGGTACCAACCAAAGACATCTCTTGTATGAGGGGAGGAACAAACACAGGATGACTCATTTCTCTTACACTGAGACAGACGCAGAATTAACCACTCTTGTCAGCCTGACACAGTTCATCCCTGGACATCCTCAAATGTCTCAGAGATGCCTAGGTGATTGTGAGAGGATTCCCAGTGACCCTAGGCTGATTGCTTAAGGATAAGCCAAGCAGGAGTGGGACAGGCTGATTCTAAATAAAAAATGAAACTGCCCTAGCGGAGCTCCAGAACCTGGATCACCTGTCTTGATTGGCTAGCTCTTGCGTAAAATGAAAGACAAGAATACTCTACTCCAGTATCACATTTTATGGGTAGGTACAGTTGTGGTCATGGCTGTGGATACCTTGTGACCTTGATCTGTCACTCCTAAGATGCTTGTTTACACTTACAGATTCTGCCATCAGATTCTATTTACACAAGAGCATCTTACATTACTGTAGCAGATCACTGAACAAGATCTGAAAAGCTCAAAGAGCCACACTCCCAAAGCGGGGCTTTAAGATGTCTATGTTGACATCTCACAACGCAGAAAATGCCTCCTGTTGGTTTTCTGTACATTCTGAATCCAAAGTCTGGCCCTGCTTTGTAAATCTCAGGCAGAGATTTACACCTTCTGTGTAGATTCTAGATTGAATCAACCTGGCTCTGCATTCTTGACTGTTACAGGAGGCAAAGTACAACCAAAGGAGAGATCCCCTCATACAGCCTGCTCTAGCACATTCTAAGTGATACGTCTACCTAAAATGAAAGAGCTGAGGCAACATGAATATAAGTAGACAGTTCATTTGGAGCAAGTTTGAGAATTGTAACCTGGAAGCAAAGATTCAAGTTGCCTGAAATCTGCGCTTTGATTAGCAGCAGTTATAAGTGGATTTGTAAAGGCAAAAAGAGGGACAGAGTGCCCAGACCAGCTAGGTTGTGGAGACCCTAACCCAGGGGCACTAGAGGAATTAAAGACACATGCACAGAAATATAGAGGCATGAAGTGGGAAATCAGGGGTCTCACAGCCTTCAGAGCTGAGAGCCCTGAACAGAGATTTACCCACGTATTCATTAACAGCAAGCCAGTCATTAGCATTGTTTCTATAGATATCAGATTAAGGATGGGTTTGGCTTGTTATCTGCAGCAGGAGCATGTCCTTAAGTCACAGATCGCTCATGCTATTGTTTGTGGTTTAAGAACACCTTTAAGTGGTTTTCCACCCTGGGTGGGCCAGGTGTGCCTTGCCCTTATTCCGGTAAACCCACAACCTTCCAGTGTGGGTTTTATGGCCATCATGAACATGTCACAGTGCTGCAGAGATTTTGCTTATGGCCAGTTTTTGGGGCCAGTTTATGGCCAGATTTTGGGGAGCCTGTTCCCAACAACAGAGTGGGCTGATAAAAGGTTGCCAGAAATTCTTATTTACAAAAAATAACATTACTAATTGGATATACATTGTTAAGCTATAGGGCATGGGTTATAGTGTCCAGTGTGTCATTATTAGTTTAATTTTTAGCTACTTGTAGAAATAGCAAGCAGTTTCAAGAAATAAATACACAGCTCAAAGAAGGGATAAAGACATAATTGTGGTCTCATTTTAATGTCTCTTTGAGCCTTGTAACTAAAAGAATTTGCATTTCTCAAATAAATGTTTGTTTGTTTTCCCCAAATCTCAATACCTAGATTCAGAGTTTGGAGCTGCAAATTTAGGTACTGGATGGGTGGAGTAGCAGCAGGTGTCATCTGTACATTGTGGGCATTGTAAGAGGAGGAGGAAAGGGAAAGGGGAGATTCTCATGCCTGCATGTCTACTCAGTGCACATGCTACTCTGATTGGGTTTCTGGGCCCCATGGTCTCTGAATCAGTTTCTGGTCTAAAGAGTCATTGA
Organism: Homo sapiens; assembly: GCF_000001405.40. Classification (NCBI taxonomy): domain Eukaryota; kingdom Metazoa; phylum Chordata; class Mammalia; order Primates; family Hominidae; genus Homo; species Homo sapiens. Next base: position 64,806,350 of record NC_000007.14, on the reverse strand, counting down.
AAGAGGTAAAATGGTTGATTGCTGTCCTATGAAGTATTTAGAAATCAGGTCTAGCCTCTCTAAATGTTAACTATAGAGTACTATAGATACAAAATAGGCAGAGACACAATTCTGCCTGCATATTTAGGGGACAGCATGCACTTTGCAGCACAACCGTGAGTTGACTGGAAGCCTGAGAAAGGCCCCTCTAGATTAAAGCTTGGTTGGCACCCTGTATGTTTATATTATATGTGGTTATTCTACAGTGATTGGAAAATATAATTAAAAGAAAAGAGTTCTCCAGCACCAGAATAACTCCACAATGACAGAACAGAAAGAAAGCTGTTTTATTACACAATTCAACCAAATGTGACATGCATCACACTCAATCTGTTTAAGAGATTGCAAAGACAGAAAGATGGTCACCATAATTAATCCACAAGTAGAATTTACAACACCATGTCATATGTAGTTCATCCTAAATTCACCTGGTAATTGGGGAGGCCATCCATGTGTGTTAATTGGTTATAACCAACGACAAAATAAACTTTTCACATCTTCATGACAAGAGGTAATTTTGCAACTTGAAGCCAGGTGCCTGCTGAAGGTAGGCTCTCACTCTCCTATAGAAATGGTTGAAGAGGGTGCTATCTTTATGGCTATTTACTTTATGGCTATGCTACGCCCTGAGCACTGGGCTACAGCACTCCTGCTTGCCCTCTCCTAGTGGCTGGTGTCCTCTCTTGACTTTTACCATCTTCCCTTGAGACACAGCCCACAGCACAGGGCTCACAGCTGGCAGATTACATCTTACATGAATCCCAATTGCCACAGCAGCACTCCAGTGCCACATCGGAGTGAGGCCTGAACTGCAGGAGGAGCCTGCAGGACTCCTAGGTAGAATTGCACCTTCACAGTAATGGAAATAGGAGCACTGTTTCAGCCTCAGTTTTTTTTTTTGTTTTGTTTTTTTGAGACAGAGTCTTGCTCTGTCGCCCAGGCTGGAGTGCAGTGGCGCAATCTCAGCTCACTGCAACCTCCACCTTCCGGGTTCAAGCAATTCTCCTGGCTCAGCCTCCTGAGTAGCTGAGATTACAGGCACCTGCCACCACGCCCAGCTAATTTTTTTGTATTTTTGGTGGAGACGGGGTTTCACCATGTTGGTCAGGCTGGTCTTGAACCCCTGACCTCGTGATCCACCCACCTCGGCCTCCCAAAGTGCTGGGATTATAGGTGTGAGCCACTGCGCCCGGCCATCAGTTTCTATTTATAGTGGTGACATGGAAAAAATACTGCTGGATTTTCAGCATGAGTCCAGATAGGGATAGCTCCAAGAGTTCTCCTGTGACAGCCCACCTCATTCACAGACACCATGGGATAGAAATAGGGTCTCAAAGAATTTTTTTTAAACACCCAAAGTGCACCGCTACTCTCGACATGAGAAACACGGGTGTTATGAAGAAAGGGAGCAGATTCTCAGCAGAATTTAATAGGTTTCTCTTCCATCTCTGCCGCTCTCATCTCCTAGCCATTAAATGAGAGGATCTATAATGGAATGCCTCTGACAGTTTTCACCAGAACATTTTCTTTTGAGACAGAGTCTCACTCTGTCACCCAGGCTGGAGTGCAGTGGCACGATCTCAGCTCACTAAAGCCTCTGCCTCCTGAGTTCATGTGATTCTTGTGCCTCAGCCTCTGGAGTAGCTGGGATTACAGGCATGTGCCACCACACCTGGCTTATTTTATATTTTTAGTAGAGATGGGGTTTCACCATGTTGGCCAGGCTGGTCTTGAACTCCTGACTGCAATGATCCACCCACCTCCGCCTCTCCCTGTAGCAGGACAAGCTGCAGACAAAAACCCCTCAGACACTGAGTTAAAGAAGGAAGGGCTTTATTCAGCCGGGAGCTTCAGCAAGACTCACAACTCCAAACAACTGAGCTCCCCGAGTAAGCAATTCCTGTCCCTTTTAAGGGCTCACAACTCCAAGGGGGTCCACATGAGAAGGCTGTGATCAATTGAGCAAGCAGGGGGTACATGACTGGGGGCTGCATGCACCGGTAATTAGAACGGAACAGAACAGGACAGGGATTTTCACAGTGCTTTTCTATACAATGTCTGTGATCTATAGATAACATAGCCAATTAGGTCAGGGGTCAATCTTTAACTACCAGGCCCACGGTGTGGCGCCGGGCTGTCTGCCTGTGGATTTCATTTCTGCCTTTTAGTTTTTACTTCTTTCTTTGGAGGCAGAAATTGGGCATGAGACAGTATGAGGGGTGGTCTCCTCCCTTATCCCCACCAGAACTTTTTAATGAAGAATTGGAATATGACTTTGTTAATATAGTGGAATATATTTGAGCTTGCATCATGGGTAAGTGAAGAGCTATTACGGTTTTTGGGTGGCCACATCACCCTTGTTTATTTTTCCTGTAACAGCAGCATTCCAATTTAGTGAAACGAAAGACACTGAAGTTATGCTTACCTATAATTATCTCTATTGGATAAATTAGTAACCATGTTATACTAATATCTACTGTAATAATTTGATAGTAACTTTTTTGATTAGATACACTTAGTATAATTTTAATGTACTATTTATAATGTACATAGGATTTTTAAAAATTGTCTGTAACCATAATCCAATTAAAACACTTTATATTCCAAATGTATGAATATAAAAATATTGAAATTACTAAGGGATTCATTCAAAGCAAATATTGTGGTGTTATATTCACACTACTGTATAAAATACTGCTTAATTTATATGAATGCAGTTTGTCTACAAACACTACACATAACTATGCTAATTGTTCTGAAGTAATAAGCAGAAACCAAAGCACAACCACAGACTCCACTGTTCAGTTCATACACTGAACCTCGCTTTTGCAATGTAAGTACTTCAGCCTGCAAATATTAAATAATTACCTTGGATAATCTGTTTTCTGTCAAAGGAGCTTACTTGGTATCTTTTAGTCTTCATCATTCTGTATTGCTAAATGTAATCCTATCTTTGTGCTCAACTTTTGTGTGCTCTTAAAATGAGCTTTAATCTAAACAAATCTGTGTCTACCTTAAAAGATACAGATTAAATGAAAAAAAAAAAAAAAAAACCTTTGCCAAAGCAAAAACAAAGCAATGAATCTGAGGTCCTAGATAAAGACAATCCTGAGTCAAAAACAATGACAAAAGATTTAGCTGTTAATATGATTTACATATCTTTCAAACAACAAAGAAAAAAATCTACATATAATTTAAGTGCTTTAAAGAAAAATAAATTAACAAAATATCCTCCCTTATTTTCATGCAGGAGAATAAACCCTCTTATTTCTAATTTATATTTTCTCCTACAGTGAGATATTGAGAAGTACACAATTGTTATGTAAGAGGGGGGTAGGGAAAAATAGTCACTCATGCCATTGTCTGGCTCAGTGAATCTGCATTTTTTTTTTTTAACATAAGACAAGACAAAACGAGGCAGGGGAACAATCAGATATGCATTTGTGTCTGTTGGGCAGGGGGGTGACTGTATCTGTAAAGATAAGCTATCAGTTTACATTTTAACAGAAACACCTTAGGGTAAAGATCTTGCGGCTCACTAGAAATTTTCTTGTGGGCAAAAGATGGGGGAGGTATGTAGCTTTTCTTCTTGTAGCCATCTTATTTAGGAACTGAGGACTAAGCTCTGAATTTTTTATCTTGCCCAAATTTCTATCTAATTGTTTGTAAGGGGTCATGCCCTACAAACCATAAATTCTCATCAGATGGGTTTTATTTGACCCTATAGATCGTGACTTACTTTCCAATCTGACTCTGGCGTAACATTATGAGACAAGAAAAAAAAAATCAAAATATTTAACACCAAAATATATTTTCTTGCCATGCCTTGAAATTGCCCTGCAAAAGTCTCTTGTGGGAAAAATGTACATTCTATAGACAATCCCCTTTCCTCTTTTGTTTTCCTTCCTTACATTCCAGATCCAGGAGATAATCAATCAACTAAGAGCCAGGCACCTTTTTAAGTCCAGTAAGAAGAAACATTTTTACAACCTGCTGTCTCTGAAGTCTGCTATCTGAGATTCCTCTCCACAATAAAACTTGGTCTCCACAATCCTTTATCTTAACCTGAACATTTTCTTTCTATTGATCCGAGGTCTTCAGATATACTCAACCAACTGTCAACCGGAAAATGTGTAAATTTGCCTATAGCCCGGAAGCCGCCACTTTGAGTTGTTCTGCCTTTCGGACAAATCCATGTATTTCTTAAATGTATTTCATTGATGTCTCATGTCTCCCTAAAATATATAAAACCAAGCTGTAACCCGACCACCTTGGCCTGATCACAGGACCTCCCGAGGGCTGTGTCACAGGCCATGGTCACTCATATTTGGCTCAGAATAAATCTCTTAAAATATTTTACAGAGTTTGACTCTTCGTCAACAGAGCCAAAAGAGGAAGGCAGGTTTGTGTGACCCCGTTCCCAGCTTAACTTTTCTGTTTGGCTTAATGAGTTTTGGGTCCCAAGATTTAATTTCCTTTCACAGGTGCACATGAATAAGGCAAGTTCTTAGAGATTTATGAAGAGACTTAGATTCTGATACAATAGTGGGAGACTACAACACCCCACAGACACTATTAGACACATTATTGAGGCAGCAAATTAAAAAAGAACTAAACTCAATACTTAACCAAATAGCCCTACTAGAAATCTACAGAACTCTCCATCTAAAAACAACATAATATATATTCTTCTCAGCACCATGTGGCACATACTCTAAAATTGACCACGCAATCCAAAATAAAACAATCCTCAGCAATTTCAAACATCCCAAAATTATACCAACCACATACTCAGACCACAGATTGATTAAAATATAATTCAATACAAGGAAAACCACTTGAAACCATACAAGTACATGGAAATTAAACAACCTGTACCTGAATAACTTTTGGGTATATAATAATATTAAGGCAAAATCAAAAAGCTCTTTGAAACAAATGAGAACAAAGTACAGCATATCAGAATCTCTGCAACACAGCTAATGCAGTGCTAACAGAAAAATTTATAGCACTAAATGCCCCCATAAAAAAGTTAAAAAGATCTCAATTTAACAACCTAACATTATGAATAAAATAAGGAGAGAAGCAAGGGGAAACAAACCCCTAAGCTAGCAGAAGGCAAAAAATAACAAGAGCTGTACTGAAGGAGATTTAGACATAAAAAACTATGCAACAGATCAAGAAATCCAGGAGTTAAATCTATTAAAAAAATTAATAAGCTAAATAACCCACTAGCAAGATTAATGAAGATTCAAATAAATACAATTAGAAATGACAAAAGGGACATTACCACTGACCCCAGAAAAATACAAATAACTATTGAAGTCTACTATGAACACTTCCATGCACACAAACTAGAAAATCTAAAAGAAATAGTACATTCCTGAAAAATACATCCTCCCAGGACTGAACAAAAAAGAAATTGAATCTCTGAATAGAACAATAACAAACTACAGAACTGAATTAGTAATAAATAGCCTAGCAACCAAAAAAAGCCCAGGACCAGAGACATCCACAGCTAAATTCTACAAGATGTATAAAAAAAAGAGCTGGTACCATTCTTTCTAAAACTATTCCAAAAAATTGAGAAGACACTCCCTCCTTCAACTCATTAGGTAAGAACAGCATCATTCAGACACCAAAACCTGACACAGATATAAAAAGAAAACTTTATGCAAATATCCTTGAGGACCATTGATATGCAAAAATCTTCAATAAAATACTGGCAAATTAAATTCAGCAGCACACCAAAAAGTTAATCAGTTATGATCAAGTAGGCTTTTTCTCTGGGATATGAGGTTGGTTCAACATACACAAATTAATAAATGTGATTCGTTACATTAACAAAAATAAAGATAAAAACTGCAAGATTATCTTAATAGATGCAGGAGCTTTCAAAAAAATTTTAACATCTTTCATGTTAAAAACCTTCAACAAACTAGGCATTGAAGGTACATATTTCAAAATAACAAGTTATCCAAGACAAACCCACAACCAACGTACTGAATGGACAAACTGGAAGCATTTCTCCATGAAAACTGGCACAAGACAAGGATGCCTTCTCTCACCACTCCTATTCAACACAGAATTGGTAGTCCACACCACAGTTAATCAGGCAAGAGACTAAAATAAAAGGTATTCAATAGAAGAGAAAAAGTCAAACTATCCCTGTTCACAGACAACATAATTCTATATCTAGAGAACCCACAGAAAAGTTCTTCTCTTTTCTGTCTCCACAGAAACGTTCTTTAAACTGAAGAAGTGAAGCAAAATTTCAGAATACAAAATAAATGTACAAAAATTAGTAGGATCCCTGTACATCAGCAGCATCCAAGCCAAAAGCCAAATCAAAAACATAATCCCAGGCTGGGCCTGGTGGCTCACACCTGAAATCCCAGCACTTTGGGAGGCCGAGGTGGGTGGATCGCCTAACACCTGAGGTCAGGAGTTCAAGACCAGCCTGACTAACATGGTGAAACCCCGTCTCTCCTAAACAAAAAATTAGCCAGGCGTGGTGGCACAGGCCTGTAATCCCAGCTACTTGGCAGGCTAAGGCAGGAGAATCGTTTGAACCCGGGAGGTCGAGGTTGCAGTGAGCCAAGATTGCACCATTGCACTCCAGCCTGGGCAACAAGAGCGAAACTCCATCTCAAAAAACAAATAAACAAACAAAAATAAAAACACAATCCCATTCACAATTGCCACAAAAATAATAAAACATCCAGGAATACAGCTGATCAGGCAAGTGAAAGATCTCTACAAGAATTACAAAACACTGCTTAAATAAGTCAGATATGACACAAATATATTGAAAATTACTTTATGCTCATGGATAGAAAAGATCAACATCAGCTGGGTGGCATGACTCAGCCTGTAATCCCAGCACTTTGGGAGGCAGAGGCGGGCAGATCACCTGAGGTTGGGAATTCAAGACCAGCCTGAACATGGAGAAACCCCGTCTTTACTAAAAATATAAAATCAGCTGGGCGTGGTGGCGCATGTCTGTAATCCCAGCTACTCAGGAGGCTGCGGCAGGAGAAATCACTTGAATCCAGAGGCAGAGGTTGCGGTGAGCCGAGATCGTGCCATTGCACTCCAGCCTGGGCAACAAGAGCAAAACTCTATCTCAAAAAAAAAAGAAAAGAAAAGATCAATATCATTAAAATGGCCATACTGCCCTAAGAAATTTACAGATCTAATGTCATTCTTATCAAGCTACCAAAAACATTCTTAACAGAACTAAAAAAACTATTTTAAAATTCATATGAAACCAACAAAGAGCCTGAATAGCCAAGGCAATTCTAAGCAAAAAGAACAAAGCTGGGCATTACATTATCCAACTTGAAACTATTCTATAAGGCTGTAACCAAAGCAGCATGGTAGTGATTAAAAAAAAAAAAAAAAGGCTCATAGAACAATGCAACAGAATAGAGCCAAGAAATAATGCCACACATCTACAACCATCTGACCATCTGATCATCAAAAAAGCTGACAAGATCAATGTAGGAAGAATTTCCTTTTTTTTTTTTTTTTGAGTCGGAGTTTCACTCTTGTTGCCCAGGCTGGAGTGCAATGGCTCAATCTCGGCTCACCACAACCTCCGCCTCCAGGTTCAAGCGTTTCTCCTGTCTCAGCCTCCTGAGTAGCTGGGATTACAGGCATGGGCCACCATGTCCGACTATTTTTTTTGTAGGGTTTCTCCATGTTGGTCAGGCTGGTCTCAAACTCCCGACCTCAGGTGATCCACCCGCCTTGGCCTCCCAAAGAGCTGGGATTACAGGCGTAAGCCACCATGCCCGGCCAGAATTCCCTATTTAATAAAATGGTACTGGAATAACTAGCTAGCACTATGTATAAGATTTTCTTTTTTGTATTTAAAAAAATAGCCGAATTTTTCTTCAGCGGTCAAATAAAATACTTCTTAATCAAAATATAGTTAAGTTTATCTCCTTCCCACAGCTCCTGAACTTTGAGCTACTCAGTCTGAGCCAACATACAACCCCATTTTATGTTTCTCCTAAAAACTTGCTGACTTCAGGGTAAAACATTTTCTAATCTAAAATCTGATTTGGGCTGAGCGTGGTGGCTCACGCCTGTAATCCCAGCACTTTGAGAGGCTGAGAAGAGCAGATCACCTGAGGTCAGGAGTTTGAGACCACCCTGGCCAATATGGCAAAACCCCATTTCTAGTAAAAATACAAAAATTAGCCCGGCATGGTGGTGGGCGGCTGTAATCCCAGCTTCTCAGGAGGCTGTGGCATGACAGTCACTTGAACCCAGGAGGCAGAGGTTGCAGTGAGGTGATATCCAGCCACTGCACTCCAGCCTGGGCAACAAAGTAAGACTCTGTCTCAAAAAAATAATTTAATTAAAAAATAAAAAATAAAATCTGATTTATACACCCTCCATTTGCCATTCCCCTCTCACCTTCTAATCTTTTTTGCTCCTCCCTAAGAAAGCCTTTATCTGCCTAAACTTTGCAATCCTTAAAGATTATATAGTTGGTACTTCCTTCTGTTGCAGTATTTTAGAATTTTTTAAAAAATAAACCTAATTTTGTTTTATTTTACAAAGTCTAGAAACTGCCTCAAAACAATAACAACTTCATCCTGAGTATGACCCTCCCAATCCCCTTCCATCTTAATGTTTACTGCATCTGCCTGTGGGTCTCCAGTTTTCCAGGGCTCTGTAGCTTCTCTCAGTATAAAGGTTCTTCCATGGCTGGGGTGAGCAGGCTCCGACATCCGCAGGGGAGGCTTCCTAGAAAGAACTAACTGGGCCTTTAATAACCTCCCTTCCCTTTGTAGGCTCAATATTAGCCTTAGCTTGCAGTCACTGGCGCAAGCTTTAATTTCCATGTCGGAGTTGTTCAAATGGTTTTTTAAACTGAAAAATTCAGCAAAATTACTCAAACACAGTGTTTATATAAGGGAAGGAAATTTTAAAGCACTTACGTCACATATCTCAAATGCAAAAGTATGTAATCTTTTAAAACGATAAATAATTATTTTATTATATCCATTAAAAATGATGTAGTAAACAATTAGTCATATGGGAACACTTCTAGGATAGACCAAGTTTCATCTTAAAAAATTTAGCATTAACCTCAGAAATCAAGATGACTGGATACAGAAGAGAGGTATTCACTGAAATGTACCCTGAAAAAGGAGGAACTGATATTTTCATGAATCTGTATAACTCACCAATTATCTACCACATCTTCTTGTGGAAATGTATTCATTTTCTTTCTTTCTTTTTTCTTGAGATGGAGTCTCGCTCTGTCGCCCAAGGTGGAGTGCAGCCGCACGATCTCAGCTCACTGCAACCTCTGCCTATGGGGTTCAAATGATTCTCCCACCTCAGCCTCCCGAATAGCTGGGATTACAGGTGCCTATCACCATTCATGGCTAATTTCTAATTTTTGTATTTTTAGTAGAGATGGGGTTTCACCATGTTGGCCAGGCTGGTCTAGAACTCCTGACCTCAGGTGATCTCCCTGCCTTGGCCTCCCACAGTGCTGGGATTTCAGGCATGAGCCACCGCACCCCGCCGGAAATGTATTCGTTTTCCACAGCCAAAATGGAAGAAGTATTTTCCCTATTCTTTTCCTTGGTAGCATTCTAAAAGCTAAGCCTTGGAATACTCTTGGACATCACCCAGCCATAAAAAAACAGACCTGAGAAAATTCCTAAACTCAGTCTGGGAAAGAAAAAGGTAAATGAGAATACTTAACAAATAGAATATATGATTAGATATTTTTTTCCAAAACCCATCTCTTTCATGCCCATTCTAATTATCCTCTTACCTTTTAGTCCTACTAATAAACTGCAAGTTACAATTAAAACACTGAAGTAAGTGAACAAATCTTTTCAGGGTGACAATCCCAGGGAGTGGCAGTGCTGATTAAAAAACAGATGTATCTCACTCACATGTCAAGTCAAGCCACCCAATCACTTGAGAGATTCTCCCACCCCATCCTGCTCACTTAAGTGCTAAACGACCACCCTCTCTGAAGACCACCCTCTCTGAAGACGCTGCACTATGCCTCAGTGACTGCCCCAAGTACATTTCACTTTGCAAGTTCTTGAACCATCTCACTGGGGTAAGGTTTGATTTGTCTTTTTGGATACTATCATTTCTTTCACAAATCTTAGAGAATCCAGTGGGCCGAAATTATTTCTGTGTTCTCCCCTCAATACCAGCATATGATTGATTGACCAGCAATATGTCTCCGGAAATGGACACTGGGTTGGTTTGAAGACAATCTTAACTTCTCAAAGGGTTTGCTTTTCAAAGGAAGAGTACACCAGGAGATTCCTCTCAGCCCCAGGGCATTCACCTGCTCCCTTGAGAGGCTACACTCCAACCTCAGGTTGTCCTCTGTCTCCCATTCCCAGATAACCAGAGTTCATTCCAGGCCAGGAGCTGAAATTTACCAGAGATTCTAGCATACACAGCCACAGTGGATATTTTGATTTATCCTCAGAAAGTACTGAAACCCAGGACCAAGGAAAAAACTGAAGAGTGACTAAGGACACATTACCTTATAAAGTTTCCAAAGGGAAACCTTGACCCAAAAATATTCTGATAAGATCTCTGTACCTAGGGAAGATTTAAAAAAAAAAAAAAAGGCACAGAGATTTTTTACAATACAGCATCAGGGGATGAGTCTTTGGTTTCTTCTCATGGGAAATATTTACAAACAGATAACAAATCTTTTTTAAAATGCCATCCATGCTTTGTCAAAAAATGATTAATTAAAATACAGTATTTCAAATGTACACTAAAGGACAAATAGTTGATAATGTGAATTAGGAAGGGGAAGTTGGCATTTGGGAATGTCAGAAGGAACTGGAAATTTAGTATTTTACTGCAAGCCAGAGTTAGGCTGAAGGAATGGGAAATGGGGAGGGGGAGGAGTCTTGAGACCCTGCTTGGGACACATGTGAAAAATGAAGGGGAAGATCTGTCCCCTGTGGAGTGTGAAAATAATTAAGTGGCAGGCAATTAGACTGAGGTCGCTCCAGTCCCAGGGTTTCTGGTTTTAAAAAAATCTAACTCAAATGCATTTTTTTGTAAATTACTACCTTGTGAAAAATAAAATTCATGTTTAACCAACTGTAAACTGCCAATTAACCTCTGATTACATGACCAGGAAATTTCCTCCTTCATTGTACAAATTAAGAAACTACATAACTCTACTAACCAATTACTGAATTTGGTTTTATCATACACCTTATACAAGTGTTTCCTTCAAACCCCTCCCACGGACCACTACTGCAAACCACAGCTGGGTGCTCCACAATTCTTGAATCACTGTTTGATTAAATTAATTTTTTTGCGGTGACTTTCATAAATTTTAATAGGGGAAAAGAGGGACAGGGAAGCCCGCGGAGGAAACCTCTTCCCATTCATGAACCCAGCACCCCGAGTCAGGATTCTCCCCTGACGACCCTCCCGTCGTCTCTGCACAATCGCTGCGGGTGCAGAGCTGCTCAGAGAGGGCTCCAGGCCAGGGCACAGTCACTGCGCAGGGAGGAGACAGGACGCCTGGTTCCGGCTGTCAGCCCAGCTGCCATGCTATGGCTTAAGGGGACTGAGGGCCGAGCTGTGCCAAGAACTCGGGGCCGCGGATTTTGCAGCCGACTGCGGGAAGACCCGAGTACTGCCACAGCCACTTCCGACCGGTTCCAACCAGCTCCCTCCCCCTCTCTCGGGATGTCGGACCCAGCACTCTCACCATTTCTAGGCTTCCGGGGGATCCTGGCGTCTTAGCTGTGAATCTCCCAATAACCAGATCACAGCGCCACAGAGGCTGGGCCTCTAGGAGTAAGAGGACGCAGAAAAGTGAAGGCCAGACCTGCAGCACCCGCTGCAGCGAGACAAAGACCCCGCCGCCTCCCGGAAGACGTCATGTCCGCTCCAGCTGGGTGCCTGATTGGACCGTTCCCAGCCCGGCGTCCCTGATTGGATAACGTTTAACAACCCGCCCCCTCAGGCCCTGAGTGACAGATGTGCTCAGGTGCTGGGCTGAAGGAAGACAGAGTTAAACCTAAGCAGCAGCCTTTTCCAGAAGGGCTTCCTCCCTGAGCTGAGTCAGGCCCACCCCAGAGGGCATTTGCATTTAACCTTGTGTATAAGGTCGTATGCATTTATAAATAACATATAGCTATTCACATCTGAATATAACAATTATTTTTAAATTCCAGATTTTATAACCGTACTGGCTTCTGGTCCTTTGAGCAGGCAGCCTGAGATTTTTTTCTTTTTTTTTTTTGAGACAGAGTCTCACTCTCACCCAGGCTCAAGCACAGTGGCACGATTTCGGCTCACCCCAAACTCCGCATCTCGGGCTCAAGTGATTCTCCTGCCTTAGCCTCCTGAGTAATTGGGATTACAGGCACCCGCCTCCACGCCCGGCTACTTTTTGTATATTTAATAGAGACAGAATTTTGCCATGTTGGTCAGGCTGATCTCGAACTCCTGACCTCAGGTGATCCACCTGCCTCGGCCTCCCAAAGTGCTGGGATTACAGAGCACATGTGAATTCCAAATTTTCTAGTAGTCAAACTTTAAGAATAAACAGGTGGAATTCACTCTAATTGAGATGGTTAGTCATTTAGGCTGGGCTCAGTGAGACCATTCTTGTGACCTCAGCTGAGTTCCTTCAGACATGTATCATCAGCTGCTTGTTGACTAGGCAGCTGTGCTTCTGGGGGTGAGCTTCTGCTTCTGAGGCTGTCAACAGAGGCAACTTGCTTCTCCTCCCCATACTATTTTATCTTCCATCTGGCTAACATGGGCTTTTTTCGCGGAGATAGTAGCCTTCTGAAAGAAAAACAGAAGCATGCAAAACCATTTGAGCCTACGCCTCAAACTAGCACACTGCACTGTTCACAGGTTTTTACTGCCCTGAGCAAATAAGGCCAGCCAGATCTAGGGTTTGGAAAACAGAACTGGATCTCAATGGAAACAGCTGTAAATGCACCTGGCAATGGGCATGGATAGCGGAGGGATGAAAAATTGCTAACATTTTTGCAATCAGTATCATTCTGCCTTTTTTTGCATATGTGGTTTATATAACTCTTCCACATCAAAAAAAAAAAAATTTGTGCAAAGACCCACAGCTATTAAGTGGCTGGGCTGGGACTCAGAATTAACTCCATTTGACCCTTGAAATCCTGGAGAGTGACACTTCTAAAATAGAAGCCAGATTTCTTTTAGATTTGTGCCCATATAGCACTGTTTATTATTATTGCTAGAAATAATCTTAAGAAATTGAAGAAGCACACGGTAGCTCACATCTATAATCCTAGCACTTTGGCAAGCTGAGATGGGAGAATCACTTGCGCTCAGGAGTTCAAGTGCAGCCTGAATAACATAGTTAAGATCCTATGTGCATGAAAATTTTTTTTTTTTTAATTAGCCAGTCATGGCCGGGCGCGGTGGCTCATGCCTGTAATCCCAGCACTTTGGGAGGCCGAGGAGGGCAGATCACGAGGTCAGGAGATCGAGACCATCCTGGCTAACACGGTGAAACCCCGTCTCTACTAAAAATACAGTCCCAGCTGCTCGGGAGGCTGAGGCAGGAGAATGGCATGAACCCACGAGATGGGGCTTGCAGTGAGCCAAGATCCCACCACTGCACTCCAGCCTGGGTGACAGAGCGAGACTCCGTCTCAAAAAAAATAAAAAATAAAAATAAATAAAAATAAAAATTAGCCAGCATGAGGCAATCCTGTAGTCCCAGCTACTCAGGTGGCAGAGGCAAGAGGATTACTTGAGCCTGGAAGGTCGAGGCTGCAGTGAGCCATGATTGGTTACGACACTGCACTTCAGCCTGGGTGGTGAGAGTGTGATCCTTTCTCCAAAAAAAAAAAAAGAAAAGAAAAGAAACAGAAAAGAAAAAAGTTGCAGGAGCATTTCAAAAGGACATAGCATATGTGGAAAAAGATAGATGAGGGATGAGTTGAGAAAATCAAAGCCCAGCAACACATTACTTATTTTTTATCATAGATAAAATCTGTAAACATCTAAAAAAAAAAACAAAACCTTCAGAGAAATTGAATGTAACAGAGTCTAAATGAACAAAGAATGATTTGCAAATCAGGCAGCCTGTGGGCCCAGAATAGGCTCAGAGAGACTCCAGCACAGCAACATGGTAAAAAAATTGATCAACAGAAAAAGCAAAGTGGCATACAGAAAATGAAATTGAGGTACAGAAACAGCCAAATTGATTACAGCTTGGGATTTGCCTTATTTGAACATGGTTTGAAGAGTTGATGTCCTTTTATTGGCAAAATCACAGTGGCTGGTACAGGAATGGGTTATAATCTACTTACATATCCAGTTAGGTTTCAGTTTAGTATGTACCAAAAAAAAAAAAAAAAGAAAAACAAACAAACAAAAAACCTACTGACCAAAATTAAACATGAAAACAGAGAGCTTCAGGCTATAATTTAACAATTTCTCCTTTTTGGTTATCTTCTCAATTTTGAGAGATAGACCAAGTTATCAGCTAAATAAATGGTCTCCTCATTTCAACCAAGCAGCCTGTTTCTTAAACCCCCGTAACTGAATCTCTGTAATACGTGTAATATATTTCTGTATAATCTCTATAATATATTTCTCCATGTGCAACTATGCATATTAGCAACTACACAGATACTTTTCTGTTTATGCAATAAGTAATCTCAAGAAATTCCATTATTTAGCACAACTTTAGTAAAAAAAGTCTATTGTGTAACCATAGCCTTTGCAGTAGAATCTGCTATAGAGACTATTATGAAGGATAAATGTCTAACCAATGCCTGATTTTTTTACCCTGAACCATGAAAAAAAAAAAAAAAAAAAGACCTAACAAATGATGCTTATTTAGAAGAGTAATGGCCAGGCAATGCTCTGAAACTTATTGTGAATGAGTTCTTTTTAACTTCTGAAGTAGGTTAAGAGCAGTGGACCTATATTCTGTGTTTCTGATATTATGAGGCAACAAATGTCCCATTAGAATTTCTCACCCACATTGACCCTTCATCTTGTACCTATCAAGGCATAAGTTTGTTCATATATAAAGTTGGCTGCAAAATTCTCTAGAGAATTAGATAATTAGTAGAGACGGGGTTTCACCATGTTGGCCAGGCTGGTTTCAAATGCCTGACCTCAAGTGATCCAACCGTCTCATCCTCCCAAAATGCTGGGATTACAAGCACGAGCCACTGTGCCCAACCTAATCCCAGCACTTTAAAAAGCCAAGAAACAAAGACTGTTTAAGCCTAGGAATACAAGTCCAGCCTGGGCAACATGGCAAAACCCTATGTTTACAAATAATACAAACATTAGCTGGGTATGGTGGCCCGCACTTGTAGTACCAGCTATTTAGGAGGCTGAGGAAGGCGAATTGCCTGAGCCCAAAAGGTCGAGGCTGCAGTGAGCCGTGATCAAGCCACTGTACTTCATTCTGGGTGACAGAGGGAGACCCTTTCTAAAAAAAATAAAATGCCAAAGCATATAAACTTAAACTTATGGAGTTTTCTGTGTTTCTTGTTTTTATCATTACTATTTCAATAGTTTTGGGGGTACAGGTGGTGTTTGGTTACATGAATAAGTTCTTTAGCAGTGGTGTGTGAGATTTTGGTGCACCCATCTACAGAGCAGTATACGCTGTACCCAATGTGTAGTCTTTTATCCCTCAACCCCACACCGCCCTTTCCCCCAAGTTTCTAGAGTCCATTATGTGACATAATTCTTATGCCTTTATATCCTCATAGTTTAGCTCTCACTAAAAAGTGACAACATGCCATGCTTGGTTTTCCATTTCTGGGTTACTTTACTTAGAATAATGATCTCCAACTTTATCCAGGTTGCTCTGAGTGCCATTATTTTGTTTTTTTGTTTGTTTGTTTTGAGACAGAGTCTTGCTTCGTCGCCCAGGCTGGAGTGCAATGGCGCGATCTTGGGTCACTGCAACCTCCGCCTCCCGGGTTCAAGTGATTCTCCTGCTTCAGCCTACTGAGTAGCTGGGATTAGAGGCACCTGCCACTACACCCAGCTAACTTTTGTATTTTTAGTAGAGACAGGGTTTCACCATGTTGAACAGGCTGGTCTTGAACTCCTGACCTCAGGTGATCCGCCCGCCTTGGCCTCCCAAAGTGCTGGGATTACAGGCCTGAGCCACCACACCCGGCCTGAGTTTCTTGCAGATTCTGAATATAAGTCCTTTGTTGGAAGCATGGTTTGTGAACCTTTCTTCTCACTCTGTGGGTTATCTGTTTACTGCTTGAATTATCTCTTTTGCTGTGCAGAAACTTTTCCGTGTAATTAAGTCACATTTATTTATCTTTTTTTGTCGCATTTGGTTTTGGGTACTTGGTCACAAACTTTTTGACTAAGCCAATGTGTAGAGGAGTTTTTTCTATATTATCTGCTAAAATTTTTATAATTTCAGGACTTAGACTTAAGTCTTTGATCCATCTTGTGTTGATTTTTTAAATCTTTTTTTGTTTGTTTGTTTGTCTGAGGCAGAGTCTCGCTCTTTTGCCCAGGCTGGAGTGAAGTGGAACAATCTCAGCTCACTGCAATCTTTGCCCCCCTGGTTCAAGCGATTCCCCTGCCTCAACCTCCCGAGTAGCTATGTAGCAGGATGAGCCGCAGACAAAACTCCTCAGACACTGGATTAAAGACGGAAGAGTTTTTTATCTGGCCGGGAGCGTCGGCAGACTCACGTCTTAAAAGCCGAGCTCCCCGAAAGAGAAATTCTTGGCCTTTTTAAAGGCTTGCAACTTTAAGGGGTCCACGTGAAAGGGTCGTGATACATCAAGCAAGCATGGGAAACGTGACTGGGGGCTACATGCATCAGCTAACAGAACAAAAAGCTTTACAATGCTTTTTTCATATAGTGTCTGGAATTTACAGATAACACAAGTAGTTTAGGTCAGGGGTTGATGTCATTATTGTTACTTTTTTTAACTCCTAGGGCCGGGTGGTGGTGCCAAGGTTGTCTGGCTATTTATCTTACTTTTGTTTTTTTTCCAACTTTTTGCTTTTTCTCTCCTCCTGTCTTGTGAACTAGGCAAGGTGTGGGAGGAGGGCAGCAGGAGTAGTAGTGGTCTCCTTCCTTAGCTGGAATTACAGGCACTGGCCACCACACCCGGGCTAATTTTTGTATTTTTGTATTTTCTTATTTTTTTGAGATGCAGTCTCGCTCTGTTGCCCAGGCTGGAGTGTAGTGGTGTGATTTGGGCTCACAGCAATCTTCGCCCCTGGGGCTCAAGCGATTCTCCTGCCTCAGCCTCCCAAGTAGCTGGAATTATAGGTGCCGGCCACAACGCCCAGGCTAGTTTTTGTATTTTTGTATTTTTTTGAGACGAAGTCTCACTCTGTTGCCCAGGCTGGAGTGCAGTGGCACGATCTCGGCTCACTGCAACCTCCATCTCCTGGGTTCAAGCAATTCTCTTGCCTCAGCCTGCCGAGTAGCTGGGATTACAGGCACACACCACCACACCCAGCTAATTTTTGTATTTTTAGTCTCCATGTTGGTCAGGCTGATCTTGAACTCCACACCTCGTGATCTGCCCGCCTCAGCTTCCCAAAGTGCTGGGATTACAGGCGTGAGCCACCCCGGCCAATTTTTGCATTTTTAGTAGAGACAGTGTTTTGCCATGTTAGCCAGGCTGGTCTGGAACTGCTGGTCTCAGGTTATCTGCCTGCCTTGGCTTCCCAAAGTGCTGGGATTACAGGTGTGAGCCACTGCACTCCACCTTGAATCATTTTTTTTTAGACAGTCTTGCTCTGTCACCCAGGCTGAAGTGCAGTGGCAGGATCTCTGTTCACTGCAATCTCTGCCTCCAGGGTTCAAACAATTCTCATGCCTCAGCCTTCTGAATAGTTAAGATTACAGACATGTGGCACCATGCCCAACTAAATTTTGTGTTTTCTAGTAGAAAACGGGGTTTCACCATGTTGGCCAGGCTGGTCTCAAACTCCTGACCTCAATTGATCTGCCTGCCTCAGTCTCCCAAAGCGCTGGGATTACAAGCATGAACCATCGTGCCTGGCCTTGAGTTAATTTTTTTATAAAGTGAGAGAAAAAAATTCAGTTTTATTCTACTACATGTGGCTTTCCAATTATTTCCGCACCATTCATTTAATAGAGTGTTCTTTCCCCACTTTGTGTTTTTGTTTACTTTGTTGAAGATCAGTTAGCTGAAAGTATTTGGCTTTATATCTGGTTTTGCTATTCTGTTCCATTGGTCTACATGCCTATTTTTATACCAGTACCATGTTGCTTTGGTAACTATAGTCTTGTAGTGTAGTTTGGAGTCAGATAATGTGATGCTTCCAGATTTGTTCTTTTTGCTTAGTCTTGCTTTTGCTATGCATGCTCTTTTTGGTTCCATATAATTTTAGGGTTTTTTTTTTCTAGATCTGTGAAGAATGATGATGTTATTCTGATGGAAATTGCCTTGAATTTGTAGATTGCTTTTGGCATTATGGTCACATTGACAATATTGAGTCTACCAATCCATGAGCATAACATGTGTTTCTATAATTTCTTTCAGCAGTCTTTTGTAGTTTTCTTTGCAGATATCTTTCACTTTCTTGGTTAGGTCTATTTCTATTTATTTATTTATTTGCAGCTGTTGTTAAAGGGGTTGAGTTCTTGATTTTATTCCCAGCTTGGTCACTATTGTTGTATAACAGTGCTGCTAATTTGTATATTGATTTTGTATTCTAAAACCTTGCTGAATTCATTTATCATATCTAGGAGGATTTTGAACTAGTCTTCAGGCTTTTCTAGATATACAATCTTATCACTGAACACTGACAGTTTGACTTCCTCTTTACCAATCTGAATGCACTTTATTTCTTTCTCTTGTCTATTGCTCTGGCTAGGACTTCCAGTACCATGTTGAGTAGAAATGGTGAAAGTGGGCATTCTTGTGTTTTTCCAGTTCTTAGGAGATGTGGTTTCAACTTTTCCCCATTCAGTATAATATTGGCTGTGGGTCTGTCATAAATTGCTTTTATTATCTTAAGTTCTGTCTACTCTATGCCAATTTTGCTGAGGGTTTTAATTATAAGGGGATGCTGGATTTTGTCAAATACCTTTCCTGCATCTATTGAGATGATCATATGATTTTTGTTTTTAATTCTGTTTATGTGGTGTATCACATTTTTAAACCATTCCTGAATCCCTCGTGGTAAAACACACTTGGTAATTGTGTATTTTTCTGATATGCTATTGTATTTGGTTATCTAGTATTTTGTTAACAATTTTTGCATCTATGTTAATCAAGAATATTGATGTGTAGGGCTTTTTTGTTATATCCTTTCCTAGTTTTTGTATTAGGGTGATATTGGCTTCATAGAATCATTTAGGCAGGATTCCCTCTTTCTCTATTTTTTGGAATAGTTTTGGTAGAATTGATACCAATTTTCCTTTAAATGTCTGATAGAATTCAGCTGTGAATCCATCTGGTCCTGAATTCTTTGTTGTCAACAATTTTTTTTTTTTTTTTTTTTTTTTTGAGACAGAGTCTCACTTCTTCACCCAGGCTGGAGTGCAATGGAGCTATCTTGGCTTACTGCAACCTCCACCTCCATGGTTCAAGCAATTCTCCTGCCTCAGCCTTCCAAGTAGTTGGGATTACAGGCACGTGCCAGCACGCCCAGCTAATTTTTGTATTTTTAGTAGAGACGGGTTTTCATCATATTGGTCAGGCTGGTCTTGAACTCCTGACCTCAAGTGATCCGCTCACCTTGGCCTCCCAAAGTGCTGGGATTACAGGCGTGAGCCACTGTGCCCAGCCGTCAGCAATTTTTTACTACTGTTTCAATCTTGCTACTCGTTATTGGTCTGTTCAGAGTTTATATTTCTACCTGGTCTAATCTCAGAGAATTGTGTATTTCCAGAAATTTATCCATCTCCTCTAGGTTTTCTAGTTTTGTATGTAAAGGTGTTCATAGTAGTCTTGAATAATCTTCTGTATTTTTGCGGCATTGTTTGTAATATATCCTGTTTTGTTTCTAATTGAGCTTATTTGGATCTTCTCTCCGCCTATATTGGTTAATCTCACTAGTGGTCTATCAATTTTATCTTTTCAAATAACCAGCAATTCTCTCATTTATCTTTTGTAATTTTTGTTTCACTTTTATTTAGTTGTGTGCTGATACTTGTAACATATTTTCTCCTGCTAAGTTTGGGTTTGCTTTCTCCTTGGTTTTCTAGTTCCTTGAGGTATGAGCTCAGATGTTTTATTTGAGCTCTTTCAGACTTTTTGATGCAGGCATTTAATGCTATGAACTTTTCTCTTAGCACTGCTTTTGCTGTATCCTAGAGGTGTTAATAATTTGTGTCACTATTATCATTAAGTTCAAAAAATTTTTTTAATTTTCATCTTCATTTCATTGTTGACCCAAAGATCATTCAGGAAAAGATTATTTAATTTTCTGGTATGTGTATTTTGTTTTGTTTTGTTTTGTTTTTGTTTTGTTTTTTTTCTCTGTGCTCTTATAATCACATACAGACACTGCATATATACGTAGACAAATACAAGAGGTTTTAGTCGTTTCATAAAGTGGGATCATACCATACATACCTTCTTTTTTTTTTTTTTTTTATTGATCATTCTTGGGTGTTTCTCGCAGAGGGGGATTTGGCAGGGTCATAGGACAATAGTGGAGGGAAGGTCAGCAGATAAACAAGTGAACAAAGGTCTCTGGTTTTCCTAGGCAGAGGACCCTGTGGCCTTCCGCAGTGTTTGTGTCCCTGGGTACTTGAGATTAGGGAGTGGTGATGACTCTTAGCTGCCTTCAAGCATCTGTTTAACAAAGCACATCTTGCACCGCCCTTAATTCATTTAACCCTGAGTGGACACAGCACATGTTTCAGAGAGCACAGGGTTGGGGGTAAGGTCACAGATCAACAGGATCCCAAGGCAGAAGAATTTTTCTTAGTACAGAACAAAATGAAAAGTCTCCCAAGTCTACTTCTTTCTACACAGACACGGCAACCATCCAATTTCTCAATCCCTTCCCCACATTTCCCCCCTTTCTACTCCACAAAACCGCCACGGTCATCATGGCCCGTTCTCAATGAGCTGTTGGGCACACCTCCCAGACGGGGTGGTGGCCGGGCAGAGGGGCTCCTCACTTCCCAGTAGGGGTGGCCAGGCAGAGGCACCCCTCACCTCCCAGACGGGAGGCTGACCCCCCCACCTCCCTCCCAGACGGGGCGGCTGGCCGGGCAGGGGGCTGAACCCCCACCTCCCTCCCAGACGGGGCGGCTGGCCGGGCAGGGGGCTGAACCCCCACCTCCCTCCCGGACGGGGCGGCTGGCCCTCCCGGACGGGGTGGCTGCCGGTCGGAGACGCTTCTCACTTCCCAGATGGGGTGGCTGCCGGGTGGAGGGGCTCCTCACTTCTCAGACGGGGCGGTTGCCAGGCAGAGGGTCTCCTCACTTCTCAGACGGGGCGGCCGGGCAGAGACGCTCCTCACCTCCCAGACGGGGTTGCGGCCGGGCAGAGGCGCTCCTCACATCCCAGACGGGGCGGCGGGGCAGAGGTGCTCCCCACATCTCAGATGATGGGCGGCCGGGCAGAGACGCTCCTCACTTCCTAGATGGGATGGCAGCCGGGAAGAGGCGCTCCTCACTTCCTAGATGGGATGGCGGCCGGGCAGAGACGCTCCTCACTTTCCAGACTGGGCAGCCAGGCAGAGGGGCTCCTCACATCCCAGACGATGGGCGGCCAGGCAGAGACGCTCCTCACTTCCCAGACGGGGTGGCAGCCGGGCAGAGGCTGCGATCTCGGCACTTTGGGAGGCCAAGGCAGGCGGCTGGGAGGTGGAGGTTATAGGGAGCCGAGATCACGCCACTGCACTCCAGCCTGGGCACCATTGAGCACTGGGTGAACGAGACTCCGTCTGCAATCCCGGCACCTCGGGAGGCCCAGGCTGGCGGATCACTCGCGGTTAGGAGCTGGAGACCAGCCCGGCCAACACAGCAAAACCCCGTCTCCACCAAAAAAATATGAAAACCAGTCAGGCGTGGCGGCATGCGCCTGCAATCGCAGGCACTCGGCAGGCTGAGGCAGGAGAAGCAGGCAGGGAGATTGCAGTGAGCCGAGATGGCAGCAGTACAGTCCAGCTTCGGCTCGGCATCTGAGGGAGACCGTGGGGAGAGGGAGAGGGAGAGGAAGAGGGAGAGGGAGAGGGATATGTGTATTGTTTTGAGGGTTCCTTTTGGAGTTGATTTCCAATTCTATTTCACTGTGGTCTGAGTGTACTTGATATAATATTAATTTTTTAAAATTTATTGAAACTTGTTTTGTGGCATATCATATGGTCTATCTTGGAGAATATTCCATGTGCTGAATAAAAGGAATGTATATACTGTAGTTGTTGGGTAGAATGTTCTGTAAATATTTGTTATATCCATTTGTTCTAGGGTATAGCTTAAGTACACTGTTTCTTTGTTGAATTTCTGTCTTGATGAACTGTCCAGTGCTGTCAATGGAGTATTGAAGGTCCTTCACTATTATTGTGTTGCCATCTATCTCGCTGCATTTCTAAAGGGACAACTCGGGTGATACAGTAAAGTTTATATTTCCAAAGGACAGAGCTAACACTTTAGGCTAAAACATTTTCTCATATCTTCAACTCAGGAAAATATGCTGTAAGTAAAATTTAGTTAAAATAAGATGGGCCGGGCACGTTGGCTCACGCCTATAATCCCAACATTTTGGGAGGCCGAGGCGGGCGGATCACCTGAGGTCAGGAGTTCAAGACCAGCCTGGCCAATATGGCAAAACCTTATCTCTACTAAATATACAAAAAAATTAGCTGGGCATAGTGGCAGGCACCTGTAATCCCAGCTAGTCAGGAGGCTGAGGCAGGGAGACTTGCTTGAACCCAGGAAGCAGAGGTTGCAGTGAGCCAAGACATGCCATTGCACTCCAGCCTGGGTGACAGAGCAAGACTCCGCCTAAAAAAAAAAAAAAAAAAATATATATATATATATATATATATATGTAAAAGATGGCCAGAAAAGCACCTTAAACAAAGGTATGACTTGTGTAAATTTAAAATAATAGTCAATGTTTTTAATGTAACACAAACACCTTGCAAATGGAGATTTCATTTACAGATATAAATTTCTTTTACAAAATACTTTCAAAATAGTTAAATATCAGAAAGTTCTAATTTAGTTCAAAGGTGGTCTTTCAAGCTTAACTACTGTTTCCTAGGTATAATTAAGAGTTGAAGTTGAAGCCCATTCAAAAATAAAAAGAAGAAAGAATTCTCTAAGCCTGGACTCAGCATGGATAAATCTGAAAAAGAAGCCTTTACCTGAGGGTCTACTTTTACAAACACTTTATCTGGGATAGCTTTCTATTTACCTTCAAGGAGGGAGAGCAACTAAAGAAAATGGTAGATTTAATCTTTTGTAAGACTTAGACTTTTAATCTGCCTTTATAAAGATTATTTTTTTAACAAATAGTAAAAATATTGAAATCTTTTTTTTTTTTTTGAGATAGAGTCTCACTCTGTCACCCAGACTGGAGTGCAATGGCACGATCTCAGCTCACTGCAACCTCTGCCTCCCAGGGTCAAGCAATTCTGCCTCAGCCTCCTGAGTAGCTGGGATTACAGGCGACTGCCACCATGCCCAGCTAATTTTTGCATTTTTAGTAGAGACAGGGTTTCACCATGTTGGCCAGACTGGTCTTGAACACCTGACCCCAGGTGATCCACCCGCCTTGGCCTCCCAATGTGCTGGGATTACAGGGTGAGCCACCACACCCAGCCAAATATTGAAATCTTTTTAGAAGCTTCTGCACATCAGTAGTGAACCCTAGATGAGTCTTACTAGGGAGACTTCATTTTCAAACGCACTTTTTCAGGGGAACACTCCATTGTAATTTTAAATTACGTTTAGTAAAATTTTGCCATTTCTGTAAGTGTTTGCTCATGCCTGTAATCCCAGCACTTTGGGAGGTTGAGGCAGGCAGATCAGGAGTATAAAACAGCCTTGCCAACATGACGAGACACTGTCTCTACTAAAAAAATACCAAAAAATAACTGGGCATGGTGGTGCATGCCTGTAGTCTCAGCTTCTTAGAAGGCTAAACTGGGAAGATTACTTGAGCCAGGTGGGTGGAGATTGCAGTGAGCCAAGATCACACCCTTGCAGTGTGGCCTGGCTGACAGAGTGTGACCCTGCCTCAAATAAAATACAACAAAACAAAACAAAACAAGCCTCATATATGCCCCAGTAATCACTTTCTTTTCTGCAACAATAACCGTAATCCTAAGAGTTAACACTGTAGATCAATTTTGTGTTTTTAACCAAGTGTTTTATCACAGAAAAATTTAAACTTATGCAAAACAAACAAACAAACAAATAGTGCAATAGACCTGTCATGAAGCGTCAACAACTGCCAATCACCGGCCATTCTTGTTTCACCTCCACTTCTCTGCCCCAATCATTCCTGGCCAACCCATTGTCCATCCTCCATTATTTTCTTCAGTTTTTTTGTTTTTGGTTTTTTTTTTGGAGGTCAAATATACACACATTGAAAGGCACAATTCCTAACTGAAATTTTTTGACAATACACCCATATAACCTTTATACCTTTTAAGTATGAATAGGGGCCAGGTGTGGTGGCTTATGCCTATAATCCCAGCACTTTGGAAGGCTGAGGCAGGCAGATCACAAGGTCAGGAGATCGAGACCATCCTGGCTAACATGGTGAAATCCTATCTCTACTAAAAATACAAAAAATTAGCTGGGCGTGGTGGCACATGCATGTAGTCCCAGCTACTCAGGAGGCTGAGGCAGGAGAATCACTTGAACCTGCGAGGTGAAGGTTACAGTGAGCTGAGATCGCACCACTGCACTCCAGCCCAGGCAACAGAGCAAGATTCACTCCAGCCTGGACAACAGAGCAAGACACCATCTCAAAAAAAAAAAAAAAAAAAAAAGAATGAATAAGATATTTTCCTATTCTATCTATAGAATTTAGAATAGAATGATAGAATATTTTATTATTCTCAGATAATTGCCTTATGCTTTTTTCCAGACAATTTTACTCTCAACCAGAGGCTATTTCTTTGCTAATGTTTTATTACCATTGGTTAATTTTGTCTGACATCATACAATATGTATTATTTTATGTCAAGCTTGTCTCATTTGGCAGCTTTATGAGACTCTTTCAAGGTGTGTGCTTCAGTACTTTGTTCCTAAAAAATCTAGAGGAATATCCTTTAAGGCTATGGAAATACAATGTTTCTCCTTTAAATTTTACCCACAATTTTTGCATTATTCAGTCCATCTTGTCTACAGTAATTCTTACTGTGGTGCCCTAGTCATGCCTGTAATCCAAGCACTTTGGGAGGCTGAGGCAGGTGGATCACTTGTGGTCAGGAGTTCAAGATCAGCCTGGGCAACATGGTGAAACCCCATCTCTATGAAAAAATATGAAAAGTTAGCCAGATGTGGTGGTTCACACCTGGAGTCTCAGCCACGTTGGAGCTGAGGTGGAGGTGGGAGGATCACTTCAGGCCAGGAGGTTGAGGCTGCAGTGAGCCAAGATTTTGCCATTGTACTCTAGCCTGGGTGACAAAGTGAGATGCTATCTTAATTTTTAAATAAAAATTTTAAAAAAGAGAGAGGGAAGAGTAAACAGGACTTTTGAATTTTGTATACCAGCTCAGCCACAGCAAGATAGGCCATTTGTCAGAGTTGGAAAGCCTCTTTTTCAGCCACTAGCTCCTAACTGACATTTCTAGGTACACCCTGGGCCAGAAGGAAATCTGTTGCTTTGAATGCAAAGCCCCCCTACTGTCAGAACCCATCAACAGATAACCGAAGAGCCCTTGGGCCCTGAGTGACCTGCAGTAATACCCAAGTACTATGCTGTGAGCTTTAATTCAGACTCTAGGGCTTGCCAGAATCAGGTGAGACTCAGCACATTTTCAGCTTTGCTGGCTACAGGAAGAGAATGAAAAATGTAGAGGGAAAACTCTATAGGACTTTGTCTTGCACCTTAGGTACCAGCATGGCCAAAGAGAGGAAGAGCACCAAGTGGGCTTTTTGGGTCCCTGACCCCAGGGCTTGGTTCTTGGATACCATTTCAGGACCCGTCCTAGGACATAAGGGACCATAAAGGAGAGTATCAGGCCAAGCATCATTCACCACAAGCTAATGTAAGAGTCCTTAAGCCTTAAGGGAACATTGGTGGTAGCCTGGCAGGACTCCCCATGGGCCTGTGGTGGTGGTGGCAATGGGGTGAGGCCCCTCTGCCTGTGGAGCAAGGAGGAAATAGTGGGAAGAACTGCATCTCATAGTTTGACTTCTAGCCCTACCACAGTACAACAGACCACCAGGTAGAATCCTAAGGTTATTGACTCCAGCCCCTGGCTCCTGGATGGTACCTCTCAACCTGCTCAGAGCCTGAGGGAACTCACTACCCTTCAGGGAAATATAAGCCTAGCTGGCCTTACCACCTACTGACTATAGAGCCCCGGAACCCTGAGAGATTATCAGTGGTAGCAGGTAGTCCTCACGGCTCATCTTGGGTGAAACCCAGTGCTGTGCTGGCTTCTGATCTGACCCACTGCAGTCCCAGTAGATGTGTTACATTGCCCCAAGCTACATGTGGCTCAGAACAGAAAGACTTTGTTTGGGAGAAAGTAAAGGAAGAAAACAAGAATCTCTGCCTGGTAATCCAGAGAATTTTTCCAGATCTTATCTAAGACCATTAAGGCAGTACCTTCATGAGTGTGAAAGAAATACAGTGTTAACTGGACTTGGGGTACCCCTAATGCAGATGTGGTTAAGGTAACAATACCTCAGTCCTTTTGAATACCTGGGAATTCTTCTCAACAAGAACAGGTACAAAGAAGCCGAGACTGCAAAGGCTACAAAAAATACCTAACTTTTTAATGCCCAGTCACTGATGAAAAATAAGCACTATGAACAGTCAAGGAAACATGACCTAACCAAATGAACTAAACAAAGCACCAGTGACCAGTCCTGGAGGAACACAGATATGTGACCTATCAGAGTGAATTCAAAATAGTTGTAGAAATTTGAAGACATTCAAGATAACCAAGAGAAATAATTCAAAATTTTATCAGATAAATTTAATTTTCAGATAAATTTAAATTTATCAGGCTTATCCTACAAGAAATTCTAAAGAGAGTACCTCAATAAGAAAGAGATTGATAATTCAAAAGAATACTAATTCAAAAGAAATAATTAAAATTATTAATTATATAAAGTCATTTATGAAAAAAATTCAAAATAATCAAACAATAAAAAATTCTGGAGTTAAAGAAATGCAACTACAATACCATAGAATGTCTTTTAATAGCAGAATTTATCAAGCAGAAAAGAAAATTAGTGAGCTTGAAGACAAGCTATACAAAAATATAGAGTGGGGAAAAAAAAAGAACAAGAAACAACAAAGAAGCACACCTACAGGATCTAGAGAATAACCTCAAAAAGGCAAATCTAAGAGTTACTGGCCTTAAAGAGGAGGTAGAGAGACAGGAGTTGAAAATGTATTCAAAGTGATAACAATAGAGAACTTCCTAAACTTAGAAAAGGTTTTCAATATCTAAGTATAAGAAGGTTATAAAACACCAAGGAGATATAACCCAAAGAAGACTTCAAGGCATTTAGTAATTGAACTCCCAAAGATCAATGATATAAAAAGTATTCTAAAAGCAGCAAGACAAAGAAAACCAATAACATACAATAGATCTTCAATACATCTGGTAGTAGAGTTTTCAGTGGAAGTATTACAGGCCAGAAGAGATTGATATGACATATTTAAAATGCTGAAAAAAAATCACTTTTACCTTAAAGTAGTATATCTGACAAAAATATTCATCAAATATGAAAGAGAAATAGTTTCCCAGACAACCAAAAACTGAGGAATCTCATCAACATCAGGCTTATCCTACAAGAAATTCTAAAGAGAGTACCTTAATAAGAAAGAAAATAATAAGCAAGAAGAAACCATCTGAAGGTACAAAAGTCACTGATAATAAGTTCAAACAAAAATACAGAATACTATGTGATTCTGTAACTGTGGCACTTAAACTACTTTTAAGTAGAAAAATTAAATGATGAGCCAAACAAAAATAATAACTACAACAACTTTTCAAGACACAGAAAATAAAATAAGATATAGATTAAAACCAGGAAAATTAAAATCAAAGGACAAAGTTAAGGTATAGAGTTTTTATTAGTTTTTTTAATTTATAAAAACAGTGTTAATTTGTTTTCAGCTTAAAATGATGTATTATAAAATAGTATTCGCCAGCCTCATCATAACCTCAAATCAAAAAACATACAATAAACAAAAAATGAAAGAAAATAGCATACATTAAATCATAGCACCAGAGTAAATCATCTTTACTAAAAGGAAGACAGGGAAGAGGGACAGAAGAAACAGAAGACCACAAAGAAGCAGAAAACAAGTAACAAATTGGCAGAAGTAAGTCTTTTCTTTTTTTTTTTTTTGAGACAGAGTCTGGCTCTGTCGCCAAGGCTGGAGTGCAGTGGCATGATCTCAGCTCACTGCAAGCTCCACCTCCTGGGTTTACACCATTCTCCTGCCTCAGCCTCCTGAGTAGCTGGGACTACAGGTGCCCACCATCATTCCCGGCTAGTTTTTCTATTTTTAGTAGAGACAGGGTTTCACCGTGTTAGCCAGGATGGTCTCCATCTCCTGACCTCGTGATCCACCTGCCTCGGCCTCCCAAAGTACTGAGATTACAGGTGTGAGCCACTGCGCCCAGCCAGAAGTAAGTCTTTTCTTATCAATAATAACACTGAATGTAAATGGACTAAACTCTCCAATCAAAAGACATACTGTGGCTGAATAAAAATTAAGACCCAGTGATCTGTTGCTAACAAGAAACATACTTCATCTATAAACACGCACAGATTAAAAATAAAGAAATGAAAAAAGATACTCTGCCCATGAAAACCAAAGACAGCAGTGGTAGCTATATTTATATCAGACAAAATAGATTTCAAGACAAAAACTATAAGACAAAGAGCATCACTATATAATAATAAAGGGGTTAATTAAGCATGAGGATATAAGAATGTTACATACATATACACCCAGATATTTTGAGAAAATATGAGAGCTAAAGAGAGAGATAGGCCCCAATATAATAATAGCTGGAGACTTCCCCACTTTCAGCATTGGAAAGATCTCCCAGAAAGAAAATCAACAAAGAAACATTAGGCCTAATCTGTGGCATGGGCCAAATAGTTGTAATGAATATTTACAGAACACTTTATAAAATGCCTGCAGAATACATATTCTTCTGCTCAGCACACGAATCATTCTCTTTGATAGACATTATGTTAGGTCTCAACACGAGTCTTAAAATATTCAAAAAATTAAAATATTATCAAGCATCTTCTCTGACCATGATATAATAAAACTAGAAATCAATAACAAGAAAATTTTTGGAAAATATAAAGATTCATAGAAATTAAATAATATGCTCTTGAAAAACCTGAGCAGGCTGGGTATAGTGGCTCACTCCTGTAATCCCAGCACTTTTGGAGGCCAAGGGACCAGATCACTTCAGGAGTTCAAGGAGTTCAAGACCAGCCTGGCCAACATAGTGAAGCCCCATCTCTACTAAAACTACAAAAATTAGCCAGGTATGATGGCACACACCTGTAGTCCCAGCTACTCGGGAGGGTAAAGCAGGAGAATCACTTGAACCTGGGAGGTGGAAGTTGCAGTGAGCAGAGATCACACCACTGCACCTCAGAATGGGCACTCAAATGAGACTATGTCTCAAAAAAAAAAAATTCAGTGAAATGAAAGTCTCTCCTAAGAAACAATGGAAGTTGAAAATTATATATTTGACAGAAGTTAATATCCAGAATATATAAACAACTCCAAAAACTCAACAGCAACAGAGTAACATAATTAACAAATAGGCAAAAGATAGAAATATGTTTCCCCAAAAATAAAATACACATAACAAATAATCAACTGAAAAATTCTTAATGTTTAGAAAAATGTAAAGCAAAACTACAATGAAACATTACTGTGCCTTAAATAAGATGGCCAATATCAAGCAAACTAAAATAACAAATGTTGTCAGGAATGTGGAAGAATTGAAACCCTTATGTACTGTTAGTGAAGAAAAAGTGATGCAGCCACTTTAAAAATGTATGGAAGGGGCCGAGCATGGTGGCTCATGCCTGTAATCCCAGCACTTTGGGAGGCCAAGGCAGGCAGGTCACCTGAGGTCGGGAGTTTGAGACCATTCTGACCAACATGGAGAAACTCCGTCTCTACTAAACACAAAATTGGCTGGGTTTGGTGGCGCATGCCTGTAATCCCAGCTACTTGGGAGGCTGAGGCGGAGGTTGTGGTGAGCCAAGATCGCACCATTGCACTCCAGCCTGGGCAACGAGAGCAAAACTCCATCTCAAAAAAAAAAAATTTATAAAAGGTCCTTAAAAAATTAAAAATCAAGTTATTATATGATCCAGTAATTACACTTCTGGGCATATATTAAAAATATGCAAAGTAGTACCTGAAAGAAATATTTGCTCTTTCATGTTTATAGCAGTAATATTCACTGTATTAGTTTATTCTCACTTTGCCATAAAGAAATAACTGAAACTGGGTAATTTATGTTAAAAACAGGTTTACTTAGCTCATGGTTCTGCAGCCTGTACAGAAGGCAAAGCAGCTTCTGCCTCTGGGGAGGGCTTAGAAAGCTTCCAGTCATGGCAGAATGCAACGAGAGAGTGAGTCAACTCACATGGTGAAAGCAGGAGCAAGAAATAGTGAGGGGGAGGTGCCGTATCATCTAAACAGATGAGATCTCAGAACTCGCCAACTATGACAAAGACAGCACCAGAGGGGATGGTGCTAAACCATTCATGAGAAGCTGCCCCTATAATGCAATGACCTCCCTCCAGGCCCCACCTCCAACTTTGGGGATTACAATTTAACATGAGATTTGGGTAGGAACACAGATTCAAACCGTATCATTTATAAAAGCCGAAAGTGAAAAAACACAAATGTCCCTCAATGGATAAATGATTAAAGAAGACAGGGCGTATACATACAATACTCTTTAGCCACAAATGAAAATATCTTGTCACATGCTATGATAAAGATAAATCTTTTTTTGTTTTTTGTTTGTTTGTTTTATTGAGACAGAGTCATGCTTTGTCACCCATGCTAGAGTGCAGTGGTGTGATCTTGGTTCACTGCAACCTCTGCCTCCTGGGTTCAAGAGATTCTCCTGCCTCAGCCTCCCACGTAGCTGGGATTACAGGCACCTGCCACCACGCCTGGCTAATTTTTGTATTTTTAGTAGAGACGGGGTTTCACCATGTTGGCCAGGCTGGTCTTGAACTCCTGACCTCAGGTGATCGATCCACCCACCTCAGCCTCCCAAAGTGCTGGGATTACAGGCATGAGCCACCGCACCCAGCCAAAGGTAAATCTTAAAGCCATTATTTTGAGCAAAATAAGACACTAACAAAATGACAGACTGTATGATTTCACTCATATAAGATATCATAAATAGTAAACTCATAGAAACAGGAAGTAGAAGAATGCTTGCATGTGGTTGGGGTTGTGAAACCTTGGTGGAGCCAAAGACAGAGGAGGTCCACTTGAAAACAGCAGGCTCTCATTTAGGTGGCAGACTTAAGGGCCCACAGACATGGCTACAGACAAGGAAATGATGCACTGAACTTGGTCTCAGAATCCTAAAGCAGTTCTGCAACCTCCCTCAAATTCCTCTCAGCTATAGTCCAGAAGTAGTACTTTCCATCAAGAGACTGCAGGGAGACACACCCAACCATGGCTCTGAAGGCAGGCCTGTAGACACTAGCCTCAGCTCTGGTCCCTGAAGCAGCCTTCTGACTGTTTCAACCCTCACAGCCACAGGCTACGGCCAGTCATACACACTGAGGGGTCCACAGATACCTATAAAAAATGCTCCTAGGTACCCAGTAAAAGCCAAACCCATTCATACACCTGGTATTTGGCCCATCATATGCAGATAAATTTCAAAATCCTACCCCAGTGCCTGCCATATCGATTACTGTTCTCAAGAAAATCTAAACTTTCCAGGGCCCAGAAAGGATACACGACTGCTAAAATCTCAGGTAACAGTACCATCAAAGGCAGGTCCCACAGCAGACCCAGCAGCATCCTTGTAACCCAGCTACAACCCATATTCTCTGCAACCCCAGAGGTAATTCCATCAGCCTAAAGACCCAACAAGAAGAGACCTTTAGCTGCCAAAAATAGTTTACAAAAACTGTAAGAGGAGTTTATAAAAATTTCAAATCTACAGACACCAGTTAAAAGTTACAATGTGCCACTCTCAATCCTTCTATCCTAACATATTACCGGAAGTTTGTATCAGAACTATTTGGCAAAGAAAAAGAAAACAAAGCCTTCTGACTTGGAAAAGAAGTAAAAATGTTACTGTTTGTAGATGGTATGATCATGCATTTATATATAAAACCCTAGAGTACAACAACAAGAACTGTTTGCACTAATAAATGCATTCATTAAAGTTTCAGGATACAGATTCAGCATACAAATACTTGTGGGTTTTTTTTTTGAGAGGGTGTCATGCTTTTGCTCTTGCTGGAGTCCAGTGGGGCAATCTCAGCTCACTGCAGCCTCAGCCTCCTGGGCTCAAGTGATCCTCCCATATCAGCCTCTTGAGTAGCTAAGACTACAGGTGTATAGCAGGTAGCATGGCTAATTTTGTCTATTTTTGTAAAGTCATGATTTCACTACATTGACCAGGCTTGTCTTGAACTCCTGGGCTCAAGGGATCTACCTGCCTTGGCCTCTGAAAGTGCTGGGATTACAGGGATGAGCCACTGAACCTGGCCCAAATGTAAATATTTTTTGCATTTCCATACACTAACAACAAACTTTCCAAAAAAAGAAACAATTTTCGTTTACAATAATGTAAAAATAAAAAAATCAAAATAAATTTATCTGATGAGAAAAAAATTATACACTAAATACAGTAAGATACTAATGATAGAAACTGAAATAGACACAAATGAATAAAAACATATTAAGATAACTAATATTGTCAAAGTACCATATGAGTCAAAATGATCTAGAGTCAATGTAATCCCTATCAAAATTTAAGTGGCATTTTTTTCACCGTAATAGAAACCACAATTGTATAATTTGAGTGTACCTAAAACAACTTCAAATAACCTGAGAAGGCCGGGCATGGTGGCTCATGCCTGTAATCCCAACACATTGAGAGGCCAAGGTGGGATGATTACACAAGGTCAGGAGTTCAAGACCAGCCTGACCAACATGATGAAACCCCGTCTCTACTAAAAATACAAAAATTAGCCATGTGTGCTGGCAGGTACCTGTAATCCCAGCAGCTTGGAAGGCTGAGGCAGCAGAATTTCTTGAACCTAGGAGGTGGAGGTTGCAGTGAGCTGAGATCCCACCACTGCACTTCAGCCTGGGTGACAGAGCAAGATTTCATCTCAAAACAAAAATAACCTGAGCAATGTTGAGAAAGAACAAAGCTGGGGGCATCAAACCACCTGATTTCCAACATTATCTAGAGGTTATAGTATGTGCATAAAAACAGCTTAAAAAAAAAAACAACAGCCAGGCTCGGTGGCTCATGCCTGTAATCTCAGCACTTTGGGAGGCCGAGGTGGGCACATCACGAGGTCAGGAGATCGAGATCATCCTGGCTAACATGGTGAAACCCTGTCTCTGCTAAAAATACAAAAAAAACTTCACCAGTCATGGTGGCACACACCTGTAGTCCCAGCTACTTGGGAGGCTGAGGCAGGAGAATTGCTTGAACTCGGGTGGCTGAGGTTGCAGTGAGCCAAGATCATGCCACTGCATTTCAGCCTGGGCGACTCCGTCTCAAAAAAAAAAAAAAAAATTGAACAAAACAGAAATCCCAGAAACAAATCCATGCATACAAGGTCAACTAATCATTGACAAGGGAGCCAAGAATATACAATGCAGAAAGTATAGTCTTGTCAATACATGATGCCAGAAAAAAACTGGATATTCACAAGCAAAATAATAAAACTAGATCATTTTCTTATACCACAACCCCAAATTAACTCAAAATAAAAGGCTGAAATGTAAGACATAAAACCTTGGGCTGGGCGCGGTGGCTCACGCCTGTAATCCCAGCACTTTGGGAGGCCGAGGCGGGCGATCACGAGGTCAGGAGATCGAGACCATCCTG
This sequence comes from Homo sapiens, assembly GCF_000001405.40. Classification (NCBI taxonomy): domain Eukaryota; kingdom Metazoa; phylum Chordata; class Mammalia; order Primates; family Hominidae; genus Homo; species Homo sapiens. The sequence continues at coordinate 64,772,030 of NC_000007.14, read as the reverse complement.
GCTAACACGGTGAAACCCCGTCTCTACTAAAAAAAAAAAAAAAAAAAAAAAAAAAAAAATTAGCCAGGCATGGCGGCGGGCACCTGTAGTCCCAACTACTCTGGAGGCTGAGGCAGGAGAATGGCGTGAACCCGGGAGACGGAGCTTGCACTGAGCCAAGATCGTGCCACTGCACTCCAGCCTGGGCGACAGAGCGAGACTCCGTCTCAAAAAAAAAAAAAAAAAAAAAGACATAAAACCTTAAAACTCCTGAAGAAAATATATGGAAAAACCTTCTTGATATTGTTTGAGGCAATAATTTTTTGAATATAAAACCAAAAGCACAGCAATGAAAGAAAATATTAACAAGTGGGATTGCATCTAAATAAACAGCTTCTGCACAGCAAAGAAAAAAATTTTAAAAACCCAACAGAATGGGAAAATAATTGCAATAAATATTTGCCATAAATCTGATGATAAGTTAATATCCAAAACTTATGCAATTCAAAGCAAAAACAATAATGATGATGATAACCCCTTAAAAATAGTCAAAAGGTTAGATTTTCTTTTTCCCCCAAAAAAGACATACATACAAGGAAAAGCCTGAATGCTGTTGGTGAGATGTAAACTGATAGAGTCATTGTAAAAACCAGTAAAAATTTTTTTAAAATCTATTATATAATCCAGGAATACCACTTCTGAGCATACTACCAAAGGAAATAAAATTAGTGCCTCAAAAAAAACTTCAGCTCCAAGTTCAATGCAGTATTATTTACAATAGCCAAAATATGGTGTATATACACAGTAGAATACTATTGAGACATAAAAAAGACAAAAATCCAGCCATTAACAACATGGATAGACCTGGAGGACATTATGCTACATTAAATAAGCCAGACACAGAGAGACAAAGAAACTGCATATTCTCAGATGGGAAATCTAAAAATGTGAACTCATAGAAGCACAGAGTAGAATGATGGTGGTCAGTGCCTGAGGGTGGGAATATGGGGAGATGTTGTTCAAAGTGTTCAATTTTTTAGTTATAAGTTGAGTAAGTCTGAGAAATCTAATGTATATTAGCGTTAGACTAGCGAAATAGCATAGTGTTTATAGTTAGTAATACTGTAATGTATGCTTAAAATTTGCTACAAGAGTAAACATTAAGTGTTCTTACTACAAAAATGGTATGTTTTTATGAAGTAATAAATGTGTTCATTAACTTGATTGTATTTTATTTTACAATGTATATGAATATCAAATAATTAGAGTTTACACATTAGTTATACAACCTTTATTTGCCAGAGTAGCTATGTCACACAAACAGGCATAGGGTAAGTCCTCTATTAATGTTCAAAATAGGTCTACTTTTAAAAACTGATTTTTTTTTGAGACAGAGTCTCACTCTATTGCCCAGGCTGAAGTGCAGTGGCACAATCTCGGCTCACTGCAGCCTCTACCTCCTGAGTTCAAGTGATTCTCCTGCCTTAGCCTCCCAAGTACCTGGGATTACAGGCGCGTGCCACCACACCCAGCAAATTTTTCTATTTTCAGTGGAGATGGGGTTTCACCATGTTGGCCAGACTGGTCTAGAACTCCTGACCTCAAGTTGATGTGCCCACCTTGGCGTCCCAAAGTGCTGGGATTACAGGTGTGAGTCATCACACCCCACCATTTATACTTAACTCTTGTTTGCATCAATAAACCTATGGTAAAATTAACTTTCTTAAACAATATGTTGTTTCACTTACAGTAACAGTTTCCAAGAATCTATCGATAATGTTAAGTGAGAATTTACTGTATACCTATATAATTTATATAGGTGACACACATGCACATATATACATACATACATTGATAAATATCTAAATGACAGTTTCAGTGTGTTTCCTACTAAATAAGACAATGATAAAGTAATAGTTACTAAGAAGGAAAAACTGAGTTTAATATATGCTTAGCAATGGTCTAAGCTTCTTAGTAACATATGGCATTTAACAAATTTAGAAGATAAGTAGATACTTTACACTATATAACAATTAGAAAATTTGCATATAGAGTTTAAAAGTCTCAGATCATACTAAAACAATAATATTCTGAAATAAAATAACATTTTTCGTATTTAGGAAAATGCTTATTGTTCTGATAAAATCAATTTGTAGAATCATATTTGCAAGCATTATAGGATTAAAAATCATAAAGCAAAAAATATGCAACAACTATTCCTGGCATTAGTTGGGGATTCCTAACACCCTGAGATTTCTGAACCAAATCCCAATATCTCCACTACTCACTTCAGACATTTTAGACATACTGCAAAAGGGAAATTTGAAAAAAAATAGTTTAACATAGAGTTTCTAAAAAATACCAATATTCCTATGTCTCCAAAAGCAATGGAAAAGCAGTCAGATCATGCAGATCCCTATAAGCAATAAAATAGACATTGGCGGCCGGGCACGGTGGCTCACGCCTGTAATCCCAGCACTTTGGGAGGCCAAGGTGGGTGGATCACGAGGTCAGGAGATCGAGACCATCCTGGCTAACACGGTGAAACCCTGTCTCTACTAAAAAAAAAAAAAAAAAAAAAATTAGCCGGGCATGGTGGCTGGCACCTGTAGTCCCAGCTACTTGGGAGGCTGAGGCAGGAGAATGGTGTAAACCCAGGAGGTGGAGCTTGCGGTGAGCCGAGATCACGCCACTGCACTCCAGCCTGGGCAACAGAGAGAGACTCTGTCTCAAAAAAAAAAAAAAATAGACATTGGCTCTCACTGTAAAATTGAAGGGAGATCACTAAAGAAAAAGGAGACTCCTTAGAAGATTCAAGAGTATAGGACAGAAGATGATCCTGCTTGTAAGTATGAGAAAAACCCAGACTTCTCAATAATCATTTTCACTGGAGCAGAGCTTCCCAAACTACATTTTAACTCCTGGCTTTCTCCTTGACCTTCAGTCCTCTTGCATATGTCATCTCCTGCATTCATTCTCACTGACTTGGGTATTTGGCTACTGTCTCATGTTTCTTCACATTGCAGGGCTCTTTCCTTTGCTCCAGACAGGTGATCAGGTCTGGCTTGGAGATAATGACATCTGTTCTATTCTTTTAAAAATGACACAACTATTGCTGGGGATTCTCCAGTTACAAACATTGTCCTGTGCTTAGTAGAAAAGAGAAATTATGAAAGATTCTAGAAAATTAATCCAAAAATTATTTTCTAACAGAATCTTTAGAATATTTAAGTATTTTAAATCTGTGTCTTCCTAGTTTTACTACCCAAAATTACTGAATCAAAAATAAGTGATGAAAATTGAATATTAAGTTACGGACGTCAGGGCACAGTGGCTCATGCCTGTAATCCTAGCACTTTGGAAGGCTGAGGTGGGTGGATCACGAGGTCAAAAGATTGAGACCATCCTGGCTAACACGGTGAAATCCCATCTCTACCAAAAATACAAAAAATTAGCCGGGCATGGTGGCACGTGCCTGTAGTCCCAGCTACTCAGGAGGCTGAGGCAGGAGAATTGCTTGAACCCAGGAGGCGGAGGTTGAAGTGAGCCAAGATCGCACCACTGCACTCCATCTCAAAAAAAACCAAAAAGATATGGGCAATAATATTTTTTGCCATTGAATTTCTAGAGTGAAGCACACAAATCAGCTCAAGAAAAGAGAAGCTTTATGCCAAGATAAAACATCTTAAAGATTTGTTTTCTAGACGAGCAAACTTCCAATTCTTGAAGAAAGAAACTAAAATTAATTCATGCAAAGCAGAATCTCCCAAGAAACATTCTACAAAGAGAGAAAATAAAACTCTGAGGATTACTAGGAATTATGTATTAAAGTTATCCTCACCCAGGAAGATCAGGTTTCTGTCATTTTCTAACATCACATCCTTATATACATTTTTAACACAGTAATACTCTCTAAGCCATTCTATAACTCTGAGAAAAAAGGATGACATACCAGCAATTTTTGCTTCTGCAATGGAAATATGGGCCGCACTGACTTGCCCTTACCAAACCCAAGCACAGCAGACCCTGTGACTTTCATTTGGAACAAAAGGTGAACTCAACCTTTTTTAAATAAAGTATCTGGAAGTCCGCACACTTGATCCCGGCCTCACTGTAGAATCATGTGAGGCACTTAATTAAAAAACAGGGATGTTTCCACACAAAACAACAGAAAGATTCTGTGGGGAGGCACAGGGTATGGTATCTCTTCAAACTGGTCAGGTGATCCTATTGGAAGACTGGGCAGAGAATCACTTAGCTAAGCAGTGCCTCTCAAGCTTCAATGTGCATATAAATGTTTTGGTATTTCAGGCCTCACTGTAAGTAAGTAACATAATGCTGCAGGTTTGCAAAAGGTCCATGAATTAGCTTATTTTAACAAGTTCCCTGTTAATGCAGATGCTGCTCCTTCTAACACCATTGTAGTAGCACTCAGCTACAGAAAGCAGGCACAGCACAGAGTCCCTTACTCCAACATCCTTATCACAACACAAATCCTTTTCATCCAAAGAAAGAACCACCAATCGCCAGCCTAAAACATGACATTCTTTGCAGGCCCTTTAAAGATTACAGAGGCTGGAGTCGGGTGGCTCATGCCTGTAATCCCAGCACTTTGGGAGGCCGAGGCTGGCAGATCACCTGAGGTCAGGAGTTCAAGACCAGCCTGACCAACATGGAGAAACCCCATCTCTACTAAAAATATAAAAAATATAAAAATACAACAAATATAAAAAATACAAAGCTGGGTGTGATGGCACATGCCTGTAATTGCAGCTACTTGGGAGGCTGAGGCAAGAGAATCGCTTGAACCCGGGAGGTGGAGGTTTTGGTGAGCCAAGATCACACCATTGCACTCCAGCCTGGGCAACAAGAGCAAAACTCCATCTCAAAAAAAAAAAAAAGATATTACAGAGGCTGGAGATGGTAGCAATGTCTGAGTAAATCTGCATTTGGAAAACAACATGTGCACATACATTAATGCAATGTTTATGCAGAATGTACTATGTGCTCAGGAGTATGTCACAGAGCACTGTGCTGGCCTCATATTATGTAAGTTTTTTTTTTTTTAACACACTGGGACATGGGTACTAAGAGTCCAATAATATTCAGGATTTAAATACAGGGTCTAGCATTTCTATTTCTTCTTCTGTTTCCCTATTACTGATTTTAAAAAGAAAATATATAGAATAATAGCTCAATAATAGTTATAGATAGATGGGAGAGATACAGAAAGGAAGTGTTAAGTGCAGTTCAGAGGGATTTTTAATTTTTGTGTTTGTATTTTATTGAGACTTGTCGAGAAACTACTAAAACCACAGGGATGGGATGTCTCTAGAAGCACCTGCTTTAATTAAAAAAAAAAAAGATTTTAAGGTTCCAAGTATACAGCTTTTTTTTCCCATTTATCTGCTTTTGGATTTCAGAAAATTGTGAGCACCAGCTCTGGAGAGGCAGTAGGAGCAACCACCCCAAACTCTGACCTCCTTTAAGCAGTTCTGTCAGAGATTCCCGTGTAGAGTCAGACTGGGACAAGATTCAGCATAGGGTGAATCTGGGCAGGTTTGGGACAGAGAATGGGCCCTAGGCTTCTAATCTCAATGCTGCTGAGTAGAAGCAATATAAATAATAATAATAACAACTTCTCTTCTGTCCATGAATAGCCCTTCCAGAGGTGGCATAAAAACTCAGGTAACAATAAAAGGAAAATGACCCAAATGAAGCTTAAGTTCCCTGTGCACCTTCCATCCTTGCACTAATCACATGATGTGAAATTCAACCATGTATTTATGTGCTCCAGACTGCAAGTTTCCAGATGGTAGAGGCCATGACAGCTTCATCTGTTTCTCTAATGGCCATATGAAAGAGAAGAAATTCACTGACTGACCAGTTTGAGCATCCAGATCTATTCATTTTTTGCCAAAGAACCAGAGAAACTCCCATCCTAGTACAAACCAAAAAGAATGTTCTATGAAGGGAGAAACAAACCCTGGATGAGTCACTGTTCTTCCTCTGAAATGGGAACAGAATTAGATTTTGTTATAAGCCTGACCCCAGCCTGCACAGGACATCCTCAAATGTCTCAAACCCTCACAAATGAGGGTGAGAGTGTCTTCACTGATCCTAGGCTGATGCCCCCAGAGTGATCCAGGCAGGAGACTCAGGGTGACTTTCTGGGCTACAGATAATAAGTGGAACTGCCCTGGTGGAGCTGCAGACCAGCTGCAGATCCACCAGGTGGATCAGGATGTGATACTCCTTGTCCCTGATCAGCTAACTCTGGGGTAAGAGAAAAGATGAAAATACTCTACTCCAGTAACACAGTTTACAGGGAGGTATAGTAGTGATTATGGCTCTGGATATTTTGTGGCCCTGACCTCCCACTGCTAAGGTGCTTGTTTAACTTACAGATTCTACCACAGGATTCTGTTGACACCAGAAGCCTCTTACACAGCTGTAGCAGGACACTGGGAACAAGATCTGGACATGGCAAAGGGCTCCACTCTAAAAGCAAAGCTTAAGATGTCTATATTCATCGCTCATGGTGCAGAAAATGTCTTCTGTGAGTTTTCTGCATGTCTTCAACCCAAAGTCTGGCCCTGTCTTGTGAATCCAAGGCAGAGACCAGCTTTTATGTGCAGATTTTAGGTGAAATCAAAGTGACTCTCCCTTTTTGGGGTTTACAGCAAGCCAAGTAAAACCAGAGGAGAGATCCTCTCATGGAATTTTTTTCAACACATTGTAAAAAGTATTTTGACCTAAAAGGAAAAAGCTGGGGTAAACATAATATAAGTAGAGAGTTTATTTTGGCTAAATCTTAAAGATTGCAACCCTGGAGTAAAAAGTTGCCCTGAATATACCCTCCAATTAGAAGCAGTTGTAAGTGTGTATTTTTAAAGGCAAAAAAGGAAGGCAGAGAGGGTACTGATACAAAGTTATCTGTCAAAAATTCTTATTGTTTTATATAAATAACTGGTTAGCGATTGACTATACATTGTTAAGCTATAGGGTGTGGGTTATAGAGTCAAGTGTGGCATTATTAGGTTGTGGCAATACCAACCAATTTAAAAAGATAAATAGTTCAAAGAGGAGAGCAGAATATAACTGTGGTCTCATTTTAATATATCTCTGGTTTAAAAGAACTTGCATGTCTCAAATAAAAGTTCTTTTCTTCCCTCGAATCCCAGGACATGAATTCAGAATTTGGAACTGCACATTTAGGTCTTGGAAGGCTGGTGAGCTATGCACATTTGTGAGCATTTGGACAAGAGGAGGAGAGAGGAAGGTAAATTCTCGTGTTTAATCAATGCACATGTGCGAGACTGGTTGGGGATCTGGGGCCCTATGATCTTTGAATCAGTGTGAGACCTGAAGATGCCAAGAGCACTGAAAAAGGTGGAGTAATTGATTGCTGTTCTGAAAAGTTATTTTTGCAGAAATCTAGTCTAACTTCTCTAGAAGGGATTGTGGATCTTAAGTAGAAGGAGAGACCATTCTGCTTACAGATTTGGGGAGCACTTTGCTGTACTTTGTGCATTTTGCTGTACAATTATGGGTTGTAATTGGACACTTGAGAAAGAGAGACCCCTCTAAAATGAAACCTGTTGGGCACCTTGTGTATAACCTCTGGTAATTCTGGACAGTGTGTAGAAAATATAGCTAGAAACAAAAACATCTCTAACCCTAAAAAACTCTTAACAATAATAGAACAAGAAAACTATCTTGTTATATCATTAAACCAAAATGTGATGTGCATCACAGGCAATCTACTAAGAGATTGCAAACACAGAAAGGTCACCAAAATTAGTTTCCAAGTAGAAGACTTGACAACACCATTTGCCATACATAGTTTATAACCCTAGTAATCTGGGAGGTCATCTGCGTTTTCTAATTGGTAATAATCAAAGGAAAAATAAAATTTTCACATCTTCATGACGGAAAGTCCTTTTGTAATGTGGAGCCATGTACCTGCTGAAGGGAGCCTCCTACTCTCCTGTACAAACTGTGGATAGATAGGGTGTATACTCTTGCTATTTATATTTTGAAGCAATAGTTTCCAGTTCCTAAAGATAATTCTGGGTCAAAAAAGACAAATGAACTGTTTAACTAATACAAATGAGTTACATATATTTCAAAGAAGCAGAGAAAATATTTAAATACAAAAGTTTTCAAATTAAGTGCTTTATGAAAATAGGAAACATCGGGTGGGCATGGTGGCTCACACCTGTAATCCCAGCACTTTGGGAGGCCAAGGCAGGCAGATCACTTGAGGTCAGGAGTTTGAGACCAACCTGGCCAACATGGTGAAACCCCCTCTCTACTAAAAATACAAAATTAGCCAGGAGTGGTGGTGGGTGCCTGCAATTCCAGCTACTCAGGAGGCTAAGGAAGGAGAATCGCTTGAACCTGGGAGGCAGAGGTTGCAGTGAGTCAAGATTGCACCATTGCACTCAAGCCTGGGCAAAAAGAGCAAAACTCCATCTCAAAAAAAAAAAAAAAAAAAGAAAAGAAAATAGAAAATAGAAAACAGCAAAAAATCTTCCCTTATTTTAAAAAGAAAACATTAAGCCTCTTCTTCCTAATTTGCATTTGCTTCTTTTTTTTTTTTTTTTTTTTTTTTTTTTTTGAGACAGTCTTGCACTGTTGCCCGGGCTGGAGTGCAGTGGCAAGATCTTGGCTCACTGCAACCTCTGCCTCCTGGGTTCAAGCAATTCTCCTGCCTCAGCCTCCCAATTAGCTGGGATTATAGGTGCCCACCACCACGCCTGGCTAATTTTTTGTATTTTTAGTAGATATGGGGTTTCACTATGTTGGCCATGCTGGTCTTGAACTCCTGACCTTGTGATCCACCCACCTCGGCCTCCCAAAGTGCTGGGATTACAGTTGTGAGCCACTGCGCCCAGCCTCTGTATTTACTTTGACAACAGCCAGGTCTAAAGCCATGGTCTTGAACTTATTAACATCTGAATTCTAGTAGGCACAGGATTCAGGTACCTGAGGGATGGACTTGGGCACACTGCCACACTGTGTGAATATAAAAGAGGGTTTTGGGGGAAAAGAAAGGCAGGAGAGAGAAAGGTACTATCAAGAAACAAGAGTGGGCCAAGCACAGTGGCTCACACCTCTAATCCTAGCACTTTGAGAGGCCAAAGTTGGTGGATCACCTGAGGTTAGGAGTTCAAAACCAGCCTAGCCAACATGGTGAAATCCCATCTCTACTAAAATTACAAAAAATAGCTAGCCGTGGTGGCACACACCTGTAGTCCCAGCTATTTGGGAGGCTTAGGCTGAAGAACTGCTAGAACTTGGGAGGCAGAGATTGCAGTGAGCTGAGATCATGCCACTGTACTCTAGCCTGGGCAACAGAGCAAGAGGCTCCATCTCAAAATAAATAAATAAATGAATAAGTAAGCAAATAAAAGTTATTTTCTGCCTATTTTTTGAGATTCTCAAAGATCTTATAGTTGGTATTATTCTCTTACTACAATTCTTCTTTAGGAGTAAGTAACTTCATACCTAACTCTAAATTAGTTCTATTTGACAAAGTTTAGGTAGAGCCCCAGGACAATAACAACAAATCCATCCTCAAAAAGAGGCTCCCCAACCACTTCTATCCCAACTTTAACTGCATCTGACTTTGAGTATCCAGCTTTCCAGGGCTCTGTAGCTTCTGTCAGTATAAACAATTCTTCCATGGCTGAGGTGAGTAGGCTGGGACACCTGCAGGGGTGACTCACCAGTAAAAGACCAACCAACTTGGTGTTCAATCACCCCTTTTTGCAGGCTCAAGACTGGCCAGCTTGGAGTCACTGGGTTTGGGCTTTCATTTTCCAATCAGCATAGTTCACTTGATTTTTTTTTTTTTTCTGAGAGGAGTTTTGCTCTTGTCACCCAGGCTGGAGTGCAATGGCATGATCTTGGCTCACTGCAACCTCCACCTCCTGGGTTCAAGTGATTCTCCTGCCTCAGCCTCCCAAGTAGCTGGGATTACAGGCATGCGCCACCATGCCCATCTAATTTTGTGTTTTTAATAGAGATAGGGTTTCTCCATGTTGGTCAGGCTGGTCTCAAACTCCCGACCTCAGCTGATCTGCCCACCTCGGCCTCCCAAAGTTCTGGGACACTTGATTTTATATTTAAAAAAATAGTCAGTGTTTGAAGAATCTAGCAAAATTACTCAAACTCAGTGTTTATGAAAGAGAATTAAGTTGTAAGGCATTTACATTTTATATCTCAACAACAACAAAACAACGAAAAACAAGTGTCTATCCCTTTCAGACAATAAACACATCACTTATCTCTATAAAAAATAATTTAACAATTAACCATATATTAATACTTTTAGAAGGTGCCAAGTATCACCTTAAAAAATTTAGCATTAAACTTATTCAAATGACATGCTACAGAAAAGAGATTCAAAATATTACAAATTCTTCACCCTCAAAAAAAAAAGGAACTATTGTTTTGATGCATCTATGTAATGCACCAGTTGATTTACTACACGTCTTGTGGAAATGTATTCATTTTCTATAGCCATAAAAGGAGAGATATTTCCTATTTTTCCCTGGTAGCATTCTCAAAGCTAAGCCCTGAGATTCTGTTTGAAATTACCCCCAAAAAGTGGCAGACCAGAGAAACAACTACACTCACTTTTGTAAGGAAAAAAGTAAATAACAACTTTTAACAAATAAAATATATGATTAGAACCCCATCTCTACTAAAAATACAAAAAAATTAGCCAGGCATGGTGGCAGGCGCCTGTAGTCCCAGCTACCCAGCTACTCGGGAGGCTGAGGCAGGAGAATGGCATGAACCTGGGAGGCGGAGCTTACAGTGAGCCGAGATTTCGCCACTGCACTCCAGCCTGGGCGACACAGCAAGACTCCATCTCAAAAAAAAAAAAAAAAAAAAAAAAGAATTTTAAAAACCAAAATCCAACATGCCTTTTTACAAGGGTCAGGATAGTCAAGGCCCTCAGACAAATAAACTTTGGTGGTTCGGAGAGGACAGAAAATGGAGCAGGCCAATCACCTGGTAGGGCTTGTTATCAATGTCATTTGTAAGGCTACTTTAAAAAAGATTGTCCAACGAGAAACAAGCTACCCCCTCGCCCATCTCCACTATGCTGAGGCAATCACTGAAAGGCGCACTGCCCCAGAGGACAAAGGTTCTCTGGGCCAGAAGCCCCCAACCAGATGATCCAACAACAGGACTGAGGGTGCCCAGGGCAAATGCCACCTCACATCATCACCTTCACTGAGCCCCGGGTACATTTAACCATTGAGGGTCAGGAAATTGACTTCCTCCTGGACACTGGTGTGGCTCTCTCAGTGTTAATCTCCTGTCCCGGACAGCTGTCTTCAAGGTCAACTACCATCCGAGGAATCCTGGGACAGCCTGTAACCAGATATTTCTCCCACCTCCTCAGTTGTAACTGGGAGACTTTGCTACACATAGTAAGTATGCTTATCTAATCCTACAAGCCCATACTGCAATATGGAAAGAAAGGGAGTGCCTAACCTCTGGGGGAACCCCCATTAAATATCACAAGGAAACCATGGAGTTATTGCATGCAGGCAAAAACCCAAGGAAGTGGCACTCTTACACTGCCGAAGCCATCAAAAGGGGAAGGAGAGGGGAGAACAGCAGCATAAGTGGCTGGCAGAGTCAGGGAAAGATCAGCAGAGAGGAAAGACAGAGAAAGACAGGAAGAGACAGAGACAAAGAGAGACACAGAAAGAGACAGTCAAAAAGAGAGGAAGAGACAGAGACAAAGAGTCAGAGAGACAGAAAGTCAGAGAAGGAGAGAGGAAGAGACAAAGGAATCAAAGAGAGAGACAGAAAGTCAGAGAGAGGAAGAGACAGACAAAGGGGAGTCAGAGAGAGAAAAGACAGAAAGTCAAAGAGAAAGAAAGAGAGATGGAAGTAGTGGAGAAAAAACAGTGTACCCTTTTCCTTTAAAAGTCAGGGTAAATATAATTGATCATTGAAGGCCTTCTCTGTAACCCTATAACAATCCAATACCACCTTGTCAGTGTAATCAAGGGCACAGCCCAAAAGCACTGAGGCCACTGACAACCCATAGCCTTCCTATCAAAAATCCTTAACCCAGCAGGTTTCCTAACAGGGGATCTAAACCTTAACTAATTACCATACAAAGGTCCTACCAGATATAGGAGGAACTCCCTTCAGGACAGAAAGACAGGTGGTTCTTCCTGGGCGCTTAAGGGAAAAAGACACAATGGGTATTCAATAAGTGATAAGGAAACTCTTGTAGAGGCAGAGTTAGGAAAATTGCCTAAAAATTGGTCTGCTTAAACGTGTGAGCTGTTTGTGCTCAGCCAAACCTTAAAGTACTTACGGAATCAGGAAGGAGCCATCTATATCAATTCTAAGTTAATATGGACTGAGCGAAGTCTTATTAATAGCAAAGAGTAATTGAAATCCCAAGCTTACAAGGTTTTCAACAAAAGTAAAATTTGCTAAAAGTTAACACCTCTCCTTGCCCCTTTAATGGAATCCTTTTACTATTTCATCATATTATTAAGCAGCATACTAACCATACTCTTTGCCTATCTATCCCTCCTGCTTCCTTGGATACCTCATACAATCACCCCTCCCCTTCCACTAGCTCCTAATTACCTATACAAGACTCTCAACTTAACCCACTGTCTGTTAAACCAGTCCAATCCTTCCCTGGCAAATGACTGTTGGCTTTGCATCTCTCTATCAAACTCTGCTTGCGTTGCCACTCCCATTCCCGCAAAAAACTGGGTCTTTACCAACTTAACTTACCATCCTCATTATGAAGGAAAAGACCCTTTCTGACATCTAGATATGCAATCATTAGCCAACTTCCCCATCTCTGATAGGACCAAGAATACCCTAACAGGACGTGCAACCAACTTTAACATTCTTACATTTCCAACCTCACCTATTACACAAGCAATGAAAAGCCCATACATGGCCATGTAACTACGAATACCACCTTAACTTTCCAAACCCCTTTATGCATCCAACGCAATCTGTTATCAGGCCTTCCCCCGGGGCACCTACTACTCCATCAGTGTAATTACACCCTACAACTTCAAGCCCCAACTGATCATAGTAACTTCTGAGTCACCCAAACAGCTCCATTCAGACAGCATGTCTGTCTCTCAGGGTCTCCAAAAATCATCACCTCCTCCCTGCTTAACAAACAGTCCAGGTTTTGTAATGGCAAACATACTTCCTGCATGACCATTCACCCCTGGACCCCCTGCAGCAGCGCCCCCACCACTAGTGAATGCCTTTTCATCCCCTCTTTCAATCACTCTCTCCAATGGTTCCTAGTAGATACAGAACGGTTTTTTCTCCAATGGGAAAAGAGAACACAGGGAGCCACTCATTTTTCTCCCAACACCCCTTTCCAGCTGCTCACCAGAGCTACCTTGGCAAGTACTCTAGGAGTATGGGAAAACAAAAACAACAAACTCACACACCTTTTTAACATACACAACTAGTTCTGTCTACCCAGGCAAGGTATATTCTTATGTGGAACGTCAACCTATAAATCTGCCTCCCCACTATCTGGACAGGCACCTGCACCTTAGTCTTTCTAAGTCCCAACATTAACATTGCCCCAGGAAATCAGATCCTATCAGTAACCCTCAAAGCTCAAGTCCAGCAGCACAGAGCCATACAACTAATACCCCTACTTACAGGGTTAGGAATGGCTATGGCTACAGGAACCGGAATAGCCAGTTTATCTACTTTATTCTCCTACTACCACACAGTCTCAAAGGATTTCTCAGACAATTTGCAAGAAATAACGAAATCTATCCTTACTGTACAATCCCAAATAGACTCTTTGGCAGCAGTGACTCTCCAAAACTGCTGAGGCCTAGACCTCCTAACTGATGAGAAAGGAGGACTCCGCACCTTCTCAGGAGAAAAGTGTTGCTTTTACACTAACCAGTCAGGGATAGTATGAGATGCTGCCTGGCATTTACAGGAAAAGGCTTCTGAAATCAGACAATGCCTTTCACCCTCTTATACCAACTTCTGGAGTTGGGAGACATGATTTTTCTCCTTTCAAGTTCCCGTGACAGTCATCTTGTTATTACTCGCCTTCAGGCCCTGTATTTTTAACCTCCTTGTCAAATTTGTTTCCTCTAGAATCGAGGCCATCAAGCTACAGATGGTCTTAAAAATGGAACCCCAAATGAGCTCAACTAACAACTTCTACTGAGGACCCCTGGACAGACCTTCTGACCTTTTCACTGGCCTAAAGAGTTCCCCTCTGGAGGACCCTACAACTGCAGGGCCCCTTCTTCAGCCCTATCCCACAGGAGGTAGCTAGAGTGGCCATCACTCAATTCCCAACAGCAGTTGGGGTGTCCTGTTTAGAGTGGGGATTGAGAGGTGAAGCCAGCTAAGCTTCTGAGTCAGGTGGGGACTTGGAGAACTTTTGTGTCTAGCTAAAGGATTGTAAACGCACCAATCAGCATGCTGTAAAAACACACCAATCAGCACTCTGTAAAATGGACCAATCAGCACTCCGTAAAATGGACCAATCAGCACTCTGTAAAACGGACCAATCAGCAGGATATGGATGGGGCCAAATAAGGGAATAAAAGCTGGCCACCAGAGCCAGCAGTGGCAACCTGCTGCCGTCCCCTTCCACAGGGTGGAAGCTTTGTTCTTTTGCTCTTTACAATAAATCTTACTGCTGCTCACTCTTTGGGTCTGCACCACCTTTAAGAGCTGTAATACTCACCATGAAAGTCCGCAGCTTCATTGTTGAAGTCAGTGAGACCAAGAACCCACCAGAAGGAAGAAACTCCGGACATATCTGAAGACCCGAAGGAAGAAACTCCAGACACACAATCTTTAAGAGCTGTAACACTTGTTGTGAAGGTCCGTGGCTTCATTCTTGAAGTCAGCGAGACCAAGAACCCGCCAGAAGGAATAAATTCTGGACACATTTTGAGTAGGCAAGCTGAGATTTTAACAGGAGAGCAATCCTCTAAGAAATAAAATGTTAGCCATGTGTGAATTTTTTTTTTTTTTTTTTTGAGCCAGAGTCTCCAACTGTCACCAGGCTGGAATGCAATGTCATGATCTCGGTTCACTGCAACCTCCACCTCCCAGGTTCAAGCAATTCTCCTGCCTTAGCCTCCCAAGTAGCTGGGATTGCAGGTGCCTGCCACCACACCTGGCTAATTTTTTGTATTTTCAGTAGAGACGGGGTTTCACTATGTTGGCTAGGCTGGTCTCCAACTTCTGACCTTGTGATCCACTCCCCTCGGCCTCCCAAAGTGCTGGGATTACAGGCCTGAGCCACTGTGCCCATCTTGAATTTTAAGTTTTTTAGTAGCCACATTAAATATAATAAAAAGAAACAAGTGAAATTTTTTGTAATTAACCCAGTATATCCAAAATATTTTTATTTTAATACGTGATCAATATGTAATTATTAATAAAGTAATTTTTGGTTCTAAACCTTCTTAACTCACTCTGTATTTTATATTTGCAGCACATCTCATTTTAAATCTGCCACATTCCAGGTTCTTAGTAGCCTCAAATGTCAAGTAGCTGCCACATCAAAGAGCAGCTCTGAGGGATCTGACTCTCTGATCTCAGGGAGCTGAAGGGCCTAAATACCCGCTTTCTGCTGGAAATGAGGGAACAGCCTCTCCCTGCTGCAGCTTGCCATGGTTACCACAGGACTGAATGAAGGAGGACAAATGAGAAATGAAAACCTAAAACAAAAGAAACTATTTTAAAGGAAGGGGCCAGGGGAAGAAGAAGAGGACGCCCTGCGTCTGGTGAGTGAAGACAGCCACCTTGAGCTTCTACAGCCCTTCATATTTATTGGGTAGAAAAAGCAGGAAGGAGGAGGTAATGTTTGGTCAGCTGCTTGAGTGATCACAGGTTCACATTATTGCTAACAGGCTTCAGATGTGCCTAATTACAAGAAGCACTGTGCTTGGGGTGTGACTGCCCTCAGCATTCTTTCTGGGTGGCAGATGCAGTTGTCAGCTGCTAACATCCTGCATTTATGAGAACAGTTTGCTGTTTACTAATATAGCCTCCAGTGGTATACTGAGTTGATCACAACCCTCACTCTTTTGGCCTGCAACATCTCCTTATAAACTTCTCCGTTCAGGCCCAAAGATGGGAGGGACAGTGCCCCTAGAATGAGCAGCCACTGCAAGCAGGAAGTGTCCACATGTAGACCATTGTCTCCCAGTTTCTGTTTGGTGAGAATTCCTCTTCCTTCCAAACATCAGACAGTAAACAATGGATGATAGGGCCCCAGCAACAGGGAACCCCATGTCTTCAGGACTCTTTATAGTGTTGACCTCCAAAGTTTAGATGTGGAGAAAATAGACTAAAGGCTGATATGGTTTTGTTCTGTGTCCCCACTCAAATCTCATCTTGAATTGTAATCCCTACATGTCAGGGGAGAAACCTGGTGCGAAGTGATTGAGTCATAAGGGGCAGACTTCCCCTTGCTGTTTTGTGATAGAGTTCTTATGAGATCTGGTTGTTTAATAAATGTGTTTCTTCCTCTCTCTTTCTTTCCTGCCACCTTGTGAAGACGGGCCTTGTTTTCCTTTTGCTTTCTGCCATGATTGTAAGATTCCAGAGCCCCCCTTAGCCATGTAAAACTGTGAGTCAATTAAACCTCTTCTCTTAAACTACCCAGTTTCAGGTAGTTCTTTACAGCAGTGTGAAAATGGACTAATACAAAGGCCAACTTCTTATTTTGCCGTTTGGCCTTGGACCTAATTGTTCAGCTGTAGCTGCGTGTTTTTCTCCTGTGATGTGGGGCACTGTGTGAGTTTCAGCACCAATCACATGCATCCACATCTACCTGCTCTTCTGTATAACTCAGTACCATCTAAGTGAAATCTAACTTTAAATGAAGGAAAAAGAAAATTAATACTTATAGGGTGCCAAACATCTGGAGGTTATTTGTAATTAAACTTTACTGAAATCCTTACATCCTGCCTATAATAAATGTATTTTTTAGTAAGACATAACTGCATAACAAACTATCCCAAAGCTTACTAGCTCATTATTGAGCTGGTTAGAAATTTAGGCTGAGCTCAGCTGGGCTTCTTCAGGCATGAATGGTCAGCTGATGGCAGATTAGGTGGCTCTGCTTCTGAGAGTGAGCTGTCTGTCAACTGGGGCACTTTGGTTTTTCTCCCCATGATATTTTATTTTTCAGCAGGCTAAAATGGGCTTTTAAGACCAAAACTGGCACACTGTCATATTCACAGTTTTGCCCCATGCAAATAAGACCAGAAAGATCCAAGGTTTGAAAAACAGATTCTTCCTGTTGATGGGAACTACTATAAAAGCATATTGCTAAGGGCATGACTATAAGAATGAATAAAAAGAATTGTTGTATTTTCAATCAATATTATTATACCTTTTCTTGCACATAAGATTTATATAACTGTCCCACAGCTACTAAGCTGCTGGGCTGGGACTCAGGATTAACTCTGTCTGAGTCCAAATCTCATTCACCTCAATAGACCACACTACTCAGCCAGGTTTTCTAGTCCATCGAGGTCCTGGAGAGAGACACTTCTGAAATAGAAGCTATATATATATATATTCTCATTCCATTTACCTAGTACTCTTCAAACATTGAAATAAATTCATTATCACCAGAGAATACTGCTGAAGCCTGTGGGAAAAACAGAGGAAATGGCTGAGCACTGAGTTTAGAAATTAAGGCCTAAAATTATATTTTTTATTTCTTATCACAGGAGAAATTTGAAAACACCTATAATGCACTCCATATATCTGCAAACTCTTTGTATCTCTCTTTGGTATTTGTAGACTATGTATGAGTTCCAAAACAAACTACATCAAATTACTGTGCCTGATAGAGCTGCTGACTATTTTCTTCTGCTGCAATTTGGCTGAACAGTTGTGGATGCCTTAAAAGGCAAAGATATTTTATAAGACCACAAATTTAGGAGTAGCTATAGGGCAAAGCCCTGAAGCACATATAAAAATCACACAACCGATGCATTCCTCACCCTGAATCAATGCTTTTCACCCCTGGCTGCATATTAGTACAAACTGAAGTGGGGTTATTTAAAGTCCCCAAACCCAATTTGCAATGGAACAATTAATCAAAATTCCTGGAGTGAGACCCAGGCAATAGTGTGATATGAAGGTCTCCAGGTGATTGCACTATTCAGCCAAACCCCCAAATCACTGCTTTAAACTAACATCATTTGGTTAACTAGTTGAAAAAAAAAATTTTTTTTTTTGAGACGGAGTTTCACTCTTGTTGCCCAGGCTGGAGTGCAATGACGTGATCTTGGCTCACCGCAACCTCCACCTCCCGAGTTCAAGCAATTCTCCTGCCTCAGCCTTCCAAGTAGCTGGAATTACAGGCATGCATCACCATGCCTGGCTAATTTTGTATTTTTAGTAGAGACAGGGTTTCTCCATGTTGGCCAGGCTGGTCTTGAACTCCCAACCTCAGGTGATCCACCCACCTCGGCCTCCCAAAGCACTAGGATTACAGGTGTGAGCCACTGTGCCTGGCTGAAAATATTTCTTAAATAAATGTAAAAGTGTTTGCTGCTGAGTTGTTGTCTTTCAGTCTTACTTGTATTGCCTACTTTCTATCTTTTGCAGAACTGACATCTGCTACTTATTTCACTCCTAATTCAAATCAGTTTCATACCTACCAAGTGCACAATATGTGCAGAGCACTGTGCTAGGTGTTCTGGCCTTGGTGACTATTATCGTGGGGAGAAGACTTTGCAGTAAAAAATTGCATTCAGCTGGGTGTGGCGCTCATGCCTTTAATCCCAGTGTGTCAGGCCAGGTCTCACTAATGCAGTCTTCCATAGCAACTGTTTCAGTACTGACTGAGTGCTTAAGTTAAATGTTAAGAGCCAGTGCACTTATACAAAGGCTAGAATGTAACAAAAGCTCACCAAGAGTTTTGCCTAGGCCTTCCCTGTGCCCTAAAGCATGACAAAATAATGAAGAACTTCATCTTGAGTTTGTCTGTTGATAATTTCCAGGCCTTCTTCCTGTAACCAGTTGCAGAAAAAAAAAATTCTCTTCATCCCCAGTTCATCTGAAATAGCAGCCCAATCATTAGTTTGGTCCAGGAACAAAATTTGGCACAACGGCCAGGAAAGACCAGGATGGTGTTGCATTCAGCAGCCAGCGGCTTGAGATGAGACAGCCCCTCCCGAAGGCTGTCCCGTGTGCAAAATTGCATGTCTCTTTCACTACTGGGGAAGAATGGAGATCATGAGTGGACACGTTCAAAGGGTGAGACCACCCAATCATATGCCGGGAGCCTATTGTTTTCTTATCTGGGCTTGTTAAGCCATTTGTCAGGTACTGCCAAGGGAAACAATAGGGCTCACTCATATACCCACTTTACACTTTGGTTGAGATCAGGTTTTGAGTTGGTTTTAAGTACCTTTTGTCTGAGTGCACTCCCACTTGTGTTGTCCAGAATTTGTCTCCGCTCGTTTGTGTATCTGTCTTATCCTTTTTGATACCATGTAAACTTGAAAATGGGAGGTATTGGGTCCAGTCCTGCTGAGAGGCCTCTGGGAAGAAAAAAAAAATTTTTAGGAGCTCAATAGCTAATTGTCAGCTTCATTAAAAGCTAACATCCAACATGTGTATATGTATGTGTGCATGCTTGTATTTAAAAGGCAACCATGTTTTTATTTTTGTTTATTTCTCTCCTAGGATGTTGCCTTTTTGAGCAAAAATTTTCTCAGATTAACTGAATTCTGTTTTCTTCATTAATAGCTATTGCAACAGAAGCTACTCTGGGATTTTTAAGAAAAAGTGTAATTTAGACACTTAGAAATGCCTTCGTTTGGGAAAAAAAAATTTTTTTTTGATACCAAGTTTCACTTTTTCGCCCAAGCTGGAGTGAAACGGCGTGAGCTCGGCTCACTGCAACCTCTGCCTCCCCGAGTTCAAGCAATTCTTGTGCCTCAGTCTCCCAAGTAGCTGGGATTATAGGTGCCCACTACCATGCCTGTTGAATTTTTGTATTTTTAGTAGAATTGGGGTTTCGCCATGTTGGCCAGGCTGGACTTGAACTCCTGACCTCATGTGATCCAACTGCCTCAGCCTCCCAAAGTGCTAGGATTACAGGTATGAGCCACTGTGCCCGACCTGGGAAAAAAATTCTTAAGTGCACTGTAAAAGCATCAAATAGTCTAGTCTCATAATAATTCTCCCTTTTTGAAAACCGAGGATTCAGTGTGGGCTCTGCTCAGAGCTCAATGATCCAGCTAAAAGATAGGTAGTCAAGATCTAAATAAAGTTAGTCTCCTTATACAGTTGTTTGAAAAATTTCTATAATCTTTTGTTTGATCTGGCATCCATTTTTAATCTTGCTCTAGCACCACCAGACTTTCTCTTTCTGTACCTTGAGATGTAAATTTTGCCATTTGATTTTCACCTAAGAGTTGTTTCCTTCCACATGCAGATTTAGGCCTATGTAGCTGACAACTGCCAGAGTAATAAAGCAGGTCATCAAGAGTTTGCAAGTCGAAGATAGGAAAAAGGAGGTCTTATGAATCTATTAAATGTACTTCTATTGGCATGGCTAATATGTCTATGTATTTATGTCTAGTGTACCCCATGTTTACTACTGAAAATATATAAAAGAATTCTAACCAATTGGCTCAAAAAAAAAGCACTTAAATGCTTTTTTTTTTTTTTTTTTTTGGAGATGGAGTCTTGCTCTGCCACCCAGGCTGGAGTGCAGTGGTGCAATCTTGGCTCACTGCAACCCTCCACCTCCCGGGATCAAGAGATTCTCCTGCCTCAGCCTTCCAAGTAGCTGGGACTATAGGCACCTCATACCATGCCTGGCTAATTTTTGTATTTTCAGTATAGAAGGGGTTTCACCATATTGGCCAGGCTGGTCTCAAACTCTTTACCTTGTGATCCACCCCCCTTGGCCTCCCAAAGTGCTGGGATTACAGTCATGAGCCACCGCACCTGGCTAGCACTTAAATACTTTAACAGAAAAAAGAAAAGACTAGTCAAATGCTTTTTTAAGTTTATATGGCTTAGTAAAATAGTAAATAAGCTACCTTTAAAAATTATTGGTAAAGTAATATTAGAAATGTCTTAAGAGTTGCCATACATTTTTGCCTGCATTTATTGATAAAGCAATTTTATACTTATCTCTGCCAAAAACTATAAGGTGTCAAAATTTGGCATAGAGGCTACAAAACTATAACTCAGCCCAAAACAGAATGATCTTTGCTGTGTAACTCTTAAAAAATAAAACATTAATATTTGTTTAATGAAGATAGCTACAACTTGAATAATTCAGTAAAATACCCTCACTTCTAATTTTGTGGCTTTAGGCAGTCTAGTCCACAGACATGAAGGAAATTTGTTCTGGGAAAGGACTGTTATCATCTTTGTTTCAAAGCTAAACTGTAAACTAAGTTGATGAATAAGAATAGACTAGAAGTTAGAAGCAAGATGGAGTCACTTAGGTCAGATTATTTTCACTGTCTCAGTTATAATTTTGCAATGGCAGTTTCATAACTTTAAATAATGACTATCACAGTTTTCATAAATAATCTAGGTAAATGGTTAAAATAAATCACAGATAAATGTAATGGGATAAATACTCATAAACAACTTTGTCATAATTTGGAATCTAAAGTTAAATTAAACAACAGTTATTTCATTATTTGGGTATTTTCCAATAAAAAATATATTGTAGGAAAACATTCTTTCTAGAAATTATGTCCTTTTTAAAGGGGAACCAATTTTCATCTAATTCAAAGCTTATTTAAAGGTTATATATAAAACAAAGTAAAATAAACCAGGAAATAAAGGAGATATAAAGAAAGTTATAAAAATAAAGATAGTTTTAAAGATTATTGGTAAAATATAAATATTTTCAGAAATGTAAACATTTGGTCTAAATTATGCTGATCAAATATTACATTTGCTGAAGGCTTTAGGTCATACACTACTTTTTTGACTTAAAAATTGTTCAATTTCTTTTGGAGTGTTAAATTCTAGATAAGGCCTGTGGACATATGAAATTAGCCATGCCCCTAGCTATGCAAAAAGGTATTAAAGAACAGATATTTTATGTAAGAAAGGATCTTGTATGGTAAATTCTTGTCATATAGTAAAATAACTGGTCATTTAAAAAAAAGGAATGTTTAGGACAAGTCAGAAAGTCAAGGCATGTCATAGCTTGTCTGTGTAAGTAGTGAAAGAATTTATAAAGGGGAATTTATGCAAGAAATGTCATACAATTTAAAGGTAATTAGGCCTCCTAAATACTTTATAAAATGCCACTATGACTCTTAGCTATACAACTTGCCTGCTTTACAGCTAGGTATGTCCTGGGATATATGGAGTTAGATGCTGGAATAAGTCAGACCTTATCTGCACTTCTGTCTAGGTCCTAGGCTCCACATCTAGTACATCATTAAAATCCCAAACTTACCTGGGTTTTCACCAAAAGTGAAGGTTGCTAAGAGTTAACATTGTAACATGTATGTGTGACTATTGAAGGAATGGTTTATATGCAATGTAAAAAATATATATATACTTTTGGTAAAATAAATTATAAGGAAGCATGAGAATGTGGATATCTGACTAGATTAAAAGGTTAAAGAACTGTTTTAAGTTGGATAAGATAAAGACAAAGGTTTAAGCAAGTTGTGGAAGGGTGATTGTAAAGGAAATTCTGTGTGTAAACATACTGGCTGTAGTTAAAAAGGGTATTGTCCAGTTTTTCTGTAAATTGAGCATTAAAATAAAAGCACAATGGGTTTCTCTTACAGCACTATCCTGCTTTTTTTTTGCTTTTTTTTTTCTTTGGAGACAGAGTCTCGCTCTGTTGCCCAGGCTGGTCTCGAGCTCCTGACCTCATGATTCATCCACCTCGGTCTCTCAAAGTGCTGGGATTACAGGCATGAGCCACCATGCCCAGCCATATTTACCCAATTTTAATGTTTGAGTATGAGGTAACATTTTTATAGACATTTTATAACCCTTTACAATTTTTGTTAAAGAGCAGGTTAGTGGGTCGTGTGCAGTGGCTCATGCCTGTAATCCCAGCACTTTAGGATGCTGAGGCAGGTGGATCATGAGGTCAAGAGTTTGAGACCAGCCTGGCCAGCATGGCAAAACCCCATCTCTACTATAAATACAAAAAATTAGCCAGGCATGGTGGCACACATCTGTACTCTCAGCTACTTGGGAGGCTGAGGCAGGAGAATCGCTTGAACCCAGGAGGCGGAGGTTGCAGTGAGCCAAGATCACGCCACTGCACTCTATCCTGGGTGACAGAGCGAGACTCTGTTTTAAAAAAAACAAATGGGTGAATATGTCTATAAGGTTTTATTAAGAATTGGGTTTAACAATGTAAAAGGTAAAATTTGGCTCATTTGGTACCAAAAATCATACAGGAAGCATTGCCAAATATAAAATGGGGCTTGGCTTTCTTTGGGCTATATTTGTATAAATATGTTATTGGTATGTGTTCCAAAATCATGTGAAACTCCTATAATTCTGATATATCTTAGTGTATGTTACCAGTAATAATTACAATTGTTATGTTAAATTATTGTGTGCCATAGAGGTAACAATTTTCACTGTCAATCGTGTTTTTAACTATGGCTATCCTAAAACTTTTTGTCATCAGTAAACAATTGTTTTCTTGTTTTGGTCCTCTTTAGAAGGTGGTTTTATAATCATCTGTAAAGCTCTAAACAGTGCTCTTGAATGCAGGTTTCTGATCACTTTGGAGATTGTGACATAAGAATAAAGGAAAAATGTTCAGGACTCTTGAAGTGCTAAAATGTTCATTAATGTCAAGAAGAACAGGAATTAAATGCATAAATTAAACTAATGGGAAACTGAAGTGATCTTATTGACTTTTTGCTTAAATTGCTGCTAATCCTTTGTTTTGTTTTTCAGAATCAAGGAAACTTTTCTTTTGAACTATTAACAGCTTTTAACAAGTGTACTTCTATCAACAAAATTTGGAGCTATTAACAGCTTTTAACAATTAAGTATACTCCTATGAACAAAATTTGGAGCATATTTATTTCTCTCTACCTGATTTCTGCAGAACTTGGAAACTATTTTGAGTATTCTTAATTTATAGCAATATAGTTATTTGCATAAGTGCAATAAGAATTTGTTTTCTTTTGTAACAGGACACAATTGGCAAACCTGGTTATTTTACCAAGGCTTTGACTAGAATGGTGTGCTCTCCTTTAAGGAATCAAACTTGATTTATGAAGCCAATAAAGCCCTTGGAAAACTGGCTTCATATTTTGTGTACACAGTCCCTGTACAGGGTTTCTGATCTGTGATAAGTAAAGAATGTCACTTTCTAACAGGTCAGGAACCAAAAGTTATCTTGGAACCTCAAGAGAAGAAGAAGTCACCCAACACATAGGTATTTGATGGTACAAATCCATGGTTGGGCTCAGTGGTTTTTTTTTTTTTTTTTTTTTTTTGAGATGGAGTCTTGCTCTGTTGCCCAGGCTGGAGTGCAGTGGTGCAATCTCAGCTCACTGCAAGCTCCGCCTTCTGGGTTCAAGCAATTCTCCTGCCTCAGCCTCCTGAGTAGCTGGGACTACAGGCATGTGCCACCACACCTGGCTAATTTTTTGTATTTTTAGTAGAGATGGGGTTTCACCATGTTAGCCAGGATGGTCTTGATCTTTTGACGTTGTGATCTGCCTGCCTCAGCCTCCCAAAGTGCTGGGATTACAGGCATGAGGTCTTATCTCAGATTCCTTCTATGGAACAAAGTTCCATCAAAGCCAATTTAAAGGGCCTATGTGAAAAATAATTATTCTTGCTGCACTGTATACCAATAATTAGGCCAAGTATAATAAAGCAAACCAGTCCTACCACAATTTATCTTTTAGTAAAACTGAGAAACTGGAGAGAAAGAAGTTATGTTTCAAAAACAATAGTACACCTGTGATTAAATTCTAGTCTTACCTGATGTTTTTCAAATTTTATTGTTTTCTACAGTTTGGATTAAATTCTAATTTTTCTGGCTACAAGTCTCCAAAATAATGTTTTTAACTTTTTGCTTTATATTGTTCTGTTTCCCCATTTTTCCTAATAAGAAATCACTAAAACCCAAGCTGTGCTTTCTTAAAGCCCTGTGAACTAAAGACTAGATGACTTAAACTTCAGAAGAGCAGCAACCTATTTATGCGTGCTTCTGTTGCATACTATTATGTTTCAGAAGGTGCTGCCTCTAAGCCCCCAAAACAGAGAGTGCTATAGGAAACAAATTGACCTCTTCCACTCCAGCGCTGCATTCAGTGCCCCATAACAATGACCCCCTCTCTGCAGGAAGTATCCAGAAGGATTATGACCCCCTCATCTCCCTCCAATTCTTGTGATAAATAAATACACAAGCAAGACAGAAATCATGCATGAATTGACAGTAGGGATTGTGGCAGTCCAGCTCTTACTAATAGAGGCCTCCAAAACAACTGTTTCAGTACTGACTGAGTGGTTCAGTTAAATATTAAAAAATAGTGCCCTGGCTGGGCATGGTGGCTCACACCTGTAATCCCAGCACTTCGGGAGACTGAGGCAGGTGGATCACCTGAGGTTGGGAGTTCGAGACCAGCCTCACCATCATGCAGAAACCCCATCTCTACTAAAAATACAAAATTAGCCAGGCGTGGTGGTGCATGCCTGTAGTCCCAGCTACTCGGGAGGCTGAGGCAGGAGAATCGCTTGATCCTGGGAGGCAGAGGTTGCAGTGAGCAGAGATCATACCATTGCACTCCAGCCTGGGCAACAAGAGTGAACCTCAGCACCCCCACACCCCCCCCCCCACAAAAAAAAACCAGTGCCCTTATACAAAGGCTGGAATGTAACAAAAGCCCACGAAGAGTTTTCCCTAGGCCTTTCCTGGGCCTTACAGCATGACAAAATAATGAAGGAATTCTTAACAGGACCTATGTAGAATTAAATGAGCTTTTTTGTGGGTCTGAAGAAACCCCCAGGCCTCCACAAACAAGTTTACTGGGGGTCTGAAGGAACTACCCTAACCTCCGTGATTCAGCAGGAGACAAGATAAGGGTAATCACCTCAGCACCTGGACCCATTTAGATTAAGTAAATTTACTGAGGTTCCAGAGGAAAGTCTTCAGGACTCAGACATTAGTTATATTAGTGTTAATTTTCCAATGCTTCTGTATTACAATAAATACTTGCTTTACTGAAAGTAGAAATAATCTAGAACAAAAAGTAACAACCATCTCTAAATTGTTAAATTTATGTGAATATTTTGGAGTTGATGTTTTGTGACCTCTTCCTTGACATCCTAGCAAAGATATTTCTGTAAAAGTATATTTCACAAATACACTTTCAAATACAAATTAGTACTATCCATGTTTTGGTTACTTTTGCTTTGCGCTTCCACCTCCATATTATTTTTGATAACAAAGCACAGCAACATGATTTTTCTTTTTTTTCTGAGATGGAGTCTCACCCTGTCGCCCAGACTGGAGTGCAGTGGTGCAATCTCAGCTCACTGCAACCTCTGCCTCCCAGGTTCAAACAATTCTCTTGCCTCAGCCTCCCAAGTAGCTGGGACTACAGGTGTCTGCCACCACGCCTGGCTAATTTTTTATATTTTGATAGAGACAGGGTTTCATCATGTTGGCCAGGCTGGTCTTGAACTCCTGACCTTGTGATCCACCCACCTTAGCCTCCCAAAGTGCTGGAATTACAGGCGTGATCCACCGCAGCTGGCCTGCAACATGATTTTTCTAAAGCAGGCCTCATGAATTTCGCCTGGATGTTAACACATTAAAAGGAGGTGAATGCAATTAAAAGGTGTTTAATACATTCCACCAGAAAGGAGAGGCACAGCTGGCCATGCTGGGCCTCACAAAGGCTGTCTCATGCACAGATTGGAAAGCAGAGGTATCAGGGAACTGGGACTTTGTCTTTATGACCATGATGATTGTAAGCAACCAAGCAAGGCTGTCCCTTTGGACACAAAGTAAAATCTTGCATGTTGGGGTCTGTGGTTGGGAAGATGATAATATTTGCATGCTAATAAAAGCTGCCTGAAAAGGAACATGTAAACAACAGTGATTGCTTATCTGCCCCTGTGACTCAGCAGGCTTATGAAACAGTTATAAATAGCAGCTGTCAAATGGCCAACACAATCTAACAACATTTTCAATATAATTTATTACTAGTGGAAATCCTGAATTAATTTATTATTATTTTTGAGATAGAGTCTCGCTCTGTCACCCAGGCTGGAGTTCAGTGGCATGATCTCGGCTCTCTGCAACCTCCGCTTCCCGGGTTTAAGCAATTCTCCTCTCTCAGCCTCCTGAGGAGCTGGGACTACAGGCGCACACCACCACGCCCAGCTAATTTTTGTATTTTCAGTAGAGACAGGGTTTCACCATATTGGTCAGGCTAGTCTTGAACTCCTGACCTATGGTGATCCACCCACCTTGGCCTCCCAAAGTGCTAGGATTACAGGCATGAGCCACCACACCCGGCCCTGAATTCTTTAATTTCTGCAGTTTCCGTTACTTCTTAAGATGCTTTAAATGAATAAAATCTGCCTTAAATGTTGATACCTGATAACTTCTCTCTGGAGGATTTTGAATTGGCCAACTTAATCAAAACTCCAGCTCTTGCCATCTAAGTGCAATTAAATGGAATATTTAAGATTCCTAAGGGGTCAACTATTACACTTTCAACTTCTTTTTAACGATATATTATTTTCCAAAAATTCTTATGACCATTTGAATAGTTTAGCTTTTGCTCCTCTCTTGTGAGCAACAGGATTATATATATTTGGTAAAATGTAATACAGAAAACTTAAAAATTATACTGGACAACCATCAGTAAAATGTATATATCTGGTATAAACAACCTTTTTCCGCAAATTGAATTCTGCATTTTTCTCTTTTCTGATATATATGAGATGCACAAGTATGTTTTTCTCCTGTATGGGCATAAAGAGGTGATTGTCATTTGTATTATCTGCTAAAAGCTTGTGGCAGCTCATGGTATTATTGACCACATGTTCTAATGTCTTTTTGCAGATTTAAATATTATATTGTAGTGTCAATTTAACATTTAGATGTGGGTTAAATCTCTAGATATATTGTAATTAGATTGATTTTTTTTTTTTGAGACAGAGTCTCCCTCCATTGCCCAGGCTGGTGTGCAATGGGGTGATCTTGGCTCACTGCAACCTCCACCTCCAAAGTTCAAATGATTCTCCTGCCTCAGCCTCTCAAGTAGCTGCGATTACAGGCACCTGCCACCACACCCAGGTGTGTGTGTGTGTGTGTGTATTTTTAGTAGAGATGGGGTTTTGCCATGTTGGCCAGCCTGTTCTCAAACTCCTGACCTCAGGTGATCCACCCACCTTGGCCTTCCAAAGTGCTGGGATTATAGGTGTGAGCCACCATGCCTGGCGTAATTAAATTGATTTTTTTGTAATGGTGATTGTCCTGGTAAATCAATATAAAATAAAAATTATACACCTTTAAAAGATAGTTATTTACAATTGCTTAGAGTTTACCTGGTCAGCCGAGGCCTATCTTCTTCAAGACTTTGCTGAAATTGCACCTGCTCAGTTACAGTCTCTCTGTACAGTCAGAAAAATAATCCTGACTGAGAATGGCTAAGAAAAGAATGAAAAAATTTTGGCAGAGGAATCCTACATGTAAAGAAACAGTTGTGGAAAAGAAAATAATGTTCAGAGATGTGTTTTACTGCAGTTATTTTTTATTTTCATTTTATTTATTTATTTATTTTTTGAGACTGAGTCTTTCTCTGTCACTCAGGCTGGAGTGCAGTGGTGCTATCTTGGCTCACTGCAACCTCTACCTCCTGGGTTCAACCGATTCTCCTGCCTCAGCCTGCTGAGTAGCTTGGACTACAGATGCACGCCACTACGCCTGGCTAATTTTTGTATTTTTAGAGAAACAGGGTTTCACCATATTGGCCAGGCTAGTCTCGAAATCCTGACCTCACGACCCGCCTGCTTCTGTCTCCCAAAGTGTTGGGATTATAGGCATGAGCCACTGCGCCAGGCCCGTAGTTATTCTTTAAAAAAAATAAATGCTTAGGCCGGGTACAGTGGCTCAAGCTGTCTCTAAATAAATAAATAAATAAATGCTTCAAAGTCAAATCAAATTTATGTACTTAATTGAAAAATTGCAAATATAGTGGTGAATGAAATAAAAGGTTTTTGTCTTCACAGAGTGACGAGGGAGCCAGCATACTGTAGGGTTTAGAAAATAAGGATAATTAGATAATAAATAATCCCTCATATAAATCAGGTAGTATAAGTTGCTACTACATTCTGGAAGAAGGCTTGCCAATGCCTACACAAGCTGAAGATACAAATATATTTCAATTATATTTGTGGTTATAAAGTGGCATCATTTGTCTGGGGTAATACCCCAGGTTCCTTGCCTCATGCCAAGGAAATCAAGGACACGGACATGCAAGGAGTGAGTTTAAGAGGGAAATTTTAATAAACAAGAGAGAAAAGCCCCCTCATGCAGAAGCAGAGGGTTCTGAACAGATCTCTTCATTCATGGCAAGATGCATTTGGTTTTATAGATGTGCTTGAGGAGGTGGTGTCTGATTTACATAGGGCACAGAGGATTTGTTGGACCAGGTGTGCCAATTACATAGTGTGTGAAGAAGCTTGCCATAGCACCCTAATCTTTTAATATGCAGATGAATTCTCTACCTGGTGGGTGCCATGTTACCTATTCTCTGACTTCACACATGTTGACAAAGAAAGAGGAAGATCATATCTTTCTTCATCTTCTATCTGCATCCTCCTCTTCTGTGAATAAATTTAAAAAGAGATGCCAAGAAGACACATCTGTTTCCTATTCACACATCACTTCAACTCACTATCAGTCAATGTAAGTAGAGCTGATTGATTATAGCAATTTCCTGGCAGGACACTTCTCAGCAATAAATAACACACTGAAAGAAAAGTATAGGCTGGGTGCAGTGGCTCATGCCTGTAATCCCAGCACTTTGGGAGGCCAAGGTGGGCGGATCATGAGGTCAGGAATTCAAGACCAGCCTGGCCAACATAGTGAAACCTCATCTCTACTGAAAATACAAAAAAAAAAAAATCAGTTGGGTATGGTGGCAAGCACCTGTAGTCCCAGCTACTTGGGAGGCTGAGGCAGGAGAATTGCTTGAACCCAGGAGGTGGAGGTTGCAGGGAGCCGAGATCGTGCCACTGCACTCCAGCCTTGGCAACACAGTGAGGTTCTGTCTCAAAGAAAAGTAAAGTATAGATTTTTCGTAAAAAGCTAATGTATTTTTAGCGAAGTAAGCATATGCATCAATAACAAAATGCTTCCTGCCAGGCACGGTGGCTCCTGCCTGTAATCCCAGCACTTTGGGAGGCCAAGACAGATGGATCACCTGAGGTCAGGAGTTCGAGACCAGCCTGGCCAACATGGTGAAACCTCGTCTCTACTAAAAATACAAAAATTAGCTGGGTGTGGTGGCACCACCTGTAGTCCCAGCTAGTCGGGAGGCTGAGGCAGGAGAATGGCTGCAACCCAGTAGGCAGAGGCTGCAGTGAACCGAAATTGCACCACTGCACTCCAGCCTGGGCAACACAACGAGACTTTGTCTCAGAAATAAATAAATAAATAAAAATAAAATGCTTGTGGTAAAATATAGATTCATTTTGTTGATTTCTATTGAGCTCAGGTAATATTTGACCAAAAGCTAGCAAATATACCACAGAAAAAGGAATATTTTAAATAAGAATATGGTGAATGAAGTTATCCTATCAATAGAAGTAAAAATATTGGCCAGGCGCGGTGGCTCACACCTGTAATCCCAGCACTTTGGGAAGCCGAGGCGTGTGGATCATGAGGTCAGAAGTTCTAAGACCAGCTTGGCCAACATGGTGAAACCCTGTCTCTACTAAAAACTACAAAAATTTACTGGGCACAGTGGCAGGCATCTGTCATCCCAGCTACTCAGGAGTCTGAGTCAGGAGAATCACTTGAACCCGCGTGGCTGAGGTTGCAGTGAGATATTGTGCCACTGCACTCCAGCCTGGGTGACAGAGTGAGACTCAGTCTCAAAAAAAAAAAAAAAGAAGTAACAATATTATAACCTCATACTAATAGTCTCATCTATAGTTATACAACATCAAATGCTTCTTTTTATTAAAAAGTATATTTCATATGATTATTCAATGTATATCACCCCCCTTCATTATTTCAATGCCTTCTCCACTTTATATCCCTGCAAAACAGGCCAGCTGTTTCTAGGAAAGCACATGGTGCTATTGCTATTTTAATGATGATATTGGAGAGCACTTGTTTGGGTGGTAATTCCATGGCAAACACTGCTATTTGGCCCAAAGTACTGGTTTTCTATTCTTCTCTAAATTTATGGATAAAATAAAATTCTTAGCTAAGAAGACTTTATCTTATTCAAGTACGTATTATGGAATTTTGTTGACACTTAAGTGTTTCTGACTTACCTGGAATATTGAAATTTCCCATGAATTCAAATTGAACACTGTAAAGAAACAATCCTTTACTAAAAGCGTTTTTGAGGCAGAGTAAGATTCATAAAATTTCTTTATAATATGGAAACAATTGTGTTAATGACGTTCCTAGTAATCCCTCTGAACATAGCATTCTCAATTCTCAGTATTCACCCTGAATCACTCAGGGAAAATTGGTATCTCTGCGAGCAGGCAGAAGAAGGTGCTGAGTAGAGGTGCATCACATTGCACATAAATGCTGTCCACATGCACCTATTAGAGTCTTAATTTAATGGACTGTTATTTGCATGGCTAGATACTTACTAAATCTAGTCATATTATTTTTGGCAGCTAACGGTATCTGTTACCCATTAATTTTTTTTTTTTTTGAGACAGAGTCTTGCTCTGTCACCCAGGCTGGGGTGCAATGGCATAATCTTGGTTCACTGCAACCTCTGCCTCCCAGTTTCAAGCCATTCTCCTGCCTTAGCCTCTCAGGTAGCTGGGACTACAGGCATGCGCCACCACACCCGGCTAATTTTTTTGTATTTTTAGTAGAGATGGCATTTCACCATGCTGGCCAGGCTGGTCTCAAACTCCTGAGCTCAAGTGATCCGCCTGCCTTGGCCTCCCAAAGTGCTGAGATTACAGATGTGAGCCACTACACTTGGCCACCCATTAATTTTATACAATTATTTCCCTGGCTGAAAAATTAATCCTTTCCTAATTTACTCTACATAGAGAGATCAGATTTGCAATCTTCAATCTTTTAATGTTAAAGCAAATCAGAGAAGAGCAGTGTATGTATATAGAATGCATTCTTCTGCCTAACTTCAAAATTCTTCTTGCCCTCTTCCCTCTTCCCTCTCCCCTCTCCCCTCTCCCCTCTCCCCTCTCCCCTCTCCCCTCTCCCTCTTGGTCTCCCTCTCCCTCTCTTTCCGCGGTCTCCCTCTGATGCTGAGCCAAGGCTGGACTGTGCTGCTGCCATTTCGGCTCACTGTAGCCTCCCTGCCTGATTCTCCTGCCTCAGCCTGCCGAGTGCCTGCGGTTGCGGGCGCGCGCCACCACGCGTGACTGGTTTTCGTACTTTTTTGGTGGAGACGGGGTTTCGCTGTGTTGGCCGGGCTGGTCTCCAGCTCCTAGCCGCGAGTGATCCGCCAGCCTCGGCCTCCCAGGGTGCCGGGATTGCGGACGGAGTCTGGTTCACTCAGTGCTCGGTGGTGCCCAGGCTGGAGTGCAGTGGCATGGTCTCCGCTCGCTGCAGCCTCCATCTCCCGGCCGCCTGCCTTGGCCTCCCAAGGTGCCGAGATTGCAGCCTCTGCCCGGCCGCCACCCCGTCTGGGAGGTGAGGGGCGTCTCTGCCTGGCCGCGACCCCGTCTGGGAGGTGAGGAGCGTCTCTGCCCAGCCACCCCGTCTGAGAGGTGAGGAGACCCTCGGCCCAGCATCCGCCCCATCTGAGAGGTGAGGAGCCCCTCCGCCCGGCAGCCGCCCCATCTGAGAAGTGAGAAGCCCCTCTGCCCGGCAGCCACCCCGTCTGGGAAGTGAGGAGCCCCTCTGCCGGGCCAGCCACCCCGCCCGGGAGGGAGGTGGGGGGGTCAGCCCCCCGCCCGGCCAGCCACCCCGTCCGGGAGGTGAGGGGCGCCTCTGCCCGGCTGCCCCTACTGGGAAGTGAGGAGCCCCTCTGCCCGGCCAGCCGCCCCGTCCGGGAGGGAGGTGGGGGGGTCAGCCCCCCACCCGGACAGCCACCCCGTCCGGGAGGTGAGGGGCGCCTCTGCCTGGCTGCCCCTACTGGGAAGTGAGGAGCCCCTCTGCCTGGCCAGCCACCCCGTCCGGGAGGGAGGTGGGGGAGTCAGCCCCCCGCCCGGCCGGCCGCCCCGTCCAGGAGGGAGGTGGGAGGGTCAGCCCCCCGCCCGGCCAGCCGCCCCGTCCGGGAGGGAGGTGGGGTCAGCCCCCCACCTGGCCAGCCGCCCCGTCCGGGAGGTGAGGGGGCGCCTCTGCCCGGCTGCCCCTACTGGGAAGTGAGGAGCCCCTCTGCCTGGCCAGCCGCCCCGTCCGGGAAGGAGGTGGGGGGGTCAGCCCCCCGCCCGGCCAGCCACCCCGTCCGGGAGGTGAGGGGCGCCTCTGCCCGGCCGCCCCTACTGGGAAGTGAGGAGCCCCTCTGCCCGGCCACCACCCCGTCTGGGAGGTGTACCCAACAGCTCACTGAGAACGGGCCGGGATGACAATGGCGGTTTTGTGGAATAGAAAAGGGGGGAAAGGTGGGGAAAAGATTGAGAAATCGGATGGTTGCGGTGTCTGTGTAGAAAGAAGTAGACTTGGGAGACTTTTCATTTTGTTCTGTACTAAGAAAAATTCTTCTGCCTTGGGATCCTGTTGATCTGTGACCTTACCCCCAACCCTGTGCTCTCTGAAACATGTGCTGTGTCCACTCAGGGTTAAATGGATTAAGGGCGGTGCAAGATGTGCTTTGTTAAACAGATGCTTGAAGGCAGCATGCTCGTTGAGAATCATCACCACTCCCTAGTCTCAGGTACCCAGGGACACAGACACTGCGGAAGGCCGCAGGGTCCTCTGCCTGGGAAGACCAGAGACCTTTGTTCACTTGTGTATCTGCCGACCTTCCCTCCACTATTGTCCTATGACCCTGCCGAATCCCCGTCTGTGAGAAACACCCAAGAATGATCAATTAAAAAAATAAAAATTAAAAAAAAAAAAAAGAAAAAAGAA
The DNA here is from genome assembly GCF_000001405.40 of Homo sapiens. Classification (NCBI taxonomy): domain Eukaryota; kingdom Metazoa; phylum Chordata; class Mammalia; order Primates; family Hominidae; genus Homo; species Homo sapiens. The sequence continues at coordinate 64,737,766 of NC_000007.14, read as the reverse complement.
AAGAAAGAAAAAAAGAAAAAGAGAAAAAAAAAGAAAAGCAAACAAACAAACAAACAAAAAAAATTCTTCTTATATTTTCTTGGATACCCTAGGAAGCCACCTAAAGAATATGCCTGTCAAATCCTTTAGCCAGGAGTTTAGATTTCATAAGGTCAATAACTTAATGATTGAGCAAAGCCAAAATCTTGTCTTTGCTTCTTCTTAGCAATCTGAGCATTTCAAAAAGCATGGCAATTATGCCAAGCCTTTGAAAAGATGTGGTTTTGATTAATTTTATCCCATTTCAAATGTTTTCTCTAATTGTTACTTTTATTATGTTACTCTAAGAGCAGATATCTACGTAACTGTTCATACATTAAAGAAATATTCATGGCTGGGTGCGGTGGCTCACGCCTGTAATCCCAGCATTTTGGGAGGCCGAGGTGGGCGGATCAATTAAGGTCAGGAGTTTGAGACCTGCCTGGCCAACATGGTGAAACCCCATGTCTACTAAAGTTACAAAAAACTAGCTGGGCGTGGTGGTGCGTGCCTGTAATCCCAGCTACTCAGGAGGCTGAGGCAAGAGAATCATTTGAACCCAGAAGGTGGAGGTTGCAGTGAGCCGAGATCGTGCCACTGCACTCCAGTCTGTGCGACAGGGCGAGACTCCGTCTCGAAAAATAAATAAATAAATAAATATTCATATTATGACCAGGTGCAGTGGCTCACACATGTAATCCCAGCACTTTGAGAGGCCGAGGTGAACAAATCACTTGAGGTCAGGAGTTCGAGACCAGCCTGGCAAACATGGTGAAACCTCATCTTTACTAAACATAAAAAAATTAGCCAGATGTGGCCAGAGCAGGGCTGAGGCTAGAGTGCAGAGCTGGCGAGCCACAGCTGGGGCCAGAGTAGGGAGCGCGGCGTGGCGTTGCCACCCAGTGCAGGTGGCAGAGAGATCAGAACCCTCTTCCCCAAGCCAAGCGAACCTCGGCAGGGACCCGGGCTCAGGGGCGCGGCAGCGGCGACTGCAGTGGCTGGATGATGGCAGCGCCCGCTGGAGCCGGGGCAGTGATTGCAGCCCCAGACAGGAGGCGCTGGCTGTGGTCGGTGCTGGCGGTGGCGCTGGGGCTCTTGACAGCTGGAGTATCAGTCTTGGAAGTATATTTACCAAAAGAAATCTTCGTGGCAAATGGTACACAAGGGAAGCTGACCTGCAAGTTCAAGTCTACTAATACGACTGGCGGGTTGACCTCAGTCTCCTGGAGGTTCCAGCCAGAGGGGGCCGACACCACCGTGTCATTTTGCCACTACTCCCAAGGGCAAGTGTACTTTGGGAATTATCCACCATTTAAAGACAGAATCAGCTGGGCTGGAGACCTTGACGAGAAAGATGCATCAATCAACATAGAAAATATGCAGTTTATACACAATGGCACCTATATCTGTGATGCCAAAAACCCTCCTGACATTGTTGTCCAGCCTGGACACATTAGACTCTATGTCGTAGAAAAAGAGAGTTTGCCTGTGTTTCCAGTTTGGGTAGTGGTGGGCATAGTTACGCGCTGTGGTCCTAGGTCTCACTCTGCTCATCAGCCTGATTCTGGCTGTCTTCTATAGAAGGTAAAACTCTAAACGGGATTACACTGGCTGCAGTACATCAGAGAGTTTGTCACCAGTTAAGCAGGCTCGTTGGAAGTCCCCTTCTGACATTGAAGGTCTTGTAAAGAGTCTGCCTTCTGGATCTCACCAGGGCCCAGTCATATATGCACAGTTAGACCACTCTGGCGGACATCAGAGTGACAAGATTAACAAGTCAGAGTCTGTGGTGTATGTGGATATCCAGAAAAATTAAGTGAAGACCTAGAACATATCCTCAGCAAGAAACAAAACTAAACTGGACTCTTGTTCAGAAAATGTAGCCCATTACCACATGTAGCCTTGGAGACCCAGGCAAGGACAAGTACATGTGTACTTACAGAGGGAGAGAAAGATGTCTACAAAGAATATGTATAAATATTCTACTTAATCTTCCTGATGTGGGAAGCCAATGTTGCATGATGAAAAGATGGTACGATTCTACATATGTACCCATGGTCTTGCTGTTTTTGTACTTTCTTTTCATGTCATTTAGAATTGGGAGATTTCAGAAACATTCCTTTCACCATCATTTAGAAATGGTTTGCCTTAGTGGACACAGTAGCAGATCCTGTAGTATTTCCTGTAGAATGGCCTTTTAACCTAAGGGCTTAATCAGTCTTAGCATTTATTGTAGTTGGAGGATGGAGATGCTATGATGGAAGCATACCCAGGGGGCCTTTAACACAGTATCAGTACCAATTATTTGTTTGCAGCTTTAAAAAAATACCCATTGGCTCTGCCACTTGAAAACAACTTGAGAAGTTTTTTTGATGTTTTTCTCACTAAAATATGGGGCAATTGTTAGCCTTACATGTTGTAGACTTACTTTAAGTTGTACCCTTGAAATGTATCATATCAATTTCTGGATTCATAATAGCAAGATTAGCAAAGGATAAATGCTGAAGGTCACTTCATTCTGGATACCTTTGGATCAATACTGATTAAGTAGAAAATCCAAGCTTTGCTTGAGAACTATTGTAACGTCGAGAGTAAAAGTTATCGGTTTTATTCTTTGCTGATGTCCTTTCTGCTTGAAATAACAGTCCCCATACAGCTAAAGGAGAGGAGTTTCTTCTAAGTAGGCAAAAATGGGATCATTATATTGCCACTCTCCAATATCCAAGAGCTCGCTCTCTAGAGAATCACCTTTTGATTTTTTTTTTTTTGAGGTAGTCTCACTATGTTGCCCAGACTAGCCTTGAACTCTTGGGCTCAAGTGATTCTCCCTTCTCAGCCCCCCAAGTAGCTGGAACTATAGTTGCACCATGGCAGCTGGCAAGAATCACCTTTATAAAGCGTCAGTCATGCTTCCAGCAAGAGGCAGCATCAGTCATGGCTTTATAACAGCTTCATGGTGCCTCAAAGACTCTTGAGGTTAACGAGAGCCTAGATTAGACAGTTTGGCTGTCCTTCCCTAAAACTTGTTTTCTCCCATTCACTACTCCCCATCCCACTTAAAATCTATGAGTTTTTACTTTTTACTGGGAATGGAAAGCATGGTGAAGATCATTAAACACTTACGTTGTCATTTCAAAAAAAAAAATTTGCCAGGTGTGGTGGTGTGAGCCTGTAGTCCTAGTTGCTCTGGAGGTTGAGGCAGGAGAATCACTTGAACCTGGGAGGTGGAGGTTGCAGTGAGCCAAGATGGTGCCACCGAACTCCAGCCTGGTTGATGAACTGAGACTCTGTCTCCAAACAAAAAAAAGGAATACATATACATTAAGATGTTTAAAGTTCAATATTGTATTAAAGTATAGTAAAATTCTCTAAAATCTAAAATTAACAGAAGATAAGTTCATCATCAAATTAATTATGTTTTCAAGATTTTTCAGTTGTGAAAATGAAAAATTAGATATGTTTTTCATGATAATTTTAATTCTAGGAGGGTACCTACTGGTCCCCATGGTATTTCTGTAATGAGTAGTGTAAAACTGGGTCACCAGAATGGTGAACACATGCTGATTTAATTAGAGTAAGAATGAGTTCACCCTCACTGATGGTAGACTATCAATATCCCACAGGTTCATCATTCACTACGACTTACTAAATGTTGCTTCATAATGCCAGTGACCCCTTTCAACCAGATTGCCTCCTTCCTCCCATTGATGTGGTCATGTTGTGGTCTCCTCTGTTTATCTTAAGCTATCTCAGATCAGGTGATTATTTATTGAATGAATGAGAACCCCCTCTTCTTTCCTCTGCCATGGAGAGGATCCATGGGATCCTCTTGTCCTCCCTACTGGAAGCAACATGTGGGAGACAGGAATGATGAAAAGATACAAGTATATTTCCTGCCATGTGGCCTCCATAAGCAGTTTAGCATGGCCCGCCTGGAAGTCTCTTACTTCCAGACCAGCAGGGGTGTTTTTCTCTGACATGTCCTTTTCTTTGTTTGTTTTGTTTTGTTTTCTTTTTGAGACAAAGTCTCACTCTGTCATCAGGCTGGAATGCAGTGGCACGATCTCGGCTTACCACAACTTCTGCCTCCCGGGTTCAAGCAATTCTGTCTCAGGCACCCGAATAGCTGAGACTACAGGCGCACGCCACCATGCCCAGCTAATTTTTGTATTTTTCATAGAGACAGTGTTTCACCATGTTGGCCAGGATGGTCTCCATCTCTTGACCTTATGATCCACCCGCCTAGGCCTCCAAAGGGCTAGGATTACAGGCGTGAGCCACTGTGACCAGGATGTGTCCCTTTCTTTTAAAAGCACCTCTGATTCAGTTTAGCCCAATCAAGATAATCTCTCTTTTGAGGAACACAAAGGCAACACATTAGTAACCTAATTTCATGAGTGATTTTCCTCCACAGTCACACTTTTTTTTTTTTACACTTAACAAAAAAAGGATTATACACCAGGTGTGCAACAGACTGGGAATCCTGAGGATCATCTTAGAATTTTGCCTAGCCACCTGAATAGACTTTTAAAATAGTCTTTTACTTGCTTTTGTCATCTAAGCAAACAAAGATATCATCTGCAAATAATAATTAACTACTTTCCAATTTTATTCATTGAAATATTAACTAAATTATCCTTTTTCTGGCTTATTTCTCCTTTATATATCATTTTATACATTCACAAGCACATAGAACAATGAAAATGTATCCAATTACTCAATTCTGGTTAACTTTTATTTAAAAATTAGTGTTAAAAATAATTATTTTGTGGGCCGGGCATGGTGGCTCATGCCTGTAATCTCAGCACTTCGGGAGGTCGAGGCGGGACAAGGTCAAGAAATTGAGACCATCCCGTCCAACATGGTGAAACCCCGTCTCTATTAAAAATACAAAAATTAGCTGGGCATGGTGGTGCATGCCTGTAGTCCCAGCTACTCCAGACGCTGAGGCAGGAGAATCACTTGAACCCGGGAGGCGGAATTTGCAGTGAGCTGAGATCGCGCCATTACACTCCAGCCTGGTGACAGAGCGAGACTCTGTCTCAAAAAGGGGGGGGGTCTCCTTTCTTGGCTTTGGAGCACCCCCCTCCCTCTGTCTCTGTACAGGGAGCTTCTTCCTTCTTTCTTCTCCCTTCTTTCTTGCCTATTAAACTCTCCACTCCTTAAAACCAAAACATAAAATAAATAAATAAATAAATAAATAATTATGCTTTGGCCGGGTGCGGTGGCTCACGCCTTTAATCCCAGCGCTTTGGGAAACCAAGGTGGGTGGATCACCTTAGGTCGGCAGTTCGAGACCAGCCTGACCAACATGGAGAAACCCTATCTCTACTAAAAATACAAAACTAGCCAGGCATGGTGGCGCATGTCTGTAATCCTGGCTACTCGGGAGGCTGAGGCAGGAGAATCGCTTGAACCCAGGAGGCGGAGGTTATGGTGAGCCAAGATTGCACCATTGCACTCCAACCTGGGCAACGAGAGCAAAACCCCATCTCAAATATATATATATATATATATATATATATATATATATATATATATATTACTAATTTTTCTGTTTGAAGAGGGTTTTTATTGTTTTATTGGTTTATCTCTGGAGACAAAGTTGCCTGTGGTTTAATATTGGCTTTGGTATGGTAAGCAAGTCATTTTTCTCCTTGGCTTTGTTTCTTTCTCTGTAAAATGAGGATAATAATACCTGTTATTCAGTTACTGTGAGAATTAAATTTATTAACACATAAATTGTGTTACGGCTAGTGCTCAGTACAAATTAACTATTATTAATAATATACATATATGCTGAATGATATTAATACATGTTTTAACACAGAAATACTCTTCCATGACATGAGTTTTTCAACGAATAGATGAATATATTTAATTTTTTTTTTGAGACAGAGTCTCGCTCTGTCACCAGGCTGGAATGCAGTGGTGTGATCTTGGCTCACTGCAATCTCTGTCTCCTGGGTTCAATCCATTCTCCTGCCTCAGCCTCCCAAGTAGTTGGGATTATAGGTGCATGCCACCACACCCAGCTAATTTTTGTATTTTTAGTAGAATCAGGGTTTCATCATGTGGGCCAGGATGGTCTCCTGACCCTGTGATCCGCCGGCCTTGGCCTCCCAAAGTGCTGGGATTACAGGCGTAAGCCACCGCGCCTGGCCTTAAATTATTTTTTTGTAAAACAAATGTGGCATAGATACACAATGGAATACTATTCAGTCTTAAAAGGGGGTAAATCTCATAATTTGAAACAATATAGATAAATTTGGAAGACATTATGCTAGATGGTATAACCCTGAGACAGAAAGATACTGCATGACCTCATTTATATATAGAATAAAGTTTAACTCAAAAAAATAGAAAGTAAAATCATCTTTAACAGAGGCTGAGTGTGGTGGGAAGAAAATAGGGAGTTGTTCATCAAAGGGTACAAAGTTTCAAATAGAAGGGGTAAGTAGGTTTTGAGATCTATTGCACAGCAGGGTGACTGTCATAAAAAATAATGTACTGTATATTTTAAAATAACTAAATGTAAATTTCAAGTGTCTCACCACAAAAAAATGATAGGTAAGCAAGTTGATAGATATGTTATTTAACTTGATTTAATCATTCCATATTTTTTATATATATATATTCAAGCATCATATTGTACTCCAGAAATGTATACAACTTTGATATGCCAATCAAAAATACTATTATGCTTTTTTTTAAAAAAAGGATAGTATTAAAAATATTTAACTAGTATTATAGCCCCAGACTAACTAGAATAAACATGGGTTACAAACCACTGATGTAGCGACCCTGTTTTCAGGCTTAACATTAATCATGATCTAACAGAATTGACAAATAAGAGCTAATAAGTTTCCTATACACTTGCTACGTTCTGGGTACTCTTTGGACATCTTTGTTTTAATTGCTTTAATTTTACCAAAACTCTAGTATTTGGGACTATTATTTTCACTGTACAGTTGAAAAGTCAAGCAAAGAGAGGTCAAGAAACTGTATTTATGGGGTGGGCATGGTGGCTCACACCTGTAATCCCAGCACTTTGGGAGACTGAGGTGGGTGGATCACGAGGTCAGGATATCGAGACCATCCTGGCTAACACAGTGAAACCCCGTCTCTACTAAAAATACAAAAAATTAGCTAGGAATGGTGGCGGGCGCCTGTAGTCCCAGCTACTTGGGAGGCTGAGGCAGGAGAATGGCGTGAACGTGGGAGGCGGAGCTTGCAGTGAGCCAAGATCGCACCACTGCACTCTGGCCTGGGCAACAGAGCCAGACTCTGTCTCAAAAAAAACAAAAAAACAAAAAAAACCTGTATTTATGTCATACAGCCCATAAGTGGCAGAACTGGGATGCAATCGAAACCACCTGATTCTGAGTTTCAATATATTAACCATTATGCTCTACACCCTCTCACCTGATGCTTGTTTTTATTCCTGATCTAGTATTTTGCCTCTGAATTTCGTAATTTAGTAAAAAAATAAAGAGAAATTTGCAAACCACTTTTTTGGAAAAAAAAAATGGCATTCAGGAGGCAGAACCAGATTGCAGCTCCCACTAGGACAGACAAAGCAGTGTGTGGAGACTGGCATCGTGAATTTTTGCTCCAGAACTACTGCAGGAATAAACCAGGAATGCTGAGAGAACCCACAGACCCTCTGAAGAAAGTGGATTGCTCCTGCAGGACTTAGGAGACAGCCCAAATACTGTGAGTGCCCAATCTGTGAAAGTGGGAAAAAGGGATCATCCACCCCCAAACACATACCCTTACTGGGGAAAATGAATGTCTAGATCATGGGAGAAGGATCTCACCTTACCTGGAGCTGAGTCAGTTTAGAGAGTGACTGAAATATAGGGATAGAGGAAACAGCAGAAAAAGCCCTGTGGGCTCTCTGTGTTCCCTGGGAAGCTATTTCATACTTGCCTCGAAGGGGTTTTAGGGGAGGGCTGCCAGAAGTACTTGGAAAAGACCACAAGAGGAAGGAAACCTCCAGCTGAACTTTGTAACAATTCCAACTGAACACAAAGTCTCCTGGCAAGAACTCTGGGGAAGGCATGAATCTGGTGTGCAGTCTCTACAGGAAGGGAGGCACCAAAGCCCTGCTCACTTTCTCAGCTGGGAGGCTGGTAGCCTGGGGCAAGTACTCAGCCCTGCTCACCCACTGGCTGGAAAAAATCTCAGTGCTGTTGAGGGGTGGGGTACGGTGGGAATGAGACCGACCTTTTGGGTTGCATGGGAGCTGAGTGAGGCATGTAACTGCTGGCTCTCTTCCACTTCCCTGACAACCTGCATGACACCACAGAGGCAGCCATAATCCTTCTGAGAGCAGATCTCTATTAACCTGGGAAAAACACCCCCATTTCCTGCAGCAGCTGTAGCAAGCCCTATCCAAGGAAATCCTGGCTGAGACACCTGCAGACAGTTCACATTACAGGACTCTGTGCAGACAACCCCCAGTGTACCAGCCCAAAGGCTGGTAGACCTGCTGGGTGGCTAGATCCAGAAAAGAGATAACAATCACTACAGCTCAGCTCTCAGGAAGCCACATCTCTAAAAAAGGGTGTACAGTAGTACATCAAAGGAACACCCAATGGGACAAAAGAATCTGAACAGCAGCCTTGAGCCCTAGACCTTCCCTCTGACATAGCCTACCCAAATGAGAAAGAACCAGAAAAAAAAATCTGGTACTATGACAAAACAAGGTTTTTTAACATCCCCCAAAAACACATTAGCTCACCAGCAATGAATCCAAACCAAGAAGAAATCCCTGATTTACCTGAAAAATAATTCAGAAGGTCATTTATTAAGCTAATCTAGGAGGTATCAGAGAAAGGTGAAGTCCAATTTTTAAAAAATCAAAAAAATACAAGAAATGAGAGGAGAAATTGTCAGTGAAATAGATAACATGAATAAAAAGCAATCACAACTGCAGGAAATAAAGGATGCACTTAGAGAAATAAAAAATGTTCTGGAAAGTCTCAGCAATAGAATCAAACAAGCAGAAGAAAGAATTACAGAGCTCAAAGACAAGGTTTTTGAATTAACCCAGTCCAACAAAGACAAAGAAAAAAGAATAAGAAAAAATAAAGCCTTCAAGAAGTCTGGGATTATGTTAAGTGACCAAACCTAAGCATAACTGGTGTTCCTGAGAAAGAAGAGAAATATAAAAGTTTGGAAAATGTATTTAGGGGAATAATCGAGGAAAACTTCCCCAGCTTTGCTGGAGACCTAGAAATCCAAATACAAGAAAATTGAAGAACACCTGGAAAATTCATCACAAAAAGATCATCACCTAGACACACTGTCATCAGGTTATCCAAAGTCAAGATGAAGGAAAGAATTTTAAGAACTGTGAGGCAAAAGCACCAGGTAACCTCTAAAGGAAAATCTATCAGATTAACAGCAGATTTCTCAGCAGAAACTTTACAAGATAGAAGAGATTGGGGCCCTACCTTCAGCCTCCTTGAACAAAACAATTATCAGACAAGGATTTTGTATCCAATGAAACTAAGCTTTACTTATTTATTTATTTATTTATTTGAGATGAAGTCTCACTCTTTTGCCAAGCTAGAGTGCGGTGGTGTGATCTCGGCTCACTGCAACCTCTGCCTCCTGGGTTCAAGCAATTCTCCTGCCTCAGCCTCCTGAGAAGCTGGGACTACAAGTGTATGCCACCACACCCAGGTAATTTTTTTGTATTTTTAGTAGATACAGGGTTTCAACATGTTGGCCGGGATGGTCTTGATCTCCTGACCTTATGATCCACCCACCTTGGCCTCCCAAAGTGCTGGGATTACAGGTGTGAGCCGCTGCACCCAGCCAAAACTAAGCTTTATAAATGAAGAAAAGATACTGTTGTTTTTAGACAAACAAATGCTGAGAGAATTTGCCACTATGAAGCCAGCACTACCAGAACTGTTAAAAAGAGCTCTAAATCTTGAAACAAATTCTGGAAACATGTTAAAACAGAACCTCTTTAAAGCATAAATCTCACAGAACCTATAAAACAAACAAATAAAAAAACAAGGTATACAGGCAACAAACACCATCATGAATAGAATACTACCTCACATATCAATACTAACGTTGAATGCAAATGACCTAAACACTCCACTTAAAAGATACAGAATTGTAGAATGGATAAGAATTCACTGACCAACTATCTACTGCCTTCAAGACACTCTCCTAGCACATAAGGACTCACATAAACTTAAGGTAATGAGGTGGAAAAAGAAATTCCATGCAAATGGACACAAAAAGTGAGTAAGAGTAGCTATTCTTATATTAGACAAAACAAACTTTAAAGTAACAGCAGTTAAAAAAGACAAAGAAGGAAATTATATCATGATAGAAGGCCTTGTCCAACAGAAAAATATTACAATCTTAAATATATATATGCACCTAACACTGGAGTGCTCAAATTTATAAAACAATTACTACTGGACCTAAGAAATGAGATAGACAGCAACACAATAGTAATGGGGGACTTCAGTACCCCACTGACAGCACTAGACAGGTCATCAAGACAGAAAGTCAACAAAGAGACAATGGATTTAAATTATACCCTGGAACAAGTTGACTTAACAGATATTTATGGAACATTCTACCAAACAACCACAGAATATACATTCTATTCATCAGTGCATGGAACTTTCTCCAAGATAAACCACAGGATAGACTACAAAACAAGTCTCAGTAAATTTAAGAAAGTTGAAATTATATCAGGTACTGTCTCAGACCACAGTGGAATAAAACCAGAAATCAACTCCAAAAGGGACCTTCAAAATCATGCAAATACATGAAAATTAAATAACTTGCTCCTGAATGATCATTGGGTCAACAATAAAATCAAGATGGATATTTAAAAAAATCTTCTAACTGAATAATATCAAAACTTCCAGGATACAGCAAATGCAGTGCTAAGAGAAAATTTATAGCCCTAAATGCTTACAACAAAAAGTCTGAAAGAGCACAAATAGACAATCCAAGGTTATACCTCAAGGAACTAGGGAAACAAAAACAAACTAAACCCAAACCCAGGAGAAGAAAGGAAATAACCAAGATCCCAACAGAACAAATGAAATTGAAACAAAATAATAGAAAAGATAAATGAAACTAAAACCTGGTTCTTTGAAAAGATAAATAAAATTGATAGACCATTAGCAAGATTCACCAAGAAAAGGAGAGGATCCAAAGAACCTCAATTAGAAATGAAACAAGAGCTATTACAACTAACACCACAAAAATACAAAAGATTATTTAAGGTACTATTTAAACATCTTTATATGCATAAACTAGAAAACCAGAAGAAGATGTATAAATTCCTTGAAAGATACAACCCTCCTAGCTTAAATCAGGAAGAATTAGAAATCCTGAACAGACCAATAAGAAGCAGCGAGATTGAAATGGTAATAACAAAATTGCCAACAACAACAAAAAAAAGTCCAGGACCAGACAAATTCACAGCTGAATTCTACCAGACATTTAAAGAAGAATTGGTACCAATCCTATTGACACTACTCCACAAGATAGAGAAAGACGGAATCCTCCTTAAATCATTCTATAAAGCCAGTATCACCCTAATACCAAAAACCAGGAAAGGACACAACCAATAAAAAAACTATAGACCAATATCCCTGATGAATATAGATGCAAAAATTCGTAACCAAATACTAGCTAACCAAATCCAACAGCATATCAAAAAGATGTGCAAAAATCATGCTGCTATAAAGACACATGCACACGTATGTTTATTGCGGCACTATTCATAATAGCAAAGACTTGGAACCAACCCAAATGTCCAACAATGATAGACTGGATCACGAGGTCAGGAGATCGAGACCATCCTGGCTAACACAGTGAAACCCCGTCTCTACTAAAAATACAAAAAAATTAGCCAGGCGTGGTGGCGGGCACCTGTAGTCCCAGCTACTCAGGAGGCTGAGGCAGGAGAATTGCTTGAACCCAGGAGGCAGAGGTTGCAGTGAGTTGAGATCGTGCCATTGCACTCCAGCCTGGGTGACAGAGCAACACTCTGTCTAAAAAAAAGACAAAAACAAAAAACAACTGCTTTTTGTTGCTGTTGCTGTTGGCTGCTGATATAATTGTATACCTAGAAAACCCTAAAGACTCTTCCATAAAGCTTCTAGAAGTGATAAATGAACTCAGCAAAGTTTCAGGATACAAAATTAATGTACACAAATCCATAGCTCTGCTATACACCAACAGCACCCCAAGCTGAAAATCAAATAAACAACCCAACCCCTTTTATAATAGCTGAAAAAAAAATAAAACACTTAGGAATACACCAAACTACAAAACACTGTTGAAAGAAATCATAGATGACACAATCAAATAAATACACATCCCATGCTCATGAATGGGTAAATCAACATTGTAAACATGGCTATACTGCCAAAAGCAATCTACAAATCCCATGCAATTCCCATCAAAATACCACCATCATTATTCACAGAACTAGAAAATGCAATCTGAAAATTCATATAGAACCAAAAAAGAGTCCACAAACCAAAGCAAGATTAAGCAAAAAGAACATTTCTGGAGACATCACATTACCTGATTTCAAACTATACTATAAGGCCAGAGTCACCAAAACTGCATGGTACAGATATAAAAATAGGCACATAGACCAATGAAACAGAATAGAGAACCCAGAAATAAACCCAAATACTTATAGCCCACTGATCTTCAACAAAGCAACAACAATAAAAAAAAAGTGTGAAAGGACACCCTATTCAACAAATGGTGCTGGGATCATTTGCAAGCCACATGTAGAAGAATGTAACTGGATCTTCATTTCTCACCTTATACAAAAATCAATTCAAGATAGATAAAGGTCTTAAATCTAAGACCTGAAACAAAAAATTCTCAATGATAATATTGGAAAAACCATTCTAGACATTGGCTTTGGCAAAAACTTCATGATCAAGAACCCAAAAGCAAATTCAATAAAAACAAAGATAAATAGGTGGAACTTAATTAAACTAAAGAACGTTAGCACAGCAAAAGAAACAGTCAGTAAACAACAACCCACAGAATGGGGGAAAATTTTCACAATTTATACATCTGACAAAGGACTAATATCCAGAATTTACAATGAACTCAAACAAAATAGCAAGAACGAACAAACAATCCCATCAAAAAGTGGGCTAAGAAAATGAATAAACAATTCTCAAAAGAAGATACACAAATGGCCAACAAACATATGAAAAAGTGCACAACATCACTGATGATCAAGGAAATGCAAATCAAAACCAAAATGCAATACAATCTTACTTTCACAGGAATGGCCATAATCAAAAGATTAAAAAAAATAGATGGCATGGATGTGGCGAAAAGGGAACACTTCTGCACGGCTGATGGGAATGTAAACTAGTATAACCACTATGGAAAACAGTATGGAGATTCCTTAAAGAACTAAAAATAGAACTACCATTTGATCTAGCAATCCCACTACTGAGTATCTATCCAGAGGAAAAGAAGTCATTATACAAAAAAAATACTTGCACAGGCATGTTTATAGCAGTACAATTTGCAATTGCAAAAATGTGGAACCAATCCAAATGCCCATCAATCAACAAGTGGATGAAAACTATATATAAACAAGTGGATATATATATATATATAATCGAATATATATAATAATCAAATATATATATATAATCAAATATATATATAATCGAATACTACTCAGCCATAAAAAGGAATCAGTTAATGGCATTCACAGAAACCTGGATGAGATTGGAGACTATTATTCTAAGTGAAATAACTCAGGAATGGAAAACCAAACTCGTATGTTTTACTCATAAGTGGGAGCTAAGCTATGAGGATGCAAAGGCATAAGAATGACACAACAGATTTTAAGACTCAGGGGGAAAGGGTGGGAAGAAGGTGAGAGAGAAAATACTACACATTGGGTTCAGTGTATACTGCTTGAGTGATGGGTGCACCAAAATCTCACAAATCACCACTGAAGAACTTACTTGGGTAACCAAATACCACCTGCTCCCCAAAAACCTATGGAAATAAAAATTTTTTTAAAAAAGACTGAAAGGAACCTCAGAACTCATCCAGCCTCACCTTCCTCATTTTGCAAATGCAGGAGAGGGACTGAAGACATTGCCAACTTCACATAGCCTTTAAGAGGCCAACTCCAGACCTAAAATCAGGCCTTGTGACCCCAAACCCAAGTCCCCTTCTTGCCTTTTGCTATTACTCTGTCTCTTCAAAGGACAAGATAGAGCCAAGTTGGGATGGGGAGTGGTCACACCCACACCCAGATTCTACCCTCACGGGCACTGCCTTCCCTATGGGACCTATTTCTTTCATTTCCAGTGCTCATGTTATGGCCAAATCCCGGAAAAATGTGCCCTTTAAATCTTCGTGCACCCCTAGAACTAGCAGACATTAAAAGTAATAATAATGGGCTGGGAACACTGGCTTGTGCCTGTGGTCCCAGCTACTCGGGAGGCTGAGGAGGGAGGATTTTTTGAGGCCACAAGTTTGAAGCTGCAGTGAGCTATAATTGCACCACTGCACTCTAGCCTGAGTGACAGGATGAGACCCTTTCTCTCAAATAAAGGAAAAAGAAAAAAGTAATAATAACAAAATAAAAAGAGTAATTTACCAATTACTGAGGGAGTCTAGAAAGGTTAAGTATACCCCCTCTAAATTGGAAATAACAGTTTAAAAAATATTTTATTGGTAAAAAAATAAAAGCCACTTTTTATCCTGAGAGAGTATGTAGAACTTGAATTTTGGTTTAAAGCACTTATTACTAAGCTTAACGTAAATACTTTGGCAAATTGATTCTAACAAAGATATCCTTCTCATGACTTAAAAGAGCCACTAATTTTACTTTTGAAATATGTTTAATTTTTATATTAAAAGCTAGGATGGCTGGGCGCAGTGGCTCACGCCAGTAATCCCAACACTTTGGGAGGCGGAGGTGGGTGAATCACCCGAGGTCAGGAGTTCGAGACCAGCCTGGCCAACATGGTGAAACTCCGTCTGTACTAAAAATACAAAAATTAGCTGGGCTTGATGGAACATGCCTGTAATCCCAGCTACTCGGGTGGCTGAGGCAGGAGAATCACTTGAACCCAGGAGGTGGAGGTTGCCATGAGCTGAGACCGTGCCATCGCACTCCAGTCTGGACATCGCAGGGAGACTCTGTCTCAAAAAAAAAAAAAAAAAGAAGAAGCTAGGATGAGCCTATTATATAGAAAATTTGTGATCTGTATGTGCCTCCTCATCTATTGAGTGGTCAACAGTTTCTGAAACTTTCAGAAACACTACTATAAGAATACTTTTTCCAACTGAAGAATTTAAAGATATTAAGTTTTCTCAGTGATTAAAATGAAATATATTGGAATAATCAGTCACTTACAATGGGGTTTTAAATGTTATTTAATGAACACGTGAAGTTTCTTTTAAACTCATTTTAACAAGTTATTTCTATTGATTTTTCACTTTCATTAGAAAAAATATTAACATTTCTGTTACTACAAAGCTATGAATTTTACATAAACACAGTGCTAATCTTAAAAGATCTGTATGCTTAGGATTATAGAAAGTCTATTCTCTGTTTACATTTAGAAGATAAATAACTGCTTTCCAGTAAACCAAATGGGGCAACTGTGACTCACAATCATAAGATATTAAAATACTAATACTATTTTTTTTTAGATAGAATTTCGCTCTTCTTGCCCTGGCTGGAGTGCAATGGTGCCATCTCCACTCACTGCAACCTCTGCTTCCTGGGTTCAAGCGATTCTCCTGCCTCAGCCTCCCAAATTGCTGGGATTACAGGCATGCGACGCCATGCCCGACTGATTTTGTATTTTTAGTAAAGACGGGGTTTCTTCATGTTGGTCAGTCTTGTCTTGAACTCTCGAACTCAGGTGATCCGCCCGCCTCGGCCTCCCAAAGTGCTGAGATTACAGGCACGAGCCACCGTGCCTGGCCAAAATATTAATACTATTATCTAGGTAAAAATTTTAGGTATCTGCATGTTCAAGTTGTTTAACTTATACAATTCAGAAACTAAAAATTTTTATAAACTAAAAAAAGTAAAAATATAAAGTATCAATTTTTTTCAGTTATGAAATACTGTCAATATTTCTAGTTGACATAACGTGAGAATTCAGATGCTGTGGTTGTAGAAACTAGATATGTCATGGTTGACTGTTTTGCTTCTTGTCTTCCTATTTTACATAAACAAAGAAGCACAAGAAAGGCCAGAAATGCTATACCTTGATTCCAAACACACCAAGGCCCTTCTAGGGAGAATATATGTGTGAGCATATTAACTTGAAATTTATGGCAACTTTTGTTGAAGTACAGTATTGTTTTTCTTTTTTTCGAAACGGAGTCTCACTCTGTCACCATCCTGTTTGAGCCCAGCCTGACCAACATGAAGAAACCCCGTCTCTACTAAAAATACAAAATTAGCTGGGCGTGGTGGCACAGGCCTGTAATCCCAGCTACTCGGGAGGCTGAGGGAGGAGAATCACTTGAACTCAGGAGGGGTAGTTTGCAGTGAGCGGAGATCGCGCCGTTGCACTCCAGCGTGAGCAACAACAACAAAATATGATTGAACAACTTAACATTTTTCTCCCCAAAAAAGTAGAGTAACAAATTAACTCTATAGTCTAGTGTACAGTAAATAAATGAAAAACAAAGATATTGAGTCATTTATTTTAGCTGCACAATTGGGAATAAAACACTTCTTGGGCTACAGGCCAAGAGCTTTCAAATATGTTAGCTTATAGAATGTGGGGAGACCTGGTATAGAAACATTCACCCCTCGTGCCAGGCGTGGTGGCTCATGCCTGTAATCCCAGCACTTTCGGAGGCCAAGACAGGCGTTATCACTTGAGGTTAGGAGTTTGAGACCAGCCTGGCTAACATAGTGAAACCCTGTCTCTACTAAAAATACAAAAATTAGCCGGGTGTGGTGGCAGGTGCCTGTAATCCCAGCTACTCGAGAGGTTGAGGCAGGAGAACCACTTGAACCCGGGAGGTGGAGGTTGCAGTGAGCCAGGATTGCACCACCGCACTCCAGTCTGGGCGACAGAGTGAGAATCTGTCCCCCCACCCAAAAAAAAAAAAAAAAAAAAAAAAAAAAAACAGAAACATTTGCCCCTATGCCCAAAGTGAACATAATTCTCTTTCACTCCTAATTCCAACTATTAACTTAGAACTGGAGAAATGTAATATGTCATTATTCCACAAAGTGTTTTATTACTTTTATTTTAGATTCAAGGGGTACACATACATATTTGTAACATAGGTATACTGCATGATTTTGAGGTTTGGGTATTTAATAATCTCGTTGCCCAAGTAGAGTACATCATACCTGATAAGTAGTTTTTTCAAAGCTTATCTCCTTTTTTTTTCTTTTTTAGAATTCCCAGTGTTTATTGTTTTTATTTTTGTTTCCAGGTTCACCCAAGGTTTAGCACCCACTTATAAATAAGAACATGTGGTATTTGAGATACTTATACACATGCAATACTATGGAGCCATAGAAAAGAAAAAGTAATGTTCTTTGCAGCAACGTGGCTACAGCAGGCCTTTAATCTAAGCAAATGAACGTGAAACATCAATCTAAGATTCATATGTACCTGGTTTAAATCCATGCCTTTGCTATTGCGAATACTGCTGCAGTAAACATCTGAGTGCAGGTGTCTTTTTGGTAAAATAATTTATTTTTCTTTAAGCATATACCCAGTAACAAGGTTGATGGGTCAAATGGCAATTGTATCTTTAGTTCTTTGAGAAATCTCCAAACTGTGTTCCACAGGGGCTGAATTAATTTGCATTGCCACCAACAGTGTGTAAAGATTCCCTTTTCTCCACAACTACGACGTGTTATTTTTTGACTTTTTAATAACAGCCACTTTAACTGTTGTGAGATGGTATCATATTGTCATTTTGATTGACATCTCTCTGATAATTTGAGATGTTGAGCAATTTTCTTGCATGTTTATTGCCAGTTTTTATGTCTTCCTTTGAGAAGTATCTATTCATATCATTTGTCTGCTTTTTTCCTATTAAATTTCTTATAGATTCTATATATTAATTTTTATTGTACACAGTTTGCAAATATTTTATTCCATACTGTAGGTTGTCCATTTACTTTGTCAATAGTTTATTTTCCTGTACAGAAGCTCTAGATTAGATGTCAATTTTCAATTTTTTTTTTTTTTAAGACAAAGGACTCACCCTGTCGCCCAGGAAGGAGGGCAATGGCATGATATCAGCTCACTGCAACCTCCGCCTCCTGGATTCAAGCAATTCTGCCTCAGCCTCCCGAGTAGCTGGGATTACAGGTGTGCACCACCACACCCAGCTGGTTTTTTGTATCTTTAGTAGAGACAGGGTTTCACTGTGTTGGCCAGGCTGGTCTCAAACTCCTGACCTCATGATCTGCCCACCTAAGCCTCTCAAAGTGCTGGCATTACAGGCATGAACCACTGCACCCAGCCTGTTGCATTTATTTTTAAGGTGTTAAATTCCTTCCAGAGGCCAGTGTCTAGAAGAGTACTTTCTAGGTGTTCATCTAGGATTTTTATAGCTTGAAGCTTCACAACTAAGTCTTTAAACTATCTTATGTTTTTTATATGGTGAGAGGTACAGGTTCAGTTTTTTTCTTCTGCATATGACTCACCAGGTTTCCGAGTACCATTTATTAGATAGGGAGTTACTTTCCCTTTGTTTATTTCTATTGACTTTGCCAAAAATAAGTTGTTTGTAGAAGTGTAGCTTTATTTCAGGGCTCTCTCTTCTGTTCCATTGGTCTATATGTATTTTTTTGTTTTTTTGTTTTTATTTTATTTTATTTTTTTATTGATCATTCTTGGGTGTTTCTCGCAGAGGGGGATTTGGCAGGGTCATAGGACAATAGTGGAGGGAAGGTCAGCAGATAAACAAGTGAACAAAGGTCTCTGGTTTTCCTAGGCAGAGGACCCTGTGGCCTTCCGCAGTGTTTGTGTCCCTGGGTACTTGAGATTAGGGAGTGGTGATGACTCTTAACGAGCATGCTGCCTTCAAGCATCTGTTTAACAAAGCACATCTTGCACCGCCCTTAATCCATTTAACCCTGAGTGGACACAGCACATGTTTCAGAGAGCACAGGGTTGGGGGTAAGGTCATACATCAACAGGATCCCAAGGCAGAAGAATTTTTCTTAGTACAGAACAAAATGAAAAGTCTCCCAAGTCTACTTCTTTCTACACAGACACAGCAACCATCCGATTTCTCAATCTTTTCCCCACTTTTCACCCTTTTCTATTCCACAAAACCACCATTGTCATCATGGCCCGTTCTCAATGAGCTGTTGGGTACACCTCCCAGACGGGGTGGTGGCCGGGCAGAGGGGCTCCTCACTTCCCAGTAGGGGCGGCCGGGCAGAGGCGCCCCTCACCTCCCGGACAGGGCGGCTTGCCGGGCGGGGGCTGACCCACCTCCCTCCCGGACGGGGCGGCTGGCCGGGTGGGGGCTGACCCCCCACCTCCCTCCCGGATGGAGCGGCTGCCCTGGGGGGGGCTGACCCCCACCTCCCTCCCGGACGGGGCGGCTGGCCGGGCGGGGGCTGACCCCCACCTCCCTCCTGGACGGGGTGGCTGCCAGGCGGAGACGCTCCTCACTTCCCAGACGGGGCGGCTGCTGGGCGGACGGGCTCTTCACTTCTCAGACGGGGTGGCCGGGCAGAGATGCTCCTCACCTCCCAGATGGGGTCGTGGCCAGGCAGAGGCGCTCCTCACATCCCAGATGGGGCAGCAGGGCAGAGGCGCTCCCCACATCTCAGACGATGGGCGGCCGGGCAGAGACGCTCCTCACTTCCTAGATGGGATGGCAGCCGGGCAGAGACGCTCCTCACTTTCCAGACTGGGCAGCCAGGCAGAGGGGCTCCTCACATCCCAGATGATGGGCGGCCAGGCAGAGACGCTCCTCACTTCCCAGACGGGGTGGCAGCCGGGCAGAGGCTGCAATCTCGGCACTTTGGGGGGCCAAGGCTGGCGGCTGGGAGGTGGAGGTTGTAGCAAGCCAAGATCACGCCACTGCACTCCAGCCTGGGCACCATTGAGCACTGAGTGAACGAGACTCCGCCTCCAATCCCGGCACCTCGGGGGGCCGAGGCTGGCGGATCACTCGCGGTTAGGAGCTGGAGACCAGCCCGGCCAACACAGCAAAACCCCGTCTCCACCAAAAAAATACGAAAACCAGTCAGGCGTGGCGGCATGCGCCTGCAATCGCAGGCACTCGGCAGGCTGAGGCAGGAGAATCAGGCAGGGAGGTTGCAGTGAGCCGAGATGGCAGCAGTACAGTCCAGCTTCAGCTCGGCATCAGAGGGAGACCGTGGAAAGAGAGGGAGAGGGAGACTGTGGGGAGACGGGAGAGGGAGAGGGAGAGGGAGAGGGAGAGGATGTATTTTTTTTGTATCAGAACCATGTTATATTGGTTACTGTAGCATGTAGTACAGTTTGAAGTCATGTAATATTAGGCTTCCAGGTTTATTCTTTTTAAGAATACCTTGGCTATATGGGCTCTTTTATTCTTTAATATGAATTTCAAAGTTTTTTTTTTCTAGGTTCACCAAAAATGGCATTGATAGTTTGATAGAAATAACACTTAATCTGTGGGTTGCTTTAGGGAGCATGGACACTTTAATTATATTGATTCTTCAAATTCATGAGGATGGAATGTTTTCCCTTTTTTTTTTTTTTTTTTTTTTTTTGAGACATAGTCTCGCTCTGTTGCCAGGCTGGAGTGCAGTGGCGCAATTTCGGCTCACTGCAACCTCTGCCTCCTGGGTTCAAGCGATTCTCCTGCCTCAGCCTCCCAAGTAGCTGGGATTACAGGCACGCGCCACCATGCCCAGCTAATTTTTGTAGTTTTAGTAGAGATGGGGTTTCACCATGTTAGCCAGGCTGGTCTTGAACTCCTGACCTCATGATCCACACACCTCGGCTTCCCAAAGTGCTGGGATTACAGGCATGAGCCACCGCGCCCAGCCATGTTTTCCATTTCTATGTGTCGTCTCTGATTTGTTTCAGTAGTGTTTTGTAGTTCTCCCTGTGGAGATATTTTACCTCCATGACTTAATGCATTCCTAGGTATGTTAATTTTTTGGTGTGGCTATTTTAAATAAAGCTGTGCTCTTGATTTTATTGTCAGCTTGAATGTTATTGGTGTACAGAAATGCTACTCATTTGTGTATGTTAATTTTGTATCTTGAAACTTTGCTGAAGTCATTTTTTAGACTTAGGAGTCTTTTGGTGAAATCTCTAAAGTTTCCCTGGTAGAAAATTGACTTTCTTTTCTCCTATTTGGATGACTTTTATTTCTTTATCTTGTTGGATTGCTCTGGCTAGGACTTCCAAAACTATGTTGAATAGGAGTATTTAGAGTGGATATTCTTATTTTTATTCTTATGAAGAATGCATCCAGCTTTCACCTGTTCAGTATGATGTTGGCTGAGAATTTGTCATAGATGGCTCTTATTATTGTGAGATATGTTTCTTCAATGCCCAGTTTGTTGAGGATTTTTGAACGAATATTGGATTTTCTTGAGTGCTTTTTCTGCATCTATTGTTATAATCATCTGATCTTATGAGTTTAATTATCTTCACATGGTGAATGACACTTATTGACTTGCATATGATGAAATATCTTTGCAGTCATAAAATAATACTCACATGATTGTGGCAAAATAACTTTTTGATTTGCTTATGAACTCAGCTTGCTAGTATTTCAGGAAGGATTTCTGTTTCAATGTTCACCAGGAATATTGGCCTGTAGATTTTTTTTGTTGTGTCTTAAGCAGATTTTGGTATCAAGATGATACTGATTTCATATAACAAGTTGGGAAGGAAACCCACTTTCATTTTTGGAATATATTCAGTAGAATTAGTACCAGATCATATTTGTATTTGTGGTAAAATTAGGCTGCAAATACATCTGATCCAGGGCTTGTTTTATTTTGTAGGGTTTTTGTTTTATTACAAATTCAATTTTATTATACATTTAATACATTTTTGCTCTGTTTAAGACTTCTCTTTTTTCCTGATTAAATCATGGGAAGTTGTGTATATTGACACATAGGCCAATGGAACAGAAAAGAGAGACCAGAAGTATATTCATGTATTTACAGTTAACTAATTTTAGACGTAGGTGAACATTTTCTAGGGAAAAAATAGTATCTTCAACAAATGGTGTCAAGAAAACTTTATATCCACATGCAGAGAAATAAAATGAGACCATATTACACTATATATAAAAATCAACTCAAAATAAATTAAATACTTAAATGTAAGGCCTGAAACTCTGAAACTACTATGAAAAATATAGAGTGAAATCCCCATAACATTGGTCTAGGCAGTGACTTTTTTAACTTAACCTCAAACTCTCAGGGAATCAAAGAAAAAATAGATGAGTCAGACTATTTCAAATTAAAAAGCTGCTGCACAGAATCTGATACGACCAACAGGATAAGACAACTAAAAAATGAGAGAAAATGCTTGCAAATCACATGTGACAAGGGGTTAATATTTTAAAAAAAGCTTAAATGACTGTACAACAAAAGACAAATAACCATTAAAAATGAGCAAGAGGCTTAAATATTTTTCAAGGAAAGACATACATATGGCTAAGAGATATATAAAAAATGCTCAACATCAATTATCAGAGAAAATAAACCAAAACTCTTTGAGGTATCCATTCACTCCTGTGAGAATTACTCTTATTACAAAGAAAATAGGTTGTGAAGAAAAGGGAATGCTTGCACACTGGTTTGAATGTGAATGAGGACAGTCATTATAAAAAACTAAATATTTCTCAAAAAATAAAATTAAACTACCATATAATACAGCAATTTCAGCCAGGTGCAGTGGCTCATATCTGTAATCCTAGCACTTTGGGAGACCGAGGTGGGTGGATCACGAGGTCAGGAGATCGAGACCATCCTGGCCAATGTCATGAAACCCTGTCTCTACTAAAAATACAAAAATTAGCTGGGCGTGGTGGTGCATGCCTGTAATCCCAGCTACTCGGGAGGCTGAGGCAGAAGAATCACTTGAACCGGGGAGGTGGAGGTTGCAGTGAGCCAAGATCGCGCCACTGCACTCCAGCCTGGCAACAGACCTAGACTGTCTCAAAAAAAAAAAAAAAAAAAAAAAAATTCACTATTGTTTATATATCCCAAACAAATGAAATCAGAATGAAGAAATAATTGCACTTCTACACTGCTTGCAACACTCTTCACAATTCTCAAAATATGGAATCAATAGTTCAACATTTAACGAATAAAGACAATGTGGTACATACTATGGAATACTATTCATCTTCAAAAAAGAAAATTCTATTATTTTCCATCACATAAATTAAACTGGAGGACATTATATTTGTTGAAATGAGCCAGGTACAGAAAGATGACCATTTCATGATTTCACGTACACATGGATTCCAAAAAACATAATCTCGGCCAGGTGCGGCGGCTCATGCCTGTAATCCTAGCACTTTGGGAAGCCAAGAGGGGTGGATTGCCTAAGCTCAGGAGTTCGACACCAGTCTGGGCAATGTGGCAAATCCCTGTCTCTACTAAAAATACAAAAATTTAGCCAGAGGTGGTGGTGAATGCCTGTAATCTCAACTACTCAGGAGGCTGAGGCAGGAGAACCACTTGAACCTGGGAGGCGGAGGCTGCAGTGAGCTGAGATAGCACCATTGCACTCTAGCCTGGGTGACAGAGTGAGACTCTGTCTCATAAATAAATAAATACATACATAAATAAACAAAATGTAATCTCATTGAAGTAGAGAGTAAACTGGTGACCACCAGAATCCAGCGTATTTAGAAAAAAGGGAGGGTGGAAAGATGTCAAAGAATACATAACTATAGTTGGATAGAAAGAAGTTCAGGAGGTTTTTTTTTTTAAAGCATGGTGACTATAGATTATAATAATATATTAGTATTTTTGGAAAATGCTGACAATGTCATCTGCTCTCACCACAAAAATGTTAACTCTGTGAGGTAAAACTTTAATGACCTAAAATTAAGCATTTGACAATGTATATATACTTCCAAACATAATGTTTTACAGAGCAAATACACATTTATTTATTGCAGACAGTAATGGAATGAAAGACACTGAAAAAGAGGTGTTTCTTATGGTCTCATGACTAACTACTCTGTTAACACAGTAAATAAGTTTGCATGCAAAATAACAGAAAACGTTTTAATCCAAAAGCTGCCATTATCTCCAAAAGTTTTCCATAGAAAATAAGAAGTTGGCTAGTTAGGTGACTAAGAATAAAAACTGTAGACTAAACCAGTTATTAAAATAATTATATAAAGAGTGAGAAATTTTTCTGAATTGTACCTATCAATATAGAAAAGACATAGTATTCCAAATATTGAATCAACAGAGGTCATATTACTTTGCAACCTTGAATATTCACCCTTTAAAATAGAAGATTCTGCAAAAAAAAAGTATGCTGTGCTATATCATGGAAAATTAAATTTAAAATTCTTCACTTACCATTAGCTCTCTTAAAAATTTAATTTCTAAGATCTATTTTCTAGTAAATTTAATATTTGCCACACTTTATGTAAGAATTTAATAAGATGCTCCTTTTAAAAACAGGGGAAAACAATGCTGATTTAATCCTCTCACCTGTGGACATTAAATGCCTTTTTTCTTAACTAATCTGAAAGTTATATTGATAAGCAAACTCTCTAGTTATAACCAATTTTTCAGTGCATTAAAAAATACCAACTTTCTCATCAAAGCCTACAAAGTACCATGTGAATTGACATGGCATGAAGACAACAGTGAGAAAACTGTGGCAATAACACAGAAAAAGAAGGACTGTGTTGAATACACTGAAGACACATAAGATAAACAAAACTGAAGATAATTAGGAAATTAAAAAAAAAACAGCAAGATTCAGCTTTGCAGCCTGAAAAAAAATGTTCTCTCCACATAAAAAATCAATGTTAGTTCTTCACTATTAATATTTTCCATCTCTGACTTGAAGTTAGTTACAAACTAACACCAGCAGAAATACATATGGCTCATTATGGAGCATCTGTTACACCATAAGCAATGTCATGTTTGTTTGCTACATCTATATATAAAAACATTTTCATGACTTATGAAGTCTTTCTAGTTCTTACCTGAACTAGCTCAATAAATAAATTTACTTATGTCACCTATAACAAGACAAAAGAATACTAACTAAAGAAAAGTAGGCTTATATAGGATTCTACAATGGAAAGAAGAAATAGAATGTTCTAAATAAAATATAATACACAAATTTTGGAAACACATCTAGAAGTTATTTTGTGTGTACTCCTAAACTTTATAAAAATCATTCTTATAATCCATGACCAGCTCACATGATGAATACCTGATAAATTATAAAAGAAAAACGCATAAGTAACAAGAAAATTAAAGGTGTAGCATGAGTATCACGCAAGTATAAACAAAAACTTTGCATGGGGAGATTCTAAATCGTAAGCCAGATTTTACAGAAATGAATTCAATGCAAAGCAGAGGGTATAGATTTGCTTTCAGCATTTTTGAGGTTTTCAGTTGTCTAGTAAATTAGTCACCTTTTAAAAATTATTAGTTTTGGCCGGGCGCGGTGGCTCACGCCTGTAATCCCAGCACTTTGGGTGGCCGAGGCGGGCGGATCACGAGGTCAGGAGATTAAGACCATCCTGGCTAATGCGGTGAAACCCTGTCTCTACTAAAAATACAAAAAAATTAGCCGGGCGTGGTGCTGGGCGCCTGTAGTCCCAGCAACTCGGGAGGCTGAGGCAGGAGAATGGCGTGAACCCGGGAAGCGGAGCTTGCAGTGAGCCGAGATCGCACCACTGCACTCCAAGCCTGGGCGACAGAGCAAGACTCCGTCTCGAAAAAAAAAAAGATTAGTTTTGTTCCAATATTGCTCGTCTTCTGAAAATAGGTACAAGCTAATACACAAACACACTTACTTGCTCCATAATTTTCTCATACCTAAGGTTCATTTTTAGAGTAATATATGTGTATAGTTAAGTGTATGTAAATCAAAACTAAAATGCTGTATGTTTGCAGGCAGAGAGGTCACATGTTCAAAGAAAAATATATAACATTTTTTAAATGTTTATTCAGAACTCAGAATTTTCTCATGGTTTATTTATACTTGTATATAATTTTTATTATAACCATAAAATGACCCTGTAGTAACGACTGTACATTCTAAAGTATCTAAAAGTGCAGAATTGGTTTGTAATACAAAGGAGAAATGCTGGAGTTGATGGATACATCTTTTGCCCTGATGTGATTAATACATAAAATTATATGCCTGTATCAAAATATGCCATACATGGCATAAAGATATACACATACTATGTATCCACAAAAATTAAGAGAAATAAGTTTAAATTTTAAAAAGAATAAAAATCTAACCTATGGGAACAATATTCTTTATTAGCAGTTTAAAGTCACTAGCAAAAATAATTATTAGAGATGTTAGCCCATTATGTTATCAAGTAGTATACTGTTACCCTCTTTTACCTAAACCCTTGAGTAATGTGGG
Organism: Homo sapiens; assembly: GCF_000001405.40. Taxonomy (NCBI): domain Eukaryota; kingdom Metazoa; phylum Chordata; class Mammalia; order Primates; family Hominidae; genus Homo; species Homo sapiens. The sequence goes on along the minus strand of NC_000007.14, from coordinate 64,711,130 downwards.
ATAGGTAAAGTCAGTGGCATGAAAACACTTCATTGAATGCACAATAGTTTTAACATGTTAAAAAAAGTTTAATTAAAAAACTAAGTTCACGCATAATCCAAAAATTTTTAAACACATTGCATTTTATTACATAAAAGTACAAATAGTAAAATGATATACTACTAATTCACTTTAATTTTAACTAAGATTAAAAATGGTTTTCTCTTACTATAATGCAGAAGAATATTGCTCTGAAAACCTACTTCATGGATCACTCAATATTATAAGTTAAACACAAACAGCCTCTTCACTCAGGTTTTCATCATGCATCTTACATTTTAATGTCCTTATTCTTTCATAGAAAGTGTCATAAATAATACCGACCTAACAGAAATGATTTCTCATATCTTTGATGCATGAAAAATTAATCACATGCTTTCACATGTGAATACAATAGGAATGAAGAGCATGAATTTGAGTTGAATTACATCATTTGCTTTTCAAAAACTAATTTTTCAAGAAAAAATATAATTTGAATGTAATTATACATCTACAAAAAAATTCTACTTCTTTTAAAGTTATATACACATTATTTACCTACCAACTTTAGTTTTAAATTATTTTCTATACTCAGCATTCTGATTCTATACTCAGCAATGTCTGAAGTGTCAGTACCTTAGATATTTCTACTGTGAATTCTCTGATATTTATATAGACTTAATTTTGGATTAAATTATTTTTATATTTACTTCACTTGCAAAAATATATTTTAGTATGAGGCCTCTGGTATTTTCTAAGCTGTAGTTTTTTAAAAAATGTTTTCACAAATGCATTACATTTACAGTGCTTTTCTCCAATATAAATTTTCTGGTGTTGAACAACATTTGAGCAACTGCTTCATGGTTTTCCTCTAGTGCAAAATGGGTACAAAAGTATCTGTGATACAAGTAAAGGTACTACAACCCTCTTCGTATTTGTATTGTTTGTCCTCACAATGAATACTCTTTTTTTGTTTTGTTTTTGAGACGAAGTTTTTGCTCTTGTTGCTTTGGCTGGAGTGTAGTGGTGTGATTTCAGCTCACTGCAATCTTCGCCTCCCAGGTTTGAGCAATTCTCCTGCTTCAGCCTCCCAATTAGCTGGGATTACAGGGGCCTGCCACCACACGCAGCTAATTTTTGTAAAATTTTTAATAGAGATGGGGTTTTGCTATGTTGGCCAGGCTGGTCTCAGACTCCTGCCCTCAGGTGATCCACCCACCTTGGCCTCCCAAAGTGCTGGCATTACAGATGTGAGCCAGCACAACTGGCTCCTCTTCTTCACTTTAAAGGCTTATATTTTCTGAAAGATCTCTTGACAAAAATTGCATTTATAATGCTTTTATTACGTACTAACTCTCTAATGTTGAGTAAAATCTGAGCAGATAATAATGGCTTTTCCACATTCCTTGTATTTGTACAATCTTTCTGAAGTATAAATGCTTTCCTGTGCAATAAGGGGTGAGCATTTATTAAAAGTGTTGCCACATTTTTTACACTTCCAGGAGTTTTCTTCAGTATGGATTCTTACCTACAATCAAGTGTGACAACCATTTAAAGGCTTTGTGATATTTTTCACATTTCTAGGATTTTTCACCAGTATGATTTATGTTAGAAAGTTCGAGGTGTTGTCAAAATTATTGTCACATCATTCAGGTTTGTAAAGTTTTCAGTATTATCTTATGTTTAGTGAGGTTTGAGGATTGGTTTAAAGTATTGCCACATTATTCACATTTGCAGGGTTTCTCTCAAAGTATAAACTGTCTTATATGTAGCAAGGTGTGAGGACCAGTTAAAGGCATTGCCACGTTTTTTACATTTGTAGGGTTTCTTTCCAGTATAAATACTCTTACATGTAGTAAGAGTTGAGAATCAGTTAAAAGCTTTGCCACAGACTTCACATTTGTAGGGTTTCTTTCCAGTATGAATTTTCTTATCTACAGTTAAGGGTTAAGGAAGGTTAAAAGCTTTGCCACATTCTTCACAATTGTAGGCTTTCTCTCCAGTATGAATTTCTGTATAGTAAGGTATGAGGATTGGTTAAAAGCTTTGCCACATTCTTCACAACTATAGAGTTCCTCTCCAGTATAAATTATCTTATGTGTAGAAAGGTGTGAGGACTGATTAAAGGCATTGCCACATTCTTCTCATTTGTATGGCTTTTCTCCAGTATGAATTACCTTATGTTTAGTAAAAGTTGAGGATCAGTTAAAGGATTTGCCACATTTTTCACATTTGTAGGATTCTCTCCAGTACGAATTTTCTCAACTTTCAGTAAGGTTTGAAGATTAGTTAAAAGCTGTGCCACATTCTTTACATTGTAAGGTTTCTCACCAGTATAAAATACCTCGTGTGTGCAGAAAAAGTTGAAGACTTGTTAAAGGCTTTAACACATTCTTCACATTTGTAGTTTCTCTCCAGTATGAATTTTCCTATGTGTAGTAAGCTTGTAGGATCAATTAAGTTTTGCCATACTCACATTTGTAGGGTTTCTCTCCAGTATGAATTTTCTTATGTGTAGTAAGATTTGAGGATAGGTTGAAAGCTCTGCCATAATCTCCACATTTGTAGGGTTTCTCTCCAGTATGAATTATCTTATGTATATTAAGAGATGAGAACTGGTTAAAGGATTTGCCACATTCTTCACATTTGTAGGGTTTCTCTGAAGTATGAATTTTCTTATGTGTAGTAAGGTTTGAGGATTGGTTAAAAGCTTTGCCACATTCTTCACATTTATAGGGTTTCTCTCCAGTATGAATTTTCTTATGTGCAGTAAGGGTTGAGGATAGGTTAAAAGCTTTGCCACATTCTTTACATTTGTAAGGTTTCTCTCCAGTATGAATTATCTTATGTCTATTAAGGGTTGAGGAGCAGTTAAAGGCTTTGCCACATTCTGCACATTGGTAAGGTTTCTCTCCCGTATGAATTCTCTTATGTATAGTTAGGTTTGAGAATCGGTTATAAGCTTTTCCACATTCTTCACATTTGTGGGGTTTCTCTCCAGTATAAATTATCTTATGGTTAGTAATGTTTGAGAATAGGTTAAAAGCTTTTCCATGTTCTTCAAATTTGTAGAGGTTCTCTCCAGTATGAATTATCTTTTGTGTAGTAAGGTTTGAGGACTGGTTAAAAACTTTGCCATGTTCTTCACATTTGTAGGGTTTCTCTCCAGTATGAATAATTTTATGTATAGTACGGTGTGAGGACTGTTTAAAGGCCTTGCCAAATTCTTCACATTTGTTGAGTTTCTCTTTAGTATGAACTATCTTATGTCTAGTAAGTTGATAGGATTGATTAAAGGCTTTTCCACATTCTTCACATTTATAGGGTTTTTCTCCAGTATGAATTCTCTTATGTTTAGTAAGGGTTGAGAATCGGTTAAAAGCTTTGCCACATTCCTCACATTTATAGGGTTTCTCTCCAGTATGAATTTTCTTATGTTCAGTAAGGTTTGAAGACTGGCTAAAAGCTCTGTCACATTCTTCACATTTGTAGGGTTTCTCTCCAGTATGAATTTTCTTATGTCTAGTAAGGGTTGAGGATCGATTAAAAGCTTTTCCACATTCTTCACATTTGTATGGTTTCTCTCCAGAATAAATTTTCCTATGGTTAATTAGGTTTGAGTGTTGGTTAAAAGCTTTGCCACATTCTTCACATTTATAGGATTTCTCTGCAGTATGAATTTTCTTATGTTCAGTAAGGTTTGAAGATTGGTTAAAAGCTTTGCCACATTCTTTACATTTGTAGGGTTTCTCTCCAGTATGAATTATCTTATGTCTAGTAAGAGTTGAGAACTGGTTAAAGACTTTGCCACATTCTTCACATTTGTAGGGTTTCTCTTCCATTAGAATTTTCTTATGTGCAGTAAGTTTTAAGGATCGGTTAAAAGCTTTGTCACATTCTTCACATTTGTTGAGTTTCCCTCCAGTATGAATTTTCTCCTGTTTATTAAGGTTTGAGGATATGTTAAAAGCTCTGCCACATTCTTTACATTTGTAGGGTTTCTCCCCAGCATGAATTCTCTTATGGTTAGTAAGATTTGAGAATAGGTTAAAAGCTTTTCCACATTCTTTACACTTGTAGAGGTTCTCTCCAGTGTGAAGTATCTTTTGTGTAGTAAGGTGTGAGGACTGGCTAAAGACTTTGCCACATTCTTCATATTTGTAAGGTTTTTCTCCAGTATGAATTATTTTATGTATAGTAAGGTGTGAGGCCTGTTTAAAGGCCTTGCCACATTCTTCACATTTGTTGGGTTTCTCTTCAGTATGAATTATCTTATGCCTAGTAAGTTGTGAGGACTGGTTAAAGGCTTTGCCACATTCTTCACATTTGTAGGGCTTTTCTCCAGTATGAATTCTCTTATGTTTAGTAAGAGTTGAGAACCAGTTAAAGGCTTTTCCACATTCTTCACATTTGTAGGAATTCACTCTAGTATGAATTCTTCTATGCTGAGTTAGTTGTGAAAGCACGCAAAATGATTTGCTACATTCTTTACATTTGAAGTGTTTGTTTCCTGTATGTCTTCTCTTATATCTATTTGAATTTGAAAATTTATCAAAGACTTTCACATATTTATTACACTGGAATATTTTGCTTGGGGTAGCTGTCAAACATTGGTTAACTGTATTATGACCTCCTTTGTGCCCCGTACACTCATCCACATGTTTACAGCCTTTTCTTAACTGTAAATTCTCATATTCACATTTTCCGTATCTTCTCAGTGTCACTTTCTGGAAAGAATCTTTTATGTTCTGCTCTGGCCAAAGGTCTTGGGCAAAATGAAAAGACATTACTGAAAGAAATAAAAATAATAAATTACTCCACTTGCTAGACTCAGATAAATGTACTTTAAAATCTAATCTATAAAATTATACAAACTACATAAGCCAGATTGCATAGCAAAATACCACAGGCTCTAATTTCTTCATAGACATATAAATGTAACAAAAACATAAACACCAAAATACATTTGTGGAAAATTTATAAATGAGTTCAGTGTGTGCAGTGCCCTAGGTGAGCACAATGCAAAGAGCCACATAGAAGAAAGAGACAAGTCTGTTTTATTTACCCAACAAAGCTCTTTCTGTTCCCCAATATAACATAGTGCCTTTAGAAGTAAATTGCCAACTCTTAGTGTTTTTTTTTTTAAAGACAAGAAAAATAATAACAAACATATACATCTTTATTTCTGGCTTCTATGTGCCTTTGCAGATATTGGTTTCGGTCTCCCATGACATAGAGGGCTGAAAGAAATGGTGGTATACTTTGGAATGACATTTTGAGTTGCTGAGATCAAAGGTAAATGTTACAGCAGTGAAGAGACTGCAGTACTACAGACAGGTAACAGTTGTAGCAAGTGATTACCGACTATCAAGAAGAAACATGAACAAACTCTTTTAACTGAAAAAAAAAAAAAAAAGCTAGAAAATTTCAGACAAGACACATCTTAAGAACATGTCTGAAAGACTCTCAGAATCACTACTCAAGACAAATGGTTTCCAACTATGCCAGGACAAAGCTACATTATAAAGATTGTGATGGACAACTTGTTTTTAATTTCCAAATTTCAATTAAAGATTACAACGTATAAAAAATATTAGGGCAATACAGCCCCACAAAAATTATAAAATTTTCAGAAAGCAACCATTAAAAAATAAAAATGTACAAATTAATTTTAAAATTTTAAAGTAAATTGAATAACACTCCATGAGTGAATAGGAACACAAACAACTATTGAAAATCAGAAAAATGAGAATACCAACAAAAATATTAAAAATAGCAAAAAACAGAAATTGTGGAGGTAAAAATGCAAAAAAAACTTAAAAATATAAAAGAAAAATTAATGTAAAAATAAAGACAACAAACTAGAATACACACGAAGATATTTATAAAACATATATAAGCAAAATTTCAAAAGTCACAGACAACAGAATCTTGCGAACTGCAAGATGAAAGTGATATGTCATTTATAATAATAGGCTTATAAGATAGCCAGTGAATACGTCAAGAAAATTTTGCAGGTCAGAAGGGAAGTATGATATAGTCTAAGTGCTGAAAACAATAGCTGTCAAGTGAGAATAATACCAACAACTGTCCTGCCAAATAAAAGAAAAACACCTTCCAAAATAACAAAATTTGGCTGGGTGCGATGGCTCACGTCTGTAATCCCAGCACATTGGGAGACCAAGGCAAGTGGATCACTTGTGGCAGGAGTTCAAGACCAGCCTGATCAACATGGTGAAACCCCATCTGTACTAAAAATATAAAAAATAATTAGTGAGGCATGGTGGTGCACTCCTGTACTCCCAGCTACTTGGGAAGCTGAGGCAGAAGAATCGCTTGAACCCTGGAGGTGGAGGCTGCAGTGAGCCGGGGTCACACCACTACACTCCAGCCTGGGCAACAAGAGTGAAACTCCATCTCGAAATAAATAAACAAAAAACAAAATTCTGAAAATGTATTTTGGCACTGCCTATGCCCTACATATCAAAGATACTGAAAGGAGTTCCTTCCACTGAAAATAACATGATGCAAGAAAACAGCACATAATCATATGAAAATATATGACTTTCAGCCAGGCGCGGTGTCTCGTGCCTGTAGTCCCAGCACTTTGGGAGGCTGAGACGGGCAGATCACAAGGTCAAGAGATTGAGACCATCCTGGCAAACATGGTGAAACCCTGTCTCTACCAAAAATACAAAAATTAGACAGGTGTGGTGGTGCATGCCTGTAATCCCAGCTACTCAGGAGGCTGAGGCAGGAGAATCACTTGAACCTGGGAAACGGAGGTTGCAGTGGGCCAAGATCGCGCCACTGCACTCTAGCCTGGCGACAGAGTGAGACTCCATCTAAAAAAAATAAATAAATAACTTTCTGGGAAAGATATGCACATATACAAAAACAGAATTTCACAGCATTATCATAATGGCGCATAAAGCATTTTTAATTATTATCTAAAATGTAAAAAAAGCACAGGAATTATTATAAACACCTGCTAATGAATATACAACATATAAATATATAATTAACATCAATGACAAAGTTGAGGGCAGACGTAATGAATAAGAATTTTTGTATGCAAATAAAGTTGATTTTTTTTTTACTAGATTATAATATACTGTTTTATCTTGTAGAGGTTTTATGTAATCCCCAAGGAACCACAAAGAATATATCTGTGTAGATATACAAAACCAAATAAGAAAGAAAAGCATATAAATACAAAAATCAAAAGACACAAAGGAAGAAAGAAAGACAGAAAATAAGGGACAAAGATACAAGAATCAAATTAAACAATAACGTTAGCAAGTCTTTCTGTTTCAGAAGATTATTTAAATATATATATAATTCACTTTATTTAAATATCTATAAAATCAAGAGACAAACTTTTGGCCAGGCACGGTGGCTCAGACCTTTAATCCCAGCACTTTGCGAGGCTGAGGCAGGTGGATCACCTGAGGTCAGGAGTTCAAGACCAGCCTGGCCAACATGGTGAAACCCCATTCAATTGAAAATACAAAAATTAGCTGGGCATGGTGGTGGGTGCCTGTAATCCCAGCTACTCAGAAGGCTAAGATAGGAGAATTGCTTGAACCTGAGAGGTGGAGGTTACAGTGAGCTGAGATCATACCACTGCACTTTAGCCTTCAAATTATCTTTCAATCTAAACGTTTTGCTCCCACACAAAAATATGGATTCAAATATAACTAAATGTTGAAATTAGGAGAATTTTTATGACTGCTCACCTAGACAAAATTGAACAACCATTCACAACAAACCTGTGCCAGAAAAATACAAATCATAAAAAAATACAGGGATAATATTTATACAAACAGATAATTACATTGGCAGTAGACAATGAATATGGTTAATTCATAGTTGATTTTGCTCCACACTGTCTTAAATTGCAGAGTTAAATATTGTCATACACAATTAAAATATAAACTATCAAAATACAATTAACTGGTGTGAGGTGGCACATCCTAAAATATATAACATAAAAATATTAAATTGCAAAACAAAATTAAAGCATGGAATGCAAAACTTATCGAATGCCATCAAGTATGTCAATATATTCAAGAAAGAAATATTAGAAGAAGAATATAGAAAAAAAGTAATAGAAAGGTTACTTGAAGACATAAAAGGCGGATAACTTCCCAAATTTTGATGTAATAAAAAAATTTTAACCAGTAAGACTTAATTCAAAATTATTTTACTTCAAACACAAAATATAAATAAAGACTTCCCAAAAAAAGAGGTAGGCTGGGTGCGGTGGCTCACGCCTATAATCCCAGCACTCTGGGAGGCTGAGGCAGACAAATCACCTGAGGTCGGGAGAGTTCGAGAACAGCCTGACCAACATGGAGAAACCCCGTCTCTACTAAAAATACAAAATTAGCTGGGTATAGTGGCACATGTCTGTAATCCCAGCTACTCCGGAGGCTGAGGCAGGAGAATCGCTTGAATCTGGGAGGCAGAGGTTGTGGTGAGCCGAGATCGCACCACTGCACTTCAGCCTGAACAAGAGCGAAACTTTGTCTCAAGAAAAAAAAAAGTACATGAAAAATGAAATATTAATCTGTTAACAAATACACAATATAAAATAATTTGTAATATCAACAACTGAAAAATATAGAGGTTTAGTTTTTGTATTTAATTGAAGTTGTTAAGAGTTTAAAAATATTGGCCGGGCGCGGTGGCTCACGCCTGTAATCCCAGCACTTTGGGAGGTTGAGGCGGGTGGATCATAAGGTCAGGAGTTCAAGACCAGCCTGGCCAAGATGGTGAAACCCTGTCTCTACTAAAAGTACAAAAATTACAGTGTGCCTGTAATCCCAGCTACTTGGGAGGCTGAGGCAGGAGAATCACTTGAACCTAGTGGGGCGGAGGTTGCAGTGAGCCGAGATCATGCCACTGCACTCCAGCCTGGGCGACAGAGCAAGACTCCGTCTCAAAAAAAAAAATAAAACTGTTTTAACTTTAAGATGTTTTATGTAATCTCCATTTTTCATGACCATTATGAAAATATTTATAGAATGTATGAAAAACATTTTAAAAATAAAGTATGTCACTACACAATTAAAATTTAAATTGAAGAAAACAGAAGAAAAAACATCTACAGGAAACACATAAAACAATAATAATAAAATGATAATAGTAGCTTCATTTATTTAAACAATCATTTTAAATATAAATTAACTAAACTACTTAATAAGAAGAAATGTAATCCCAATATTTTGGGAGGCCAAGGTGGGCTGAACACTTGATCCTAGGATTACAAGACCAGCCTAGGCAACATAACAAAACCCTGTCTCTACAAAAAATACAAAAAATCTAGCTGGGTGTGATGGCACTTACTTGTAGTAGAGATACTTGAGAGGCTGAAATAAGAAGATTATCTGAGTTTGGGAGGTTAAGGCTGCAGCGAGTTGTGATTACACCACTACAAGCCAGCCTGATTGACAGAGTGAAACCCTATCTTAAATATGAATGAGTAAGTAAATATATTAAAAAAAAAAGAAAATACCTGAATGACTTAAGAAAAAAGCATACAATATGCTGCCTATAAGAGACTAATTTTAGGCCTGGCACAGTGGCTAACACTTGTAATCCCAGTACTTTGGGAGGCTAAGACCAGCCTGGCCAACATGGTAAACCCTGTCTCTACTAGAAAAAAAAAAAATACAAAAATTAGCCAGGCATGGTGGCACACCCTTGTAATCCCAGCTACTCAGGAGGCTAAGGCAGGAGATCACGTGAACCTGGGAGGCAGGGGTTGCAGTGAGCCAGCCTGGGTGACAAAGCAAGACTGCATCTCAAAAAGAAAAAAAAACGAAACTCATATTAGCATTGAGTCAAATAGGTTGAAAATATCAGAATGGGGAAAATATCTTTATTCTATGCAAATAGTAACCACAATTGGGTGAGGTAGTCATAATTATATTAGACATAATATGCTTTAAGTGAAGTATTAGCATGAGACAAAGATTGATATTATATAATAGTAAAATGGGTTAATTCACCAGGAACATGTAACTATTATATTTATCTATATGTACATGTATATATAACAATAGGGCTTCAAAATATATAAAGAAAATACTGACAAAAATGAAGCAAGAAATACATAGCAACATAATTGTAGACATCAAGACCCTATTTTCAATAACAGTTCAGATAAAAGATCAATAACAGCAAACTTAGAAAACATTATAGACTGTATTAATTTTTTTACATATAGAATAATACCTGAGAGCAGATAACTTATAAAGAAAAAAATGGCCAGGCATGGTGGCTCACGCCTGTAATCCCAACACTTTGGGAGGCAAAGGCGGGTGGATCACCTGAGGTCAGGAGTTCGAGACCAGCCTGGCCAACATGGCAAAACCCCATCTCTACTAAAAATACAAAAATTAGCCAGGCATGGTGGCAGGCACCTGTAATCCCAGCTACTTCAGAGGCTGAGGCAGAAGAATCACTTGAACCCAGGAGGCTGAGGTTGCAGTGAGCTGGGATCACGCCACTGCACTCCAGCCTATGCCACTGCACTCCACAGCCTGGGCAACAGAGGAAGACTCAGTCTCAAAAAAAAAAAAAAAAAAAAAAAAAAAAAGGTTTATTTGGCTTGGTTTGACAGACTGCACCTGTACAAGAAGTGCATGCCAGCATCTGCTTCTGGTGAGGATCTCAGGAAGCTTACGATCATGGTGGAAGGCAAAGAATAACTGAACATACACATATCACATGGTAATAGACAGAGGAAGTATGAGGTGAAGGAGCTAGTTTATTTTAATGAATCAGCTCTCATTTGAATTAACAGAGTATAAACTTTTTGATTACCAAGAGGATGACGCCAAGCTATTCACGAGGAAGTTGGCCCCATGGCCCAAATACCTGCCACCAGGTTTTACATCCAACATTGAGGAGTACATTGCAGCATGAGGTTTGCAGAACATGGACATGCAAACCATATTACAGACCAACTAAGCTTAACAGACATGTATAAAACTTTTCAGTCAAAAGCAAGAGAATGTACAATATTCTTTTTTTTTTTTTTTTGAGATGGAGTCTCACTCTGTCGCCCAGCCGCGGTGGCATGATCTCGGCTCACTGCAAGCTCCGCCTCCTGAGTTCACACCATTCTCTTGCCTCAGCCTCCCGAGTAGCTGGGACTACAGGCACCCGCTACCAAGCCCGGCTAATTTTTGTATTTTTAGTAGAGACGGGATTTCACCATGTTAGCCAGGATGATCTCGATCTCCTGACCTAGTGGTCCGCCCGCCTCGGCCTCCCAAAGTGCTGGGATTACAGGCGTGAGCCACCACGCCCGGCCGAGAATGTACAATATTCTTATTTGCACCTGGCGTATTCTGTTAGGAATCAAACCAAGTCTTATGAAATTTAAAAATACCAGTGAACTGCAGGAGCTCATGAGACCAACGTGGGAAGATTACTGGGGCCAGAAGTTTGAGACCAGCATGGACAACTTAGTGAGGCCCTGTTCCTACAAATAATAAAAATATTATCCAGACATGGTGGTCCCATAGTATGTCTGTAGTCCTAGCTACTCAGGAAACTGAGGTGGAAGAATCACTTGAGCCCAGCAAGCTGAGGCTGCAGTGAGCCAGTCATGCCATCATACCACTGCACTTTAGCCTGGGTGAGAGTAAGATCCTGTCTCAAAACAATGACAACAACAAATAAATTTAAGAAGACCAAAATCATACATTCCATGTTTTCTGACAAAACTGAATAAACCTACTAATTAAAAGCAAAAGTAAAGCTGGAAAACTCAAAAATATATTAAAATAAAACACACTGTTCAACATATTCTTGCTCAAGGGTAAAAAAATTTAATTTTTAAAAGATGTCAATATAACATACAGTGGTGAACAAATTCAATATAATTTTTATAAAAATCTTAATAGCACAATTTTTTACAGAAATATTATTTAAAATTTTAAATTTTTATTATAAACTATAACACCCATGGAAAAAAACAAAGAGGCATTATACTTCCTGATTTCAAAACAATTAAAAGCTATAATAACAAAAACAATGTGGTACTGACACAGACAGATAAACAGATGAAAGAACAGAAGAGACCAGAAATGAACCCATCTGTATATAATCAAATGATCTTCTACAAAGTTGCCACGAGTACAAAAGAGGGAAAAGATAATCTTTTCAAAAAATAATGTTGAGAACTGGATATCAACACTGATGAAATAAAGTTGGATCATTTCTTTGAACCATTCTCTTTGAAAATACAAAAAATATTTTAAAAAAATACTTAGAAATAAAAAATAACAAATCTCTTAGAAAAGAATATAAAGAAAATACATGACATTGGTCTTGGCATTACTTTCTTAAATACAACATTAAATGCAAGAGCAACAAGCCAGGCATGGTAGCTCACGCCTGTAATTCCAGCACTTTGGGAGGCTGAGGTGGGCAGATCACCTGAGGTCAGAAGTTCAAGACCAGCCTGGGCAACATGGTGAAACCCTGTCTCTACCAAAAATACAAAATTATCTGGGCATGGTGGCAGGAGCCTGTAATCCCAGCTACTGGAGAGGCTGAGGCAGGAGAATGCTTGAACCTGGGAGGCAGAGGTTGGAGTGAGCTGAGATCACACCACTGCACTCTAGCCTGGGCAACAAGAGCAAGACAGTCTCAAAGAAAAAAAAAAAAGAAAAATTCAACTATACTATATTTAAAATTAATGCACATCACAGACAACATTCAATAGAGTGACAACACCTCTTAGGAAATGAGTGAAAATATTTGCAAATCACATGTGATAGAAGTTAATATTACAAATATACAAACAACTCTTAAAACTGAACAATAAAGTTGAATTACTTCATTTAGAAATGGACAAATAATTGAATTAAATTTTCATCAAAAAAGATACACAAATTAGAAAACGCAACTGAAAGAACACAGTAAATTATCATTTGTAGAGAAATGCATAAAAATCACAATGAAAAACAAAATCACCTCACACCAATTAGAATGGCCATTATCAATTTTTTAAAGACACCAAATCTGTTGATGATGCAATAAAAATGAAACCCATATTGACTTCTGGTGAAAAACAAGAATGCAGCCATTGTTTTAAAATGTTATGTTTTACCGGCCGGGCGCGGTGGCTCACGCTTGTAATCCCAGCACTTTGGGAGGCCGAGGTGGGCGGATCACGAGGTCAGGAGTTCGAGACCACGGTGAAACCCCGTCTCTACTAAAAAATACAAAAAATTAGCCGGGCGTGGTGGCGGGCGCATGTAGTCCCAGCTACTCGGAGAGGCTGAGGCAGGAGAATGGCGTGAACCCGGGAGGCGGAGCTTGCAGTGAGCCGAGGTTGAGCCACTGCACTCCAGCCTGGGTGACAAAGCGAGACTCCGTCTCAAAAAAAAAAAAAAAATGCTATGTTTCTAAAATAATTAAAAATAAAATACTGTATCAAATAATAAATCCTATTTCTTAATCTATATCCAAAATATGCAAAACAGGACCTGAAAGACATATTTGAACATCTATGTTTATTGTACCAGTATTCACAAAAGCCAAAAGGCTGAAGGAACCCAGGTGTTCCTTTACTTATAAACACATCAAAAAATTTAACATATACATACAACAGGTGCTGGAGAGGATGTGGAGAAATAAGAACGCTTTTACACTGTTGGTGGGACTGTGAACTAGTTCAACCATTGTGGAAGTCGGTGTGGCGATTCCTCAGGGATCTAGAACTAGAAATACCATTTGACCCAGCCATCCCATTACTGGGTATATACCCAAAGGATTATAAATCATGCTGCTATAAAGACACATGCACATGTATGTTTATTGTGGCACTATTCACAATAGCAAAGACTTGGAACCAACCCAAATGTCCAACAATGATAGACTGGACTAAGAAAATGTGGCACATATACACCATGGAATACTATGCAGCCATAAAAAAGGATGAGTTCATGTCCTTTGTAGGGACATGGATGAAGCTGGAAACCATCATTCTCAGCAAACTATCGCAAGGACAAAAAACCAAACACTGCATGTTCTCACTCATAGGTGGGAACTGAACAATGAGAACACTTGGACACAGGAAGGGGAACATCACACACCGGGGACTGTTGTGGGGTGGGGGCAGGGGGGAGGGATAGCATTAGGAGATATACCAAATGTAAATGACGAGTTACTGGGTGCAGCACACCAACATGGCACATGTACACATATGTAACAAACCTGCATGTTGTGCACATGTACCCTAAAACAAAGTATAATAAAAAATAAAAAATAAATAAATAAATAAATCTTGTCACATTTTAAGATAAACTTTGAGAATATTATGTCACTAAAATAAGCTAGTAAAAAACTGATGGATACTACATGATTCCACTTACATGAGATAACTTAAGTAGTCACACTCATAAAAACCAAAAGTGGAAGGGTGTTTGTCAAGAGCTGGAAAAGGGGTAAAATGGGCAGTTGTTACTTAACGGGTATTGAATTTTAGTTTCACAAGATGTAAAATTTCTAGAAGTCTGTTAAATAACAATGTGAATATACTTAACATGCCTGAAATGAACAGTATATTTTTTTGAGACCAGGTCTCACTCTGTCACCCAAGCTGGAGTGCAGTGGCACAATTATCACTCACTGTAGCCACTAACTCCCAGGCTCAAGTAATCCTCCTCTCTCAATCTCCCAAAGAGCTGGGAAAACAGGTGCACACTACCATGCCTGGCTATTTTTTTAAAAAAACTGTAGGCTGGATGCGGTGGCTCATGCCTGTAATCCCAGCACTTTGAAAGGCCGAGGCGGGTGGATCAGGTCAGGAGTTCGAGACCAGCCTGGCCAGCATGGTGAAACCCCGTCTCTACTAAAAATACAAAAATTAGCCAGCCATGGTGGTGCACACCTGTAATCCCAGCTACTTGGGAGGCTGAGGCAGGAGAATCACTTGAACCTGGGAGGCGGAGGTTGCAGTGAGCCAAGATCATGTTTAGCTGGGCAACAGAGCGAGACTCCATCTAAAAAAAAAAAAAATTGTAGAGAGGGAATCTCCATATGTTTTCCAAGCTGGTCTCAAACTTTTGGGCTCAAGCGATCCTTTTGTCTTGGCTTTCCAAAATCCTGGGATTATAGATGTGAGCCACCACCATGCCTGGCCTTGAAATGTACACTTCAATAGATTTAAAACTGTATATTTTATGTAATGAGTTTTTACAACAATATTTTAAAGAAAAACTGAAAAAAATATAGAATTATAAATCTTTTCAAAAATTGCCTCAAATCACAAAACTGTTTCTCTCACACAAAGGAAATATAAATTCATCGTTAAACACACAGTGAAAAGATGATTTCCATGACTACTTAGACAAGCTAAAACCACCATTTAAAATCAGCTAAGAAAGAATATAAACAAGATAAGCCATAACCAAAATTTGGGTCATATTTATATATAAAACACGCACATATATAATCTGATTGTAATAGACATATGGCTAATTTATTTTTTAAACCCCACATTGACTTAAAAGTGTACAAACAGAATTGCAAATTATCTAAAATTACATAAATAAAACAAAACACAATAATCTGATGTTAAGAAACCTACACTGAAAAACCACACTAATATGGAACTACAAAACAATAAGAAAAATGTTTATTCATGAAATCTTTTTTGCAATATTGATGTACCATTAAGAAAGAATTTGTCTAGATAACTGCAATATTTAAGTGTGTACTCATGGAAGACAGGTATTTTGAATCACTGGCATGTGTTGTGTGGCAGTAAAAGTTCAGAGAAAATGCAGTATAATCATAAATAGAAGATGCTAATGAGAAAATTTTAATAAATGAGTATTTAAAAGGAAGTGGAGATAATTCTGATATTTAAAATATATGCTATTCTTACACAAAATAAAACTTCTGTAACCTTACTTTAGAAGCAAAGAATACCCTTACATTGCTAAAGAGAAAATATATGTGTATGTATATATATATTTATTTGGGTATGTAATATATATTTATATGTGTAAGTATGTGTGTGTGTGTGCACAGAATATGGTTAGAGTCTCTAATATATAAAAGTATTTGAGAATAAGTTATATTATTATTTAGATATAGGCTGAAGAAAGTGGGTGAAAATCCTATAATTTGTTTATAACGACAGCTAGCTCAAATTTGTAAGTAACTATTTTAGTAAATATAGAATGCCTACTAATTATCTAATTTATTTTAGGCATAACTTGTAAATTCTAGTACATTGCCCTAAATGTCTGAATCTGAAGTTATAGACAAATTTGAAGTAGAAAATAAAAAACAAAAATGTATACAGAGTGACATCAGTAAGATGGAAAAATAAAAGGTGCCCTACTTTCTTATATCCCAACAGCAAAAACATTTATCAGCCATCCCTGACCAAAAAAAATGTATTTATGAGAGAGCCAGGCATCATGTATCACACCTGCGATGACAGCTAAATGGTATATTCAGGTTGAAGAACTGCTTCAGACCAGGATTTAAAGACCAGCCTCAGTTATAAAGCAAGAACCCATCTAAAAAATAAGTGCCTTTAAAAACAAAAAACAAAAAAAAACAAAAAAAAAGAAAAAAGAAAATAAATAAAAAATAAGTGCCTTTAAGAGAGCTCCGAGTTCCAGGAAGGGAGTTGTGAAACTCTGCTAGAGCCAAAGATTGAGAAGTGTTCCTTTTCAGAAGGCGGGTCCTTATTCAGGAGGCAAACTACAAGACCCCTGTACTTGGCTACAGACCAGGAAATGGCCCTCCCAACTTGGTCCCACTAATTCTGAACTCTGTCATCACCTCAAACTTCTCCCAGCCACAGTCTGCGAGAGGTCCTGTCTTTCCAGAGGCCTGGAGGAGAACACTCATTTGTAGCCATGCAGGCAGGCCTGCAGACCTTGGCCTCTACTGTGGTCCCTGAAACAGTTCAATGACTCAGTTCCAGCTCCCTGATCCACAGTTCATGGTCAGTTCTGCCTACATAGAAACCCACACAGTGGCTGGGTGTGGTGGCTCACGCCTGTAATCCCAGCACTTTGGGCGGTAGAGATGGGTGGATCACCTAAGGTCAGGAGTTCGAGACCAGCCAGACCAACATGGTAAAACTCCGTCTCTACTAAAAATATAAAATTAGCCAGGCGTGGTGGCACACATCTGTAATCCCAGCTACTTGGGAGACTGAAGCACGAGAATCGCTTGAACCCGGGAGGCAAAGGTTGCAGTGAGCCGACATCACGCCACTGCACTCCAGCCTGGGCAAGAAAAGCGAAACTCCATCTCAAAAAAAACAAACAAAAAACCCACACAGTGACCTGGAAAAATCCTCTCTGGTATTCAGTGAAAACCATACTCATCCACATCCTGATATAAGGCCTACCATATGCAGACCCGACTGCAAAAACATGCCCTAATATCTGCCCTGCAGAGCAACATCCTGAAGGACATTCAGTCTATCCAAAACTAAAATGGGAATTAAAACTACCCAAGCTTCTAGTAACAAGCCAATAAAGGTGGACCCTAGTGCAGACCCAACATCCTTGTGACTAAGCTACAACCCCTCTCCACTACAAACCCAGAGGGCATCCCATCACCTGGGGGCTCAACAAAAGATCTTTACCTCCTAAAATTAGTTTATAAAAACTTAAAGAGGTTTTTGCTCTTTCAAATTCACAGACACCAGTGCAAAACTATATTGTGCCCATTGTCAATGCTTTTATCATAGCACTGAAAGTATGTGGCAAAAGAATTAGTTAAGAAAAAAAAAAAAAAAACTGGCCAGGCGTGGTGGCTCACGCCTGTAATCCCAGCACTTTGGGAGGCCGAGACGGGCAGATCATGAGGTCAGGAGATCGAGACCATCCTGGCTAACATGGTGAAACCCCATCTCTACTAAAAATACAAAAAAAAAAAAAAAAAAAAATTAGCTGAGTGTGGTAGAGGGCGCCTGTAGTCCCAGCTACTCAGGAGGCTGAGGCAGGAGAATGGTGTGAACCCGGGAGGCAGAGTTTGCAGTGAGCCGAGATCACGCCACTGCACTCCAGCCTGGGCGACAGAGCAAGACTCTGTCTCACAAATAAATAAATAAAGAAAAATAAAATAAAATAAAACAACACTGAAATTGAAGACAAGTAAAAAGTTGCTGGTTGCAGATCATATACTCTTACACATACAAAACCATAAACAGTACATTAAAACCCATCAAAACTGATAAATATACTTAGCAAATTACCAAAATATAAAATTAACATACAAGTATAAATTATGGTTCCATCCACTCAAAACAAACTATCTGATAAAACAGAGGAAGAACACAATCCTATTTATAATACCATTAAGATAATATATTCTTGAGAACAAATTAAACCAAGGAGGTAAAAAAAATTTACAATGAAAGAAATTAGAGAAGACACAAATAAATTTTAAAATATTTTATGAATATGGATTGAAATAATAAATATTGATAAAGCACCATGTTTTCCAAAGTGATCTATAGATTCAATAAACTCCCTATTGAAATTCCAGTGGCATTATTTTCACAGTAATGAAAAATAGAATTCTAAAATTTACATGAAACTACAATAAACTTTGAAGAGCCAAAGCAATTTTGTGAAAAAAGAACAAAGCAGAAGAACATCATAGTTTATAATTTCAAACTATATTTCAAGACTATAGTAATAACAACAGAATGGAATGGCAGAAAAATCAACAAATAAAAGAAAACCCAATGGAACAGAAACCACTACTCACACATTTCAGATATGATGCAAAAAATAACTTAAAAAAGTTTAACATAGAGGTTTTCAAAATTATGCAGATGTATGTGTGTCCCCCAAAACAATAAAAAAGTCAGATTGTGCACTCTCTTATATGCCATGAAAAGAACTTTGGCTGTCACTGTGAACTTGAAGAAAGATCACTGAAGGGAAAGTAGAATCCTTAGAGAATTTAAAAGCATAAGACAGAAGATGCCCTATGTGACAGCAAAAGAAAAAAAAACTCAGGCTTTCCAGAAACTATTTCCTTTGGAACACAGCTTCCCAAATCATATTTTAAGGACTGGCTTTTTCTTTGACCTTTGACCTTTCATCTTTGTCATCTGTTGTATTCACTTTCACTCTCACCTACCTGGGGGTTTGGCTACCATCTCATGTCTTTTTATATTCCAGGGCTCTTTTTTTTGCTCCAGACAGGTGATCAGATATGGCTTAGAGACAGCAATACCTGTTTTATTGAAAATAAATATATAACATGAATCTTAATCATATTCTCCAATTACTAATCCAGTAAGGTGCTCAGTAAAGAGGATGTAATAGAATAAATACTAATTTATAACATATATTTCTAAATATTCAGAAAATATTTTAAATGTGTAGGTTTTAAATTTTACTATCTGGTACTATTGAATCAAAAATTGGTGTTGGAAATTAGATTTTAAGGCGTGGGCAACAATATTTCATGCCACTAAATTTCTGGAATTATCACTAATCTAGAGTGAAAAATACAGATTAGCTCACTAATGTGAAAAGTTCAGGTCAAGATGAAGTATCTTGAAGGAATTATTTTCTACACAAAGAAATCTCAAGGATTTTCTTGAAAACAGAGATCTGAAACTCATTTATGCAAAGCATAAATTACCAGAAAACAGTCTACAGAAATAGAGAAATAAAACTTTAAGGGTATTTTGGGAATTGTGTATTGAAGTTATCCTCACCCAAAAAGACCAGGTTTCTGTAGTTCTCTAACAACACATTCCTATATAAATCCCGCTGTGCAGTATCCAGGCATTGCCACTCCTCCAGAGAGAATTCTATGGCGACATCTTTAAATGTCAGTGGTTCCTGAAAAACACAAACACACACACATTTACCAAGCAGCCATAAGCTGTCATTGAATTTTTAAAAAAATGTATAGGATAGTCGGGTACTGTGGTTCATGCCTGTAATCCCAGCACTTTGGGAGGCCAAGGCAGGCAAATCACGAGGTCAAGAGATTGAGACCATCCTGGCCAACATGGTGAAACCCCGTCTCTACTAAAAATACAAAAATTAGGCCGAGCGCGGTGGCTCACGCCTGTAATCCCAGCACTTTAGGAGGCAGAGGCGGATCACCTGAGGTTGAAGAGTTCGAGACCAGCCTGACCAACATGGTGAAACCCCGTCTCTACTAAAAATACAAAATTAGCAGGGTGCAGTGGCACATGTCTGTAATCCCAGTTACTAGGGAGGCTAAGGCAGGAGAATTGCTGGAACCCGGGAGGCAAAAGCTGCAGTGAGCTGAGATTGCTCCACTGCACGCCAGCCTGACAACAGAGTGAGACTCTGTCTCAAAAAAAAAAGAATAAAAAAATGTATAGGATAAAAGCTAAATATAGTCAGATGAGAGGGATACAGAAAAGGACAGTTTAATGTGGTTTAGATAAATTTTCACTGTGTTTATTTTTTTGTGACTTGTGGGAAACTACTGGATCTGCAGGAATAGAAAACACATTGCTAAATGGAATGTCTCTGCAAATACTGGTTTTAATAAAAAATTTTAAAAATTAGGACCCTAAAATGCATACCTTTTTTTCCCATTTATCTCCTTGTGGAATTCGGGAATTGTTAGCAACCACTCCGGAAAGGCACCAGCCAAAACTCTGATCTCTTCTAATCAGTTCTGTGAGGCAAGACTCCAGGGTGGGGCCAGACCTAAATAAAGCCTCCAAAAAGGGTGAATCTGAACAGAACTGCAGCTGGGAGTAAACCCTATATATTACTCTGCTCAACCCATCAACTGTGTAAATATACTAATTAGCCATTTAAACAAATCTCCTGGGGTTTTCTAGGGTAATTTTATTATAAGATAAATATGTATTCTTAGCAAAGTAAAAGAAATAAAAATATTTAAAACTCTTGTGGTCATAAACATTCATTCAAATGATGACCTCAGAAGTCACAACGATATAAAGAAAGTGGCCCAAATAAAGCCCACACGTTTTCCCACACATCTATTCACTTTGCCAACCATATGATGCTTAATTCAACCACGTATTCAGTTGCTAGTCTAGACTAACAGTTCCTAGATGGTAGGGACCATGACTGCTTTATCTATTTTTCTAAGGGCCATATGAAATGGTAGCAATTAGTTTATCTGCTTGAGTCTCCAGACCTCCTCCTTGTTTTTCATCCAACTATCAGGAAACTGGGAAACTCTCAACTGGATACCAACCAAAGACATCTCTTGTATGAGGGGAGGAGCAAACACAGGATGTCTCATTTCTCTTACACTGAGACAGAGGCAGAATTAACCACTCTTGTCAACCTGACACAATTCTGCTCTGGACATCCTCAAATATCTCAAAGATGCCTAGGTGATTGTGAGAGAGTTCCCAGTGACCCTGGGCTGATGGCCAAGGATAAGGCAGGCAGGAGAGACTCAGGCTGATTCTAAATAGAAAGTGGAACTGCCACAGTGGAGCTCCAGATTACGGGTCCTAATTAGCTAGCTCTTGGGCAAAAGGAAAGAAAAAATACTCTAGTCCAGTATTACATTTTACGGGTAGGTATAATTGTGATCATGACTCTCGATACTTTGTGGCCTTCATCTCTCACCCCTAAGATGCTTGTTTACGCTTACAGAATCTGTCATCAGATTCTATTTACACCTGGATCCTCTCACATAACTGTAGCAGGTCACTGAACAAGATCTGAAAAGTTCTAAGAGCAACACTCTCAAAGGGAAGCTTTAAGATGTCTATGTTGACATCTCACAATGCAGAAAATGTCTCCTGTTGGTTTTCTGTACTTTCTCAAACCAGAGTCTGGCCCTGTCTTGTAAATTCCAGGGAGAGGCCAGACCTTATGTACAGATTCTAGGTGGGAGCAGCCTGCCTCTGCATTTTTGGGTGTTACAGCAAGTGGAGCACAACCAAAGGAGAGATCGCCTCATAGAGGCTGCTCTAGCACATTCTAAATAATATGTCTACTTGAAAGGAAAAAGCTGAAGCTACATGAATATAAGTAGAGAGTTTATTTGAGCCAAGATTGGGAATTGTAACCTGGGATCAAAGATTCATGTTGCCAGGAATCTACACTTTGATTAGCGCAGCTGCAAGTGGATTTGTAAAGGCAAAAAGAGAGGGAAAGAGGGTGGGCTGATACAAAGTTGTTTGTCAGAAACTCTCATTTGTTTACAAAAAAATAAGATTGATTATTGATTGGATAAACATTGTTAAGCTATAGGGTGTGGGTTACAGGATCCAGTGTGTCATTATTAGTTTAATTTATACCTACTTGTGGCAATAGCAAGCAGTTTCAAGAGATAAATTCTTAGCTCAAAGAACAGAGAAATACATAATTGTGGTATTATTTTAATGTCTCTGAACCTTATAACTAAAAGAATTTGCATTTCTCAGATAAAAGGTTTTATTTTTTCCCAAATCTTAAGACCCTGATTCAGAATTTGGAGCTGCAAATTTAGTTCCTGGATGGGTGCAGTAGCAGTAGGTGTCATCCACACATTTGTGGGTATTTTAAGAAGAGGAAGAAGGGGTTGGGTGTGGTGGCTCATACCTGTAACACCAGCACTTTGGGAGGCCGAGGCAGGCAGATCACCTGAGGTCATGAGTTTGAGACCAGCCTGGCCAACATGGTGAAACCCCCCCTTCCACTAAACATACAAAAATTAGCTGTACGTCTTGGTGCGTGCTTGTAATCCCAGCTACTCAGGAGGCTGAGGCAGAAGAATCATTTGAACCCAGAAGGTGGAGGTTGCAGTGAGCCGAGATCATGCCACTGCACTCCAGCCTGGGCAACAGAGTGAGAACCCATGTCAAAAAAAAAAAAAAAAAGAGGAGGAAGGGAAAAAATATGGAGATTCTCATGTCTACTTAAGGCACACGTTACTCTGGGTTTCTGGGTCCCATGATCTCTGAAGCAGTTTCTGGTCTAAAGATACAAGAGTCATTGAAAGAGGTAAAATGGTTAACTGCTGCCCTGTGAAGTATGTAGAAATCTGGCCTAGCTCTCTAGAGGTGACTGTAGAGGACTATAACACCAAATAGACAGAGACACAATTCTGCCTGCATATTTAGGGGACAGCATGCATTTTGCAGCACAATTGTGAGTTGACTGGAAGCCTGAAAGGAAAAGCCTCCTCTGGATTAAAGCTTGGTTGGCACCTTATATGTTTATATCATGTGTGGTAATTCTAGACAGTGTTTGGAAAATATAAATAAAAGAAAAATTTTCTCCAGCTCCAGAGTAACTCCACAATGATAGAACAGAAAGAAAGCTGTTTTATTACACAATTCAACCAGAATGTGACATGCATCACAGTCAATCTGCTTAAGAGATTGCAAAGACAGAAAGACGGTCACAATAATTAGTCCACAAGTAGAAAAATTTACAGCACATGTCATACATAGTTCATCATAAATTCACCTGGTAATTTGGGAGGTCATCCATATATGCTAATTGGTTATAATCAATGACAAAATACACTTTTCACATCTTCATGACAAAAGGTAATTTTGCAACTTAAAGCCAGGTGCCTCCTGCTTGCCGTCTCCTGGTAGCTTGTGTCCTCTCTTGACTCCTACCATCTGCCACTGAGGCAGAGCCCCCAGCACACAGCTCACACCTGGCACCCTATATATAACCCCAACTGCCACAGCAGCACTTCAATGCCACATCAGAGAATGAAGCCTGAGTTGCAGGAGGAGAGCCTGCAGGCCTCCTGGGTAGAATTGCACCTTCACAATAATGGGAATGGGTGCAGTGTTTAAGCCTCAGTTTTTTATTTGTAATGGTGACATGGAAATCACTCTGCTGGATTTCCAGCATGAGTCCATATAGAGATAGCTCCAAGAGTTCTCACTATGACAGCCCACCTCATTAACAGACACCATGGGATAGTAATAGGGCTTCCAAAACAGACACCCAATGCATTCAAGAGAAAAACAGCTCACTCTGAAAATGATTATATTGAGAGGGAAAAAAAAAGAAAAGCATCTTAAGAAAAAAACTCAGATTAGATATGATTGAACAAGTCAGCCAGAAAAACTTCCCCTAAAACACATTTCTCTGTAAAAACCCAAAGTGCACAGCTACCCTCAGTATGAAAAACATGAGCATTATGAATAACGGGGGGCATATTCTCAGCAGAATTTTGTAAGTGTGTGTTACAGCGTGGTCTGGATTGAAGACCCAAGCAGACTTTGTGTGAGCAACAAGGCCGTTTATTCACTTGGGTGTTAGTGGGCTGAATCGGAAAAGGGAGTCAGCCCGGAGGTGTGAGGGAGAGCAGTCTTTACAGGGCAAAGTGGCGGGTGGAAAATTACAACATGGTTTTGGGACTTGTTGACTCAAGAAGTTGATCAACCAGTTGGAACAGAAACCCGTTGTTCTTCTTTTGTGGTTTTTGGTTGTTGCAGGTTTTCTGGTTCCAGGAAGTCTGGAGGCATATGTGCTGGTCACAGAGTTCTTAATGGCCCACCGTCAATAATGGCCTGCTGGCAATAATGCAGCCATATTTGTGGGATATGACATTCCTGTCTTTTTGTTTTAATAAGAAAAGAAGTGGACGGGGTGATGTTTCTCAGGGATTCTTCGAGCGGGACTTGGGGCGGCATGGACTCCTAATTGGGAGAGAGATCTTGGGGTGGGGGTGACATTGAGGGGCAGTTAGGAGTAGCATTTGTCGCATAGATTGATTGGTAATAGCTTGAATGAGATTTTGTAGGAACTGAGAGGCTAGACGGAAGAGGCAGGGTCCAAATAGGAGAAGGAGAATGATGGAAATGAGGGGCCCAGCTATAGGGAGAAGCCACAACGCCCAGCTCCAAAGATTGGTGTTAAAAGTCTGAAAGACATTGTCTGATTTTAGAAGCCTTTTCATTTAACTGCGAGGCAGCATCTCGTACTAGTCCAGACTGGTTGGTGGAAAAACAATCTTCCCCTAAAAAGGTGCATAGCCCACCTTTTTCGACGGTTAGGAGGTCTAAGCCACGGTGGTTCTGCAGAGTTACTGCTGCTAAGGAGTCTATTTGGGATTGGAGAGTAAGGGTGGATTTTGCTATGTCTTGTAGGCTGTCTGAGAGATCCTTTGAGAGTGTATGATAGTAGGACAGGGAAGGGGACAAACCTGCTATTCCAGTTCCTGTGGCATTGGTAACTCCTAGTCCTATAAGCAAGGGTATTATCTGCACAGCCCTATGCTGATGGACTTGGGCTCTGACAGGGACTGGTAAGGTTTGGTTTCCAGGGGCAATGTCAATTTTGGGGCTTAGGAAGATTAGGGTACAGGTGCTTGTCCAGTTAGTGGTGAGGCAGACATAGGTTGAAGTTCCACACAAGAAGAATATGCCTTGGCTGGGTAGGCAGAACTGGCTGTGTATGTTAAAAAGGTGTGTGAATTTGTTTTCATTTTCCCACACCCCTAGGGTACTTGCCAAGGCGGCCCCAGTGAGCGGCTGAAAAGGGATGTTTGGGATAAGCTGAGTGGCTCCCTGTGTTTTATTTTCCCATTGGAGGAAAAATCATTTTGTATCTACTAGGAGCCACTCAGAAGGGTAATCGAAAGAGGGGATAAGGAGGCATTCGTCAGTGGTGGGAGTGCTGCTGCAGGAGGTCCAGGGGTGAATGGTCATGCAGTGCGTATGCCTGCCATTACAAAACCCGGATTGTTTGTTAAGCAGAGAGGTGCTGATGACTTCTGGGGGCTTTGAGAAGCGGACAGGCTGTTTGAATGTAGCTGTTTGGGAGACCTGGAAGTTAATACAGTCAGTTGGGGCTTGAAGCTGCAAGGCGTAGTTGCACTGATGGAACAGTAGGTGACCTAGAGGTAGGCCTGATGACAGGTTGTGTTGGATGCATAAAGGGGCTTGGAAAGTTAAGACAGCGTTTGTAGTCACAGGGCCGTGTATGGGCTTTTCATTACTTGTGTAATGGGTGAGGCTGGACATGTAGGAGCGTAAAAGTTGAACTGCACGACCTGTCAGGGTATTTTCGGTCATTTCATTGATGGAGAAGTTGGCCAATGACTGCATATGTAGGAGTTAGAAGGGGCTTTTTCCTTCATTACGAGGGTGGTAGGTTAAGCTAGTAACTACCCAGTTTTTTGTGGGAATGAGAGTGGCAACGTAAGTGGTAGCTGATAGAGAAATGCAAAGCCAGCGTCCTTTGCCAAAGAAGGGTTGGACTGGTTTAACAGAGAGTGGGTTGAGAGTTTTGTAGAGGTAATTAGGCATTACTGGAAGTGGGAGTGCGGCCATGCCAGGTAGCCAAAGGAGCAGGAGGGATAGATAAAGAGTGAGTAGGAAGGTAAACAGAGGCGTCTCATCTGGGAAGAAGTTATACAGAGTGCCCTAAAAGATGAGATCATCTATCCAGTTTAAGAGAGAATCTAAGGTGGGAGTTTGGGGATGAAACCAGGAGATGTCTTGGCAAATAGAGTGGAGGAAGAGGGTGAAGAAGCAGGGCGGACAGGAGCAGGACATTTAAGTTTCTTCAGGGATTTCGGTGAGTTTTAACGAGGTCGGGGAGAGTACTTGCGACTTCCAAGAGGAGGAAGAAGGGTCAGGCTGAGTGTCAGATGGACACAGCTTTACTCTGGAAGGGTGAATCCACTGAGGAGGATCTTGTAAGCAGACAGCCATTGGGGTACCATAAACGACCAGGAAGGGTCCTGTCCACTGAGGTTGTAGAGATCAGGGGGTTAAGCTCTTTATCAGGATGGGCTGTCTGGCCAGAGTGTCCTCATATGGCTGGGTATCTGAGGTGGGTAAAAGAAGGTTAGCAGCCTGACAGATTTCATTCCTAGCCTGTTGGAGGACTGGTGTCTGGGATGAGGTTGGGCCCCAGTAGAAAAGTACTACCATATAAGAGTTCGAATGGGCTATACCTGGTAGGTTCATGGGCGGTGGCTCAGATCCTGAGAAGCACAAGTGGTAGGAGAACAGTCCAGTCCTTTCGGAGTTGGAGGGTGAGTTTTTAAGAGGCCGTTGGCTCTTTCAACCTTTCCTGAGGAATGAGGATGGTATGGGGTGTGGAGATTCCACTGGATGCCAAGGGCCTGGGAAACTGCCTGGGTGATTTGGCTAATGAAGGCTGGACCACTGTCAGATTGGATGGAAGTAGGGAGGCCGAAACAGGTAACAATATCTGTTAGAAGAGAGGTAAAAACTGCTGCAGCCTTTTCAGATCCAGTAGGGAAGGCCTCGACCCATCTGGTGAAGGTATCAACCCAAACTAGGAGGTACTTATATTTTTTGACACGAGGCATATGAGTGAAGTCAATTTGCCAATCTTGTGTAGTAGTAAACCCTCAGGCCTGATGTGCTGGGGAAGGAGGGGGCCTAAGAAAACCTTGGAGTGGCAGACAGAACATTAAGAAGTGATTGTTTAAGGACGGACTTCCATGATGAGAAAGAAATAAGGGGCTCTAGGAGGCGAGCCAAAGGCTTGTATCCTACATGGAAGCGGTCATGGAGGGATAAGAGAATAGATTGCGCTTGTGAGGCAGGAAGAAGGAACTTTCTATGATCTAAGAACCACTTGCCTTGTGAGTTGGAAAGGACTAGCAGAGCAGGTTTTCAGAAGAAGAGTAGTAGGTAGGGATAATAGATGAGAAAGAAATATACTGGTCTTTTGGAGCAGAGACTGGAACGTCTGCAGACACTGAGGTGTTTGCCACCTCTTTTGCTGTTTTACTGGCATGGGCATTTCCTTTAGTGATAGGGTCTGTTGGTTTTTGGCATCCTCTGCAGTGGACAACTCCAGCCTTGGCTGGCAGAAGAGCAGCCTTAAGGAGGGCCTTTATGAGAAAGGCATTGATAATGGAAGACCCTTGTGTGGTTAGAAAACCTCTTTCCACCCAGATGGCAGCACTGTGATGAAGGATGTGGAAAGCATACCTG
This sequence comes from Homo sapiens, assembly GCF_000001405.40. Lineage (NCBI taxonomy): Eukaryota > Metazoa > Chordata > Mammalia > Primates > Hominidae > Homo > Homo sapiens. Next base: position 64,683,190 of record NC_000007.14, on the reverse strand, counting down.
GAATCAGTATAAATATTGACGTGCATTCCCTTAGAGAGAGACAGCGTGAGTTAAAGCAATTAGTTCAGCTTGCTGAGAGGTGGTGGAGGGTGGAAGTGCAGCAGCCTCGATAACAGATGTGTGGGACACAACAAATAGCATAACCTGCCTTGGCTGGCGAAAATTGGTTGGGTCTTGAAGAACTACCATCAATAAACCAAGTGTGATCTGGGTTTGGGACTGGAAAAACAGAAATGTGAGGAGAGGGGGAGGATGCCATGTGTATTAAGGAGATGCAGTCATGTGGCTCAGGACATGTGTTGGGTGCTAAGTGAAAGGCTGGGTTGAAACTGGGTCCAAGAGCAATGGTTAGCATGGGGTTTAAAATAAAGAGTGAATAAAGCTGGAGGAGATGGGAGGAGAGTAGTTGTGTGAGGTGAGAGGAAGAAATGAGACTCTGGAGGTTGTGAGCGCTATAGAGGGTAACTGGGGTGTAACCAGTGATTTTGAGGGATTCTAGGAGTATTAGGGCAGTGGCCGCTGCAGCATGTAAACAGGGCAGCCAGCCTAGGACTGTGAGGTCAAGTTTAGATAAGTAGGCCACTGGTCGTGGGCCTGGCCCTTGTGTTAGGACCCCAACTGCACATCCCTTTACCTCTGCCATGTAGAGAGAAGGGCTGGGTGGAGTCGAGGAACGCCAGTGAGGAGGCTGTCTCAAGAGCTTTTTTCAGGGAGTGAAAGGATGAATGAGGGAAGGTTTGGGGTCTATGGGGTCAGCTAGGTTGCCTTTTGTAAGCTTATAAAGGGGTTTTGTTAAGAGGGCAAAACCAGGTACCTAGAGGTGGAAGTACCCAATGATGCCTAGGAAGGAGAGAAGCTGCTGTTTTTGAAGGGACTGGGGTCTAGGAGATTAGGTGAATACGGTCAGCGGGGGGAGTGCGGGTGTGCTGATGGAGAATTATGCTGAGACAAATAACAGAAGGGGAAGAAATTTGAGCTTTAGAAGGGGACATTCGGTACCCTTTAGAGTCTAAATGCTGAAGGAGTAGGAGGATATTCTGTTGGGAGGATTCCTAGGAGAGACTGCAGAGATCATCGACATACTGGATGAGGTAGGAAAAGGAAGGCTGAAAAGAGAGTAGGTCGCAGGCAAGGGCTTGGCTAAAATAATGAGGGCTATTCCGGAAGCCCTGGGAAGAATGGTCCAGGTTAGTTGTTGGGACTGATGGGTGTCAGCGTCAGTCCAGGTGAAGGCAAAAAGAGGTTGAGAGGAGGGATGTAGGGGAATGGTGTAGAAGGCATCTTTTAGGCTGAGAACGGAATAATAGGTAGTGGTGGGAGGTATTCTGGACAAGAGAGTATATGGGTTTGGCACTATAGAATGGATGAAAAGTACAATCTGATTGATGAGACGAAGGTCTTGAACTAATATGTAGGACTTGTCTGGTTTTTGAAAGGGAAGGATGGGAGAGTTAATGGGTACTAAGAGGCCATGTTGTAAAAAGTGGGTAAAAAGGCTTTAGGCCTTTTAGGGGTGGCATAGGGATAGGATACTGGCATTGGGCAGGGTAAGGATGGTTTGGCCTTAAAGGGATGATAAGGGGGGAGTGATCTGTAGCAAGGGAGGGAGAGATGATATCCCAGACCCTGGGGTTGAGGAAGGGAGACGTTAGAGGAGCTTGTGGGGATGGTGAAGGGTTGGGGAGAAGGGTGGCAAGGAGGTGTGGCTGTAGCCTAGGAATAGTGAGGGAGGCAGACAGTTTTGTTAGGATGCCTCAGCCGAGGAGAGGGACTGGACAAGTGGGGATGACTAAAAGGAGTGCAAAAAGGAGTGCTGATCTAGTTGACACACAAGTGGAGTCTGGAGAGGTCTGGAGGCTTTGCCGTCAATTCCCACAACAGTCATGGAGGCTAGGGAGACAGGTCCCTGAAAGGAGGGCAGGGTGGAGTGAGTGGCCCCCATATCGATCAAAAAGGGGATGGACTTACCCTCCACCTTAAGAGTTACCCGAGGTCCATGATGGTCCATGGGGCCTCCGAGGTGTTCGGGCAGTGTCATTCCTCAGCCGCCAAGCCGAGGAGATCAGAGAAGGAGTCAGCCAGGGGGCTGTGGGGTTAAGCTCCAGGAGCTCTAGGGATGGCAGCTTGAGTTGGACAGTCTGACTTCCAGTGAGGGCCTGCACAAACAGGGCATGGCTTAGGAGGAACCCCAGGCTGCAGGCATTCCTTGGCCCAGTGACTATTTTTATGGCACTTGAAGCATGGCCCTGGAGGGGCTGCTGGGCGCTGCGGTCTGGATGCCTTGAAATCCCTACAGGCCATTGGTGTGGCTGGGGTTCGTCTTACGGCGGAGGCAAGCATCTGTAATTCAGAAACACGCTGCCACCAGGTAGCCTCTTCCCTGTTACTGAACACCTTAAAGGCAAGGTTAATTAAATCCTGTTGTGGGGTTTGAGGGCCAGACTCTAATTTTTGAAGTTTTTTTCTAATGTCGGGAGCTGACTGGGTAATAAAATGCATGAGTCGGCCTTCTGGCCCCTGGCCCTTCAGGGTCTAAAGCTGGATTTATGGCCAGATGGGCCACAAACTGGGCTGGATTTTCGTCCTTGCCCTGAGTGATTTCTTTTAACTTATCATAATTGACAGCCTTATACGCAGCTTTTTGGAGTCCCTCTACTAAGCAAGTGATCATATAATCTCGCCCGGCCATACCAGGAGATCCTGTTTGATAGTTCCACTGGGGGTCCTCACGGGGGACCTCCCTGGAGACCTGGCTCAAGGCGCCAGTGGTCACCTGCATAGGACTGAGCTAGGGCCCAAACACCCTCCCATTCTTCAGGAGTGAGTGTAGAAGTGAGGATGACATTTAAGTCACTCCAGGTGAGGTTATAAGACTGAGTTAAATATTGAAATTCCTGGATATATTTAGTGGAGTCTTATGGAAAAGAACCTAAACACTGGCTGACCTGAGACAGGTCAGACAGGGAGAAAGAAACATGAACTCGGACTATCCCTTCAGCTCCAGCCACCTCTCAAAGGGGAAATAGTGGGGTGGGAGGAGGGGGATTAGAAGTGGGACCAAATTGTCAGCCAGTTCGGGTATGGGGCAGAGTAGGGACAGAAGGGATATAGGGAGGCATGGTATGGGTAGAAGGGGGACTGGGGTCTGGAGAAGGGTTGGGACCGGAGTCGGACGGGCAGGGAGGAGAAATATCGGAAGGGTCTGTGGACAAGAAGGACTCGCTGTCGCCAGAGGGTGGTAGGGGAGCAGATGGGCGGGACAGAAGGAGAATTTGAGACAAATTGCATTGGGAACAAGGGCTGGGGAGGGACCGAAGTGTAAAACATGCCTGGATGTATGGAACCTCAAACCATTTGCCCATTTTGTGACAAAAGTTGTCTAAGTCCCACAAAATAGAGAAATTGAAAGTGCCATTTTCTGGCCACTGAGAGCCACTGTCTAATTTATATTGGGGCCAGGCCATATTACAGAAGAAAATGAGATGTTTAGGTTCCAAATCAGGTGAAAGACGGAGCGGTTTTAGATTCCTAAGGACACAGTCCAAAGGACAAGGAGGAGGAATGGAGGGTGGAAGGGTGCCCATAATGAACAGCGGAGGACTGAAGAAACAGAGAGACAGGGAGAGAGAAACGAGGAGGAGAGCAACCACAAGGACCTTCAGCAGGTGTCCCCATCTGGGTTGTGCAGTGGATGAGTGGCCAAGGCACATGTCCCTGTGGTTGACCAGTCACCTAGGGAAGCCTGTCTTCCCAGAGATAATCCATGACCAATGTTAGATTTAGGAAACACAGACAGTGAGTGTCCTCTCCTCTCTAAGAAAAGGAAAGTTTGAGAAAGGATGGAGGTCTCTTACCTATCCGAAGGCAGAGGCGGGGCTTTTACAGAGCTGGTCCGAGGTACCGAGGTCGCGGGTGGGTCTCTTCAAGAAGTCGGGGGAAGGGGTTAAGGGACACGACTCCCAAAGGAGTTCCCCTATCCCGGATTTCAGCATCAAATGTGTGTTATGGCACAGTCTGGATTGAAGAGAAAACCCAAGCAGGCTTCGTGTGAGCTCGCACCCAAGTGAATAAATAGCCTCACTGCTCACACAAAGCCTGCTTGGGTCGTCTCTTCAATCCAGACTACACCATAACACAAAGTAAGGTTCCTCTTTCATCTCTGCTGCTCTCTTATCTTCTAGCCATTGAATGGGAGATCTATACTGGAATATGCCTGACAATTTCCACCAAAACATTTTGATGAACAATTGGAATATGACTTTGTTAATATAGTGGAATATATTTGAGCTTGCATCATGGCTAAGTGAAGAGCTATTATGGTTTTTGAGTGGCCACATCACCCTTATTTGTCTTGTAATAGCAGCATTCCAATTTAGTGAAATAAAAGACACTAAAATCATGCTTCCCTAATATTATCTCTATTGAATAAACTAGTAAGCATATCATACTAATATCTACTATAATAATTTGGTAGTAAATTTTCTTTCACATTGGATAAAATACCTAAGTATAAATAATTTTAGTGTACTAGTCATAATGTATGTAGGATTTTAAAATATTGTCTGTAACCATAATTCAATTAAAACACTTTATGTTTTGAAAGTATGAATAACAATACTAAAATGACTAAGGGATTCATTCAAAGTAAATATTGTGGCCTTACATTTATACTAGTGTAGAAAATACTGTTCAATTGATATGAATGCAGTTTGTCTACAAATGCTACACCTAACTATGCTAATTGTTCTGAAGTAATAAATAGAAACCAAAGAACAACTACATACTCCACTGTTCGGTTCATACACTGAACCTCGCTTTTGCAATGGAAGTATTTTAGCCTGCAAATATTAGATAATTACGTTGGATAATCCATTTTCTGTCAAAGGAATTTACTCAGCATTTTTTAGTCCTCATTATTCAGTACTGCTAAATTTAATACTATCTTTGTGCTCAACTTTTGTGTGCTCTTAAAATGAGTTTTGATTTAAACAAATCTGTGTCTACTTTAAAAGATTAAAAAATTTTAAAAAATTTGCCAAAGCAAAAACAAAGCAATAAACCTGAGGTCTCAGATAAAGACAATCCCAAATCAAGAACAATGACCAAAAATTTATTTAGCTGTTAATATAATTTATGTATCGTTCAAAACAACAAAGACAAAAATCTATGTATAATTTAAATCCTTTAAGAAAAAAGAGATTAGCAAAATATCCTCCCTTATTTTTCACATAGGAGAATAAAGCCTCTTATTTCTAATTTTTATTTTCTCCTACAACAGACAGGTCTCTGGACATGTTTTTGAACTCCTGGACATCCTTTTTTTTTTTTTTTTTTTTTTTGAGACAGAGTCTTGCTCTGTCGCCCAGGCTGGAGTGCAGTGGCTTGATCTTGGCTCACTGCAAGCCCCGCCTTGCGGGTTCACACCATTCTCCTGCCTCAGCCTCCCAAGTAGCTGGGTCTATAGGCACCCACTACCACGCCCATCTAATTTTTGTATTTTTAGTAGAGACAGGGTTTCACCGTGTTAGCCAGGATGGTCTCGATCTCCTGATCTCATGATCCGCCCGCCTCGGCCTCCCAAAGTGCTGGGATTACAGGCGTGAGCCACCACGCCTAGCCGAACTCTTGGACATCTTAATTTTGCACACTGTATGCAACTGAAAGAATGTTATCAGAAAAAAAAATAGAAGAGAGAAAGGTGTTATAAAAAAAAAAATCCGGCGAGGTGCGGTGGCTCATGCCTGTAATCCCAGCACTTTGAGAGGCCAAGGCGGGTGGATCACCTAAGGTCATGAGTTCGAGACCAGCCTGACCAACATGGCAAAACCCCGTCTCTACTAAAAATACAAAAATTTGCCAGGCATGGTGATGCATGCCTGTAATCCCAGCTACTTGGGAAGCTGAGGCAGGTGAATGGCTTGAACCTGGGAGATGGAGGTTGCAGTGAGCCAAAATCATGCCACTGCACTCCAGCCTGGGCAACAAGAGTGAAACTCCATCTCAAAAAAAAAAAAATCCATGGGTATGTTAATCCAGAAAAATGACAAGACAAATCTCAATCATTTTAGGAGGTTTTTTGCCAAAGTTAAGGAGGTGTGCCCTGGAGACAAGTCTATGTCTTTCTTCTAAGATCATTTTGAGGACTTCATATTTAAAAGGAAAAGGGTGGGATGTTGGTAAGTATACAATTTTCATGTAAGAAGAGGATAGAAAAATACAGTCATTCATGCCTTTGTCTGGCTCAGTGAATCTGCATTTTTTTTAACATAAGATGACACAGACAAATAGGGCAGAAGAAAAATGCAGGGAACCTGAATTTTTACATAAGATAACATAGACAAAATGGGGCAGAGGAACAGATAGGCATCTGTGTCTGATGGAAAGGGGAGTGACTGAACCTATAAACTATCAATTTACATTTCTATGATAAAATTTTAACAGAAACACCTTGGGGTAAAGATCTGCAGCTCACTAGGAATTTTACTGTGGACACATATGGGGGGAGGTATGCAGCTTTTCATCTTTTAACCATCTTATTTAGGAACCAAAAGGGAAAGGCAGGTTTGTGTGACCCAGTTCTCAGATTAACTTCTCTCTTTGGCTTAATGAGTTTGGAGTCCCAAGATTTAATTTGCTTTCACAGGTGCACATGAATAAAGCAATTTCTTAGAGATTTATAAAGAGACTTAGATTCTGACACAGTAATAGTGGGAGACTACAACACCCCACAGACACTAATAAATCACTGAGGCAAAAAATTAACAAAGATATCAGGACCTAAATGTAACACTTGACCAAATAGTCCTAATAGACAGCTACAAAACTCTTCATCTACAAACTACATAATATACATTTTTCTCATCACCATATGGCACATACTGTAAAACTGACCACAATCAGAAATAAAACAATTCTCAGCAAATTCAAACATCCCAAAATTATACCAACCACAAACTTAGATCACAGCCTGATAAAAATATAATTGAATACAAAGAAAACCACTTGAAACCATACAATTACATACAAATTAAAAAACCTGGGCTGGGCATGGTGGCTCATGCCTGTAGTCCCAGCACTTTGGGAGGAAGAGGCAGGCAGATCACTTGAGGTCAGGAGTTTGAGACCAGCCTGACCAACATGGTGAAACCCTGCCTCTATTAAATATACAAAAATTAGCCGGGCGTGGTGGTGCATGCCTGTAATCCCAGCTACTCAGGAGGCTGAGGCACAGAATCACTTGAGCCCGGGAGGCAGAGGTTGCAGTGAGCCGAGATTGTGCCACTGCACTCCAGACTGGGTGACAGAGTGAGACTCTGTCTCACAAAACAAACACCTGCACCTGAATGACTTTTTGGTAAATAACAAAATTAAGGGAGAAATCAAGAAATTCTTTGGAACAAATGAGAACAAAGTACTGCAACACAGCTGACACAGTGTTAAGAGGGAAATTTATAGCACCAAATGTTCACATTAAAAAGTTAAAAAGATCTCAATTTAACAAACTAACATTATAAACAAAAGCATGAGAGCAGCAAGAGGAAACCAACTTCTAAACTAGCAGAAGGCAAGAAATAACCAAAATCACATCTGTACCAAAGGAAATTTAGACATGAAAAACTATACAAAAGATCAAGAAACCTAGGAGTTAAATCTTTGAAAAAATTAATAAGTTAAATAAACCACTAGTTAGATTCATGACAAAGACAAGATCCAAATAAACACAATTAGAAATGACAAAAGAAGCATTACCACTGACCCCACAAAAACACAAATAACTGTTGAAGTCTGCTATGAACACCTCTATGCACACAAACTAGAAAATCTAAAAGAAATGGATAAATTCCTGAACAAATACATCCTCCCAAGACTGAGCAGAAAAAGAAATTGAATCCCTGAATAGACCAATAACAAGCTCCAAAACTAAATTACTAATAAATAGCCAAGCAACCAAAAAAGGCTCAGGACCAGAGAGATTTACAGCTGAATTTTACCAGATGTACAAAGAAGAGCCGGTACCATTTCTTCTAAAACTATTCCAAAAAATTGAGAAGGCACTCTTCCCAACTCATTATATAAGAACAGTATCATATGATACCAAAACCTGACAGAGATATAACAAAAAAAGAAAACTTCAGGTCAATATCTTTGATGACCATTTATGCAAAAATCATCAGCAAAATACTGGCAAATTGAATCCAGCAGCACATCATAAAAGCTAATCCACTATGATCAAGTAGACTTTATCCCTGGCATATAAGGTTGGTTCAACATACACAAATCAATAAATGTGATTCATCACATAAACAGAAATACAGACAAAAACCACAAGATTATCGCAATAGATGCAGAAGAAGCTTTCAATAAAATTCAACATCCTTCGCATTAAAATAATTAAAGGCCCTCAACAAAGTAGGCACTGAAGCTACATACTTCAAAATAATGAGTTATCTATGAGGAACCCACAACCAACATATGGAATGGACAAAGCTAGAAGCATTTCTCCATGAAAACTGGCACAAGACTAGGATGCTTTCTCTCACCACTCCTATTCAACATAGAATTGGTGGTCCTCACTAGAGCAATCAGGCAAGCGACAAAAATAAAAGGCATCCAAATAGTAAGCAAACAAGTCAAACTATCCCTGTTTGCAGACAACATATCTAGAAAAGCCTATAGTCCTCACAGAAAAGCTCTTTAAACTGAAAAATAACTGAAGCAAAATTTCAGAATACAAAATAAATGCACAAAAATCAGTAGCATCCCTCTACATCAACAACATCCAAGATGAAAACCAAATCAAAAACACAATCTCATTCACAATTGCTACAAAAAGAATATTTAGGAATACAGCTAACCAGGAAAGTGAAAGATCTCTACAACAACAATTACAAAACACTGCTTAAAGAAGTTAGATATGACACAAATAAATGGAAAATCGTTTTATGCTCTTGGATAGAAAAGATCAAAATTATTAAAATGGCCATACTGCCCAAAGAAATGTACAGATCTAATATTATTCCCATCAAACTCCCAAAAACATTCTTAGCAGAACTTAAAAAAAAAAAACACCTATTTTAAAATTCATATGGAACAACAAAGAGCTCAAATAGCCAAGGCAATTCCAAGCAAAAAGAACAAAGCTGGAGGCACTGCATTACCTGAATTCAAACTATACTTCAGGGCTACAGTAACCAAAGAAGCATGGTAGTGGTAAAAAATAAATAAATAAAAATAAAACAACAACAACAACAACAAAAAACAGACCAATAGACCAGTGCAACACAATAGAGCCCAGAAATAATGCCACACACCTACAGCCATTTGGTCTTCTCACAAAGCTGACATGAGGAATGCGGGAAGAATTCCGTATTTAATAAATGATGCTAGAATAACTAGCTAACACTATGTAGAACATTGAAAGTGGATACCTTTCCTACACCATATATAAAAATCACTCAACATGAGTTACAGATTTAAATGTAAAACTTAAAATTATAAAATACCCTGGAAGACTAACCTAGGAAATACCATTCTAACATAGAAACTGACAGAGATTTCATGACGAAGATGCCAAAAGCAAATGCAACAAAAGCTAAAACTGACAAATAGGATGTAATTAAACTAGCTATTTCACAGCAATGGAAACTATCAACAGACAAACTACAGAATAAAATAAAATATTTGCAAACTATGCTTCTCACAAAGGTCTAATATCCAGCATCCATAAGAAACAAACAAATTTGTAAGAAAAACACAAACAACCTTATTAAAAAGTAGGCAAAAAACATGAACAGATGCTTTTCAAAAGAAGACATACATGTGGCTAAAAAGTAAATTTTAAAAATGCTCTGTCAGGTGCGGTGGCTCATGCCTATAATCCCAGCACTTTGGGAGGCCAAGGCGGGTGGATCACGAGGTCAGGAGTTTGAGACCAGCCTGACCAAGATGGTGAAACCCCATCTCTACTAAAAATACAAAAATTAGCCAGGCACGGTGGCAGGCACCTGTAATCCCAGCTACTCGGGAGGCTGAGGCAGAAGAATCGCTTGAACTCAGGCGGGAGAGGTTGCAGTGAGCCAAGATCGTGCCACTGCACTCCAGCCTGGGCAACAGAGTGTGACTCCATCTCAAATAAATAAATAAATAAATAAATGCTCATCACTAATCATTAGAAAAATGCAGAGAAAAACTACAATGAGATACCATCTCATACCAGTCAGAATGGCTGTTGTTAATAACAGATGCTGGCAAGGTTGAAGGGAAAAGGGAATGCTTGTACACTGCCTGTGGGAATGTAAATTAGTTCAACCATTGTGAAAAGCAGTGTGGTGATTCCTCACAGAACTAGAAACAGAATTACCATTTGACCCAGACACCTCATAATTGGGTTTATACCCAAAGAAATATAAATTATTCTATCACAGAGACACATGCACATGCATGTTCACTGCAGCACTATTCACATAGCAAAGATACGGAATCAACCAAATACCTATCGACGGTAGACTGGATAAAGAAAATATGGTATGGTAGGGCACGGTGGCTCACACCTGTAACCACAGCACTTTCGTAAGCTGAGGCATGCAGATTTGCGGAACTCAAAAGTTCAAAACCAGACTGAGCAATGTGGAAGAACCACGTCTTTACAAAAAATACAAAAAGAAAAATTAGCCGGGCATAATGATACACATCTGTAGTTCCAGCTACTTGGAGGGCTTAGGTAGGAGGATTGCTTGAGCCAGGGAGGTTGAGGCTGCAGTGAGCCAAGATCACACCACTGCACTTCAGCCTGTGTGACAAGATGAGACCCTGTCTCCAAAAATAATTATAATAAAAATAAAATAAAACAAAATATTTAATACAAACAAAATATGATACATAAACATCATGGAATACCATGTGGCCATAAAAAAGAACAAGAGCACGTCCTTTGCAGCAACATGGATAAAGCTGGAGACCATTAGCCATAGAAAACTAATGCAGAATAGAAAACCAAATATATTTTCTCATGTATAAGAGCTAAATAATAAGAACACATGGACACAAAGAGGGGAACAACAGAGGCCTAGCTGAGGGTGGAAGGTGAAAGAACAAAAAGGGTCGCCAGCCGGGCGCGGTGGCTCACTCCTGTAATCCCAGCACTTTGGGAGGCCGAGGCGGGTGGATCACAAGGTCAGGAGATCGAGACCATCCTGGTTAACACGGTGAAACCCCATCTCTACTAAAAAATACAAAAAAAAATTTAGCTGGGCTTGGTGGCGGGCACCTGTAGTCCCAGCTACTCGGGAGGCTGAGGCAGGAGAATGGCCTGAACCCGGGAGGCAGAGCTTGCAGTGAGCAGAGATCGCGCCGCTGCACTCCAGCCTGGGCAACAGAGCGAGACTCTGCCTCAAAAAAAAAAAAAAAAAAAAGAACAAAAAGGATCAAAAAAATACTTGTTTGGTGCTATGCTTAGTATCTCAGCGATAAAATAATCTGCACACGAAACCACCCTGACACAATTTTACCTATATAACAAACTGCATGTGTACTCCAAAACAGAAATAAAAGTTAAAAGGAAAAAAATCCATGGGTGGGGGAGAATGCCATGTAGGTGGGAGGAATGGTCTGTGCTACAGATAGTGGCCCAGATGGGGCTGTCCTCTGATTTATTTGCGTCCATGCAGGCAGATGAGATTATGAACAGGTGGTCCAGAATCCTTGGTTGGTGGAGAGAGCAGGCTGCTGCTGCAGATTCAGTGTCTGGGAATAGGAATATGTCAGGAGACTTGTAGACACTTTGGTGGGTTTTTGGCAAAAAACACTAGAATAAAAAAATGCTGTAGTGAAATTCCTAAGGGCGGTGCCTAGTCCTGGGAGGGGTGTGGACACATCAATGTATAATGGGTATGTTTGTGAGTGGGTGGAAATTCTGGGATGGCAGCTGCGAGAAAAGGGGGTCTATAATCAGACCTCCTTTCCTCTAAGTTTTCAGTCCTCTCTCACCATGGAAGGAGACCTGGAATCACAGGACAATGGGCAGTGTGACAGTCTGTGTACAGGAGGGTAGAGCGTCGCATTCCCAGACACCCAGAGTTCCACTCCAGGCCAGGCCTCTGTGATATCTTTCTTTTGGCACCAAATCTGTAAAGTTTGCTTAACACCAAGCAATTCTCCAAAACTAACACATTGTTTAACATTTGAATTCTGACCCCAGAGTCAGCAGACCCTGATTCAGGGCTCAGTCCCACAACACTGTCCTCACTGCAGATGCCAGTCAAAAACCATACGGGCCTATCAGTGCTTCTAAACTACTGTTTGAAAATTTAGAATTCCCATAACTCCCTCAAGTTCAATAATTTGATAAAGCTACTCACAGAACTCTGCAAAACACTGTGGTTATGTCGACCAGTTTACTATACAAGATACAACCCAGGAAAATTCAAATGGAAAAAATGTATAGGACAAAGAAAAGAGATGGGGAAAGATGAAGCACATAGATAATCCTGGTAAATAGCTGCGATTAATAAAAGTCCCCATCCTTTGTGTTCTCCAGGAACAGTTTATGAAAAGAAACACCCTTCCCATTATGACTTAGATGGTACTCTTTTTCTTAACTGTTTAATAACCAAACACTCACTCTGCATATTTTCTTTTTCATATTAAAAAATTAGCTGAATTTTTCTTCAGTGGTCAAAAGAAAGTTCTTCTTAATCAAACTTCACTTAAGTTTATCTCCTTTCCACAGGCTCCTGAACTTTGAGGTACCCTCAGTCTGAGCCAACATACAACCCCATTTTTTGTCCCTCCTAAAGACTTGATGACTTCAGGATAAAAGTGTTCTAATCTAGTATTTGATTTTTTTCACCCTCCATTTGCCATTCCCCTGTGACCTTCTTTCTAACCTTCTTTGCTCCTCCCTAAAAAAAAAAGTCTTTGTCTGCCTAAACTTTGCAATTCTTAAAGATCTTTTAGTTGGTATTTCCTTCTGTTGCAATACTCCTTTAAAATTCAGAATTTTTTTTACAGAAACCTTATTCTGTTTTTACAAAAAGTAAAATACTGCCTCAAAACGATAACAACTTCATCTTTAGTAAGACTCTCTCATTCCCCTTCCATCTTAACGTTAACTGCATCTGCCTGTGGGTCCCCCGACGTCCAGGGCTCTGTAGCTTCTCTCAGAATAAAGGCTTCTTCCATGGCTGGGGTGAGCAGGGGAGGCTTCCAAGAAAGAACTAACTGGGCCTTTAATAACCTCCCTTCCCTTTGCAGGCTCAATATTAGCCTTAGCTTGGAATCACTGGGCATAAGCTTTAATTTCCATGTCAAGGTTATTCACTTGGGTTTTGAAACTGCTTTAAAAATTCAGCAAAATTATGCACAGTATTTATATATGGGAAGGAAATTATTTTTTCTTTTTTTTTGAGACAGAGTCTCGCTCTGTTGCCCAGCCTGGAGTGCAGTGGTACACTCTTGGCTCACTGCAACCTCTGCCTCCCAGATTCAAGTGATTCTCCTGCCTCAGCCTACCGAGTAGCTAAGACTACAGGTGCCTGTCACCCACACCTGGCTAATTTTTCAGTAGAGACGGGGCTTCACCATGTTGGCCAGGCTGGTCTTGAACTCTTGACCTCAGGTGATCCGCCTGCCTCAGCCTCCCAAAGTGCTGGGATTACAGGCGTGAGCCACTGCACCCAACCAAGGGAAGGAAATTTTAAGGTGCTTACATTTCATACCTCAGTAAGAAATGCAAAGTATTTATTTCTTTCAGACGATAAATGTATTATTCTATTATTTTCATTAAAAATTAGGTAGTAATCAATTAGTCATATGGGATTAGTAATCAAGAAGTCATACTTCTAGGAGGTACCAACTTTCATCTCATAAAATTTAGCATTAACCAGCTGGGTGCAGTGGCTCATGCCTGTAATCCCTTGGGAGACCAAGGCAGGCAGATCACTTGAGGTCAGGAGTTCAAGGCCAGCCTGCCCAACATGGTGAAACCCCGTGTCTAATAAAACTACAAAAATTACCTGGGCATGGTGGTGCATGCCTGTAATCCCAGCTACTTGCGAGGTTGAGGCAGGAGAATTGCTTGAGCCCGGAAGGCGGAGGTTTCAGTGAGCCGAGATCGCACCACTGCCCTTCAGCCTGAGCAACAGAGCGAGACTCCATCTCAAAAAAAAAAAAAAAAAAAAAAAAAAAAAAAAAAAATTAGCGTTATCCTCACAAATCAAGATGATAGGATATAGAACAGAGGTATTTACTGTAACAAAAGTACCCTGCAAAAAGAGGAACTGATGCTTTCATAAATCTATGTAACTCATCAATTATCTACCACATTTTCTTGTAAAAATGTATTCATTTTCTACAGTCAAAATGGAAGAGAGGTTTTTTTCCTTTTTGTTTCCCTGCTAGCACTCTAAAAACTAAGCCTTGGAATACCGTTGGACATCACCCAGCCATAAAAAACACACCTGAGTAAATTCCTAAACTAAGTCTGGGAAAGAAAAAGGTAAATGAGAATTCTTAATAAATGGAATATATGATTAGATATTATTTTTCTCTGAAACTCACCTCTTTTATGCTCTGTAAATATTTTCTTAACTTTTAAATCATACTAATAAAATGCAAGTTACAGTTATAAAACTGAAATCAAAATAAGTGAACAAATCTTTTCAAGGTGACAAACCCAGGGAGTGGCGGGGCTGATTAGAAAACAGATGTGTCTGATGAGTTCATGGCCTTTGCAGGGACATGGATAAAGCTGGAAACCATCGTTCTCAGCAAGGACAAAAAACCAAACACCGCATGTTCTCACTTATAGGTGGGAATTGAACAATGAGAACACATGGACACAGGAAGGGGAACATCACACACTGGGGCCTGCTGTGGGGTGGGGGGAGGGGGGAGGGATAGCATTAGGAGATATACCTAATGCTAAATGACGAGTTACTGGGTGCAGCACACCAACAGGGCACATGTGTACATATGTAACAAACCTGCACGTTATGCACATGTACCCTAAAACTTAAAGTATAATAATAATAAAAAAAAAGAAAACAGATGTGTCTGACTCATGTGTCAAGTCAGGCCACCCAAACACTAGATTCTCCTACCCCATCCTGCTCATTTAAGTGCCCAATGACCACCCTCTCTGTAGACACTGCCCTATGCCTCAGTGACTACTCCAAGTGCATTTCATTTTGCAAGTTCTTGTACCATCTCACTGGGGTCAAGTTTGATTTTTTTTTTTTTTTGTCTTCTGGAATACTATTTTTTCTTTCACAAATCTTAGAGAATCCAGGGGGCAGAAATTATTTCTGAGTTTTCCTCTCAATACCAGCATCTGATTGGCTGACCAGCAATGTACCTCTGAGAAATGGAAGTCGGGTTGAGTGAACACAATCTTAATGCCTCAAAGGGTTAGCTTTCCAAAGGAAGGGTATACCAGGAGATTCCTCTCAGCCCCAGGGCATCCACCTGCTCCCTTGAGAGGCTACACTCCAACCTCAGATTGTCCTCTGTCTCCCATTCCCAGATACCCAGAGTTCCATTCCAGGCCAGGAGCTGAAATTTACTAGAGATTCTAGCATACACAGCCACAGTTGATATCTTGATTTATCCCCAGACAGTACTGAAACCCAGGACCAGGAGAAAACCGAAAGGTGGCTGAGGACACATCACCCTGTAAAGTTTCCAAAGGGAAACCTTGACCCAAAAACATTCTGATAAGATCTCTGCGCCTAGGGAAGATAAAAGGAAAATAGGCACAGACTTTTTTTTACAATACAGTGTCAGGGGATTATTTTTTGTTTTCTTCTCATTGGAAATATTTTCAAACAGCAAACAATTTGTTTAAAGTGCCACCCAATAATTTGTCAACAATGATTAATTAAAATACAGTATCTAAAATGTACACTAAAGGACAAATAGTTGATAATGTGAATTAGGGAGGGGAAGCTGGGATTTGGGAATGTCAAAGGAAACTGGAAATTTAGCATTTTACTGAAAGTCAGTTAGGCTAAAAGAATGGGGAATAGGGAGTAGTCTTGAGACCCTGCTTGAGACACGTGAAAGTTGCAGGGGAAAATCTGTCCCCTGTGGAGTGTGAAAATAACTAAATGGCAGGCAATTAGACTGAGGTGGCTCTAGTCCCAGGGTTTTTACTTTTTAAAAAATCTAACTCAAATGCTTTTTTTTTGTAAATTACTACATTGGGGAAAACAAAATTTAGACTTAATCAACCATGAACTGCCAATTAAGCTCTGATTACGTGACCAGAAAATTTCCACCTTCATCTAAAACTAAGAAACTACGTAACTCTACCTAACCAATTATTGAGTTTGCTTTCCTTTATCATGCACCTTCTAAAAGTCTTTTCTTCAAGCCCCTCCCATGGAAAATAAACTACAAACCACAGCTGGGTGCTCTATAATTCTTCAATTACTCTTTGATTAAATTCTTTAACATTTTTGTGGTGACTTCCATAGATTTTTAAGAGAAAAAAGATGGACTAGGAACCCCACAGACTAAAGCTTTTCCCATTCATGAACCCCGCATCCCGAGTCAGGATTCTCCCCTGATGACCCTCCCGGCATCCCTGCACAATCGGGGAGAGATGCCGCGCTGCGGGTGCAAAGCCGCCCGGAGAGGGCTCCAGGCCAGGGCACAGTCACTGAGCAGGGAGGAGACAGGACGCCCAGGGTCCCGGCTGTCAGCCCAGCCGCCATCTTACGGCTGAAGGGGACTGAGGACCGAGCTGCGCCAAGGAGAACTCGGGGCCGCGGGGGACTGAGGGCCGAGCTGCGCCAAGGAGAACTTGGGGCCGCGGACTTTGGAGGCCCGAGTCCAGCCACAGCCACTTCCGATCGGTTCCAACCAGCCCCTCCCCCTCTCTCGGGATGTCGGACCCAGCACTCTCACCATTTCTAGGTTTCCAGGGAGTCCCGGCGTCTTAGCTGTGGATCTCCCAATATCTGCAGGTCACAGGGACACAGAGGCTGGGCCTCTAGGAGCAGAGGACACTGAGCAGTGAGGAGGAGAGCAGGAGCTCCGGCTGCAGCCAGAGACAAAGGCCCCGCCAAATCCCGGAAGCCGTCCTGTCCGCTCCAGCTGCGTGCCTGATTGGACGGTTCCCAGCCCAGCAGTCCTGATTGGATAACGTTTGCTGCCCTGCTCCCTCAGGCCCTGAGTGACAGAAGCTGTGCTCAGATGCTGGGCTGGAAGAAGATAAAGTGAAACCTAAGCTGCAGCCTTTTCAGGCAGGGCTCCTCCCTGAGTTGAGCCAGGTCCACCCCAGAAGGCATTTGCATTTAACCTGTATATAAAGTCATATGCATTTATAAATAATATATTATGTGGCTATTCACACATGAAAATAATATAACAATTATTTTAAAATTCCAGATTTTATGCCCTTTCTGAATTCTGGTCCTTTGAGCAGGCCGATTGAGAGTTTAAAAAGGAGGCAATCCTCTGAAATAAAACGTGAGCCACATGTGTATTCTAAATTTTCTAGCAGTCAAACTTCAAGAAGGAAGAAGAAGGCCAGGCGCGGTGGCTCACGCCTGTAATCCCAGCACTTTGGGAGGCCGTGGTGGGCGGATCACGAGGTCAGGAGATCGAGACCATCCTGGCTAACACGGTGAAACCCCGTCTCTACTAAAAATACAAAAAATTAGCCCGGCGCGGTGGCGGGGGCCTGTAGTCCCAGCTACTCGGGAGGCTGAGGCAGGAGAATGGTGTGAACCCAGGAGGCAGAGCTTGCAGTGAACCGAGATAGTGCCACTGCACTCCAGCCTGGACGACGGAGTGAGACTCCGTCTCAAAAAAAAAAAAAAAAAAAAAGGAAGGAAGAAGAAACAGGTGGAATTCATTCTAACCATTTAATTAACCCACTATATCAAAAATATTATATTAATATCTGAGCAATATGTAATTATTAATAAAGTGTGTATATTTTTGGAACTAAATCTTTAACTCTGTATTTTACCTTTCTAGCACATCGCAGTTCTGACCAGCCACATTCCGGACACCCAGTAGCCATACATGGCCAATAGCTGTCACATTAAAGTGCAGCTTTGACAACAGGGGTTTGAAGGGCCTGAACATTCCTTTTCTGCCAGAGGTGAGGGAAGAGCCTCTCCCTACCAACATCTCTCTTCAGTTCTGAGGTGGAACAGACCGTGGCCATAAAAAGAGCAGAGGACAGCAGGAATAAAATAACCTAAGGTTGTTAAGAATTAATGTAATTAATATGTATATAATTAAAACTACTAGATGTATGAAAAACAATTCTGCATAGAGAATGTATAAACAAAAGTAAAATATGCTTTTAAGGAAGAAAGTTAGAAACATTTTATCTAGTTTGAAATTACTTAATGATTGTTTCAAATTGAAAAAAGAAAAAACCAAAAATATAATATAAAAAGTTGAAAAATTTATTATAATAGACTATAAAATATTTATGAAAATCTACAGTAGCCAAAAATGACACATTTGATGGATTTATTTATAAGGTTTTATTAAAGTTAGCTTTAGTATTAATAATACAGTAATACAAAAGTAAAAGTTGATTTTCTTTTGAACAAAAATTTTACATATCAATATGACATAGTACAATATTTTTGTCCACCTTTTGAATAAATTTTAAAATAAAGAAAGTAAAAAAGAGAATTTTTCTCATGCAGTCTTTCTCAGGTTTTTTGACTGGAAAACTGAATCTCCTGTATCAAACAGTAAATGATTTTGTTTTTAAAATCTTTTAATTATCACTTTGGATAAATAAATGACTATTATTTTATGGTGATCTGTGGTCCTATTTTAGTGAAGTGTTTTAACCCTATGACATATTTGACAGGCTTCCCAACATCAAATTTTGCTTTAAAAGTGTCTTTTTTTTACACCCCAAACTTTTGGATGCTATAGAGTGTCAATGCAGCATGCAAAAGAGTGATAAACAGGCAGGGGGAGGCGGGCAGATCACCAGGTCAAGAGATGGAGACCATCCTGGCCAACATGATGAAACCCTGTCTCTACTAAAAATACAAAAATTAACTGGGCATGGTGGTGAGCGCCTGTAATCTGAGCTACTCAGGAGGCTGAGGCTGGAGAATGGAGAATGGCTTGAACCTGGGAGGCAGAGGTTGCAGTGAGCCAAGATCGCTCCATTGCACTCCCACCTGGGCAACAAGAGCAAAACTTCGACTGAAAAAAAAAAAAGTTAACTTACATGGAAGCATTATCAAAATAAAAATAATGTTTGCCAGGCGTGGTAGCTTATGCCTGTAATCCCAGGACTTTGGGAGGCTGAGGCAGATGGATCACCTGAGGTCAGGAATTCAAGACCAGCCTTGCCAACATGGCAAAACCCTGTCTCTACTAAAAATACAAAAATTAAGCCAGACGTGGTGGTGGGTGCCTGTAATCCCAGCAACTCAGGAGGCTGAGGCAGGAGAATCGCTTGAATCCAGGAGGCAGAGGTTCCAGTGAGCTGAGATTGTGACATTACTCTCTAGCCTGGGTGACAGAGCGAGATTCTGTCTTAAAACTATATATATATATTTGACCTCCTTCGACTTATATTTTAATAAATATGTTATTAATATTTATGTCAAAATTGTATGAAATTTCTAAAACTCTAATGTATCTGAGTATACGCTCTTATTCATAATTATGGTTATTATGATAAATTATTGTAGGCAACAGATATAATCAATTTCTTTTAATTTGTTTCTTTATAACCATGAAAGTCATTTCCACAGTTAATGGCTTAATTCTGATGTAGTTTCTAAAAACTTTAAAAGCATGAAAAATCCTAGAGTACTGTGTATTCAAGGAGGTTCATGAAAAGATGGAAAAGGCCCAGATGAGTTGAGCACAGATTTCTGATAACGTTAGAATTATATTGTTTGAATTAGGTAAAGATTGTGAGAATTTGGCCAGGCACGGTGGCTCATGCCTGTAGTTCCAGCACCTTGCATTTCTGTGGGATCAGTCGTGATATCCCCTTTATCATTTTTTATTTCAACTATTTGATTCTTCTCTCTTTTCTTCTTCATTAGTCTGGCTAGCAGCCTATCGATTTTGTTGATCTTTTCAAAAACACCAGTTCCTGGATTCATTGATTTTTTGAAGGGTTTTTTGTGTCTCTATTTCCTTCAGTTCTGCTCTGATCTTAATTATTTCTTGTCTTCTGCTAGCTTTTGAATTTGTTTGCTCTTGCTTCTCTAGTACTTTTAATTTTGAGGTTAGGGTGTTGATTTTACATCTTTCCTGCTTTCTCTTGTGGGCATTTAGTGCTATAAATTTCCCTCTACACACTGCTTTAAATGTGTTCCAGAGATTCTGGTACATCGTGTCTTTGTTCTCATTGGTTTCAAAGAACATCTTTATTTCTGCCTTCATTTCGTTATTTACCCAGTAGTCATTTAGGAGCAGGTTGTTCAGTTTCCATGTAGTTGAGCGCTTTTGAGTGAGTTTCTTAATCCTGAGTTCTAATTTGATTGCACTGTGGTCTGAGAGACTGTTTGTTGTGATTTCCATTCTTTTGTATTTGCTGAGGAGTGCTTTACTTCCAATAATGTGGTCAATTTTAGAATAAGTGCAATGAGGTGCTGAGAAGAATGTATATTCTGTTGATTTAGGGTGGAGAGTTCTGTAGATGTCTTTTAGGTCCACTTGGTCCAGAGCTGAGTTCAAGGCCTGAATATCCTTGTTAATTTTCTGTCTCGTTGACCTGTCTAATATTGACAGCAGGGTGTTAAAGTCTCCCACTATTATTGTGTGGGAGTCTAAATCTCTTTGTAGGTCTCTAAGAACTTGCTTTATGAATCTGGGTGCTCCTGTATTGGGTGCATTTATATTTGGGATAGTTAGCTCTTCTTGATGCATCGATCCCTTTACCATTACGTAATGGCCTTCTTTGTCTCTTTTGATCTTTGGTGGTTTCAAGTCTGTTTTATCAGAGATTAGGATTGCAACTCCTGCTTTTTTTTGCTTTCCATTTGCTTGGTAAATATTCCTCCATCCCTTTATTTTGAGCCTACGTGTGTCTTTGCACGTGAGATGGGCCTCCTGAATACAGCACACTGATGGGTCTTGACTCTTTATCCAATTTGCCAGTCTGTGTCTTTTAATTGGCGCATTTAGCCCATTCACATTTAAGGTTAATATTGTTATATGTGAATTTGATTCTGTCATTATGATGCTAGCTGGTTATTTTGCCCATTAGTTGATGCAGTTTCTTCATAGTGTCGATGGTCTTTACAATTTGGTATGTTTTTGCAGTGGCTGGTGCCTGTTGTTCCTTTCCATATTTAGTGCTTCCTTCAGGAGCTCTTGTAAGGCAGGCCTGGTGGTGACAAAATCTCTTAGCCTTTGTTTGTCTGTAAAGGATTTTCTTTCTCTTTCACTTATGAAGCTTAGTTTGGCTGGATATGAAATTCTGGGTTGAAAATTCTTTTCTTTAAGAATGTTGAATATTGACCCCCATTCTCTTTTGGCTTGTAGGGTTTCTGCAGAGAGATCCACTGTTAGTCTGATGGGCTTCCCTGTGTGTGTAACCCGACCTTTCTCTCTGGCTGCCCTTAACATTTTTTCCTTCATTTCAACCTTGGTGAATCTAACGATTATGCGTCTTCGGGTTGCTCTTCTCGAGGAGTATCTTTGTGGTGTTTTCCGTATTTCCTGAATTTGAATATTGGCCTATTTTGCTAGGTTGAGGAAGTTCTGGATAATCTCCTGAAAACTGTTTTCCGACTTGGTTCCATTCTTCCCGTTGCTTTCAGGTACACCAGTCAAATGTAGATTTGGTGTTTTCACATAGTCCCATATTTCTTAGAGGCTTTGTTCATTCCTTTTTTTATTCTTTTTTCTCTAATCTTGTCTACTTGCTCTATTTCAGTAAGTTGATCTTCAATCTCTGATATCCTTTCTTCTGATTGATTGATTCGGCTATTGATACTTGCGTAAGCTTCATGAAGTTCTTGTGCTGTGTTTTTCAGCTCCATCAGGTCATTTATGTTCTCTAAACTGGTTATTCTAGTTAGCAAATTGGCTAACCTTTTTTCAAGGTTCTTAGCTTCCTTCCATTGGGTTAGAACATGCTCCTTTAGCTCAAAGGAGTTTGTTATTACCCACTTTTTGAAGCCTACTTCTGTCAATTCATCAAACTCATTCTCTGTCCAGTTTTGTTCCCTTGCTGGCGAGGAGTTGTGATCCTTTGGAGGAGAAGAGGCGTTACAGTTTTTGGAATTTTCAGTCTTTTTACGCTAGTTTCTCCCCATCTTTGTGGATTTATCTACCTTTGGTCTTTGATGTTGGTGACCTTCGGATGGGGTCTCTGTGTGGACGTGCTAGTCCTTTCTGTTTGTTAGTTTTCCTTCTAACAGTCAGGCCCCTCTGCTGCAGGTCTGCTGGAGTTTGCTGGAGGGTCCACTCCAGACCCTGTTTGCCTGTGTATCACTAGAGGAGGCTACAGAACAGCAAAGATTGCTGCCTGTTCTTTCCTCTGGAAGCACCCAGAGGGGCAACTGCCAGATGCCAGCCAGAGCTCTCCTGTATGAGGTGTCTGTCAGCCCCTACTGGGAGGTGTCTCCCAGTCAGGATACATGGGGGTCAGGGACCCACATAAGGAGGCAGTCTGACCCTTAGCAGAGCTCAAACGCTGAGCTGGGAGGTCCTCTGCACCCTTCAAAGCCGTCAGGCAGGGATGTTTAAGTCTGCTGAAGCTGCGCTAAAATTTTTTAGTATGCCATTTGAATAAACTCTGCGGTCCAAGTCAAATCACCTATAAGAACCCCTCATTTATTTGTCCTATGCACCTAATTTGGAGACACAAACTTCGTACTTAAGAGGACATAAATTTAATGTTCAGTGTGGACCCATGAAGAACCTAGACAGCCAACAGCCAGTTGTTCATTCCTGAGTTCTTAAAGCTTCTATTATTAAAAAGCTGTGCATTCCATTATCATTATAGAAGAGATAAAATGATCTACATAAAATATAAATTAGGCTGGGTGCGGTGGCTTACGCCTGTATTCCCAGTACTTTGGGAGGCTGAGGTAGGTGGATCACGTGGTCAAAAGATCAAGACCATCCTGGCCAACATGGTGAAACCCCATCTCTACTAAAAATACAAAATTAGCCGGGTATAGTGGCACACGTCTGTAATCCCAGCTATTCAGGAGGCTGAGGCAGAAGAATCACTTGAACCCGGGAGGTGGAGGTTGCAGTGAGCCAAGATCACACCATTGCACTCCAGCCTGGGCAACAAGAGCGAAACTCCATCTCAAAAAAAAAAAAAAAGAAAGAAAAAGAAAAGAAAATAGTCACATCATCTACATGTTGAGGCCACACATATGTATATGTATTGATATGTATCAATAACCCTTGTGGGCAGGGACCAGACAGAAGAACCACATCACCTGTGTGCTGGGCTCTGTGATAAGTCACCCTTTATCTGTGGGTATGGCCCAGGTAGAAAAGGCAAGCCAAATCACCTGGTGCAGGGCCCAGAGATATGTCACAATGTCTTCTATAGGCAAAGGCCAGGGAACAGAGGAGAGTCACATCAAATAGTTGATGGACCCAGAGATATGTCACAATGTCCCTGTAATCAGGGTCTAGGTAAGAGACTCAAATCACCTTTGTTCTGGGCCCAGCAATATGTCACAATGCTTTCTCCATAGCTGTCATACAAAGAGGAGACCCAGGCTCTTACCTAATTCACTAAGCCTAGCTATGACAGTATCTCTTACATTGGCTGGCTTGTAGGAAGAGGATCGTCAGCTCTCCTGTGAGCTGGACCAAGATATATGTCATAATCCAGTAGAGAGCAAGCATGAGAGTCACATCACCTGGGTGCTGGGCAAGTGATATGTTACAGTCTTCCCTGAGGACAGGGACCAGGCAGGAGAGTCACATTAGCAGGAGAGTCACATTACCTGGGTGCTCAGGGAGGGATCTTATTTGACAATCCCCTCCTGAAAGCAAGGCACAGAATGCATAGTCACATCACATGGGTTCTGGGCCCAGTAATATCTTACGATGCTCAGTATGAGCAACACCCTCTCAGGAGAGGCAGATTACCTTAATGGTGGACCCAGCAATATGTCACAATCTTCTTTGTGGGCAGGATGCAGGAAGAACAAAAGTCACATCTTCTAGGTGATGGATGCAGGGAGATGTAAACAGTCCCTCTGTGGAAAGGGCCAAGGCAGAAGCCTCCAATTCTATAAATGTAGGGCCCAGTGATTTGTCACAATACCTAACATATGCAAAGCCCAGGCAAATAGGAGAGTTATATCACTTAGCTCCTGGGTCAAGTAATATGTCCCAATCCTCCCTTTTGACATGGCCCAGGCAGCAGAAGAAAGTGACATCACCTAGGTAATGAATAAAGAGATATGTCATAATACACCCGTGGACAGGGCCAAGGCAAGAGTCACATCACTTAGATGTTGGTCCCAGCCATATGTCAAAATACACAAAGTATACTGGACCCAGGAAGGAGAGGAGAGTCATGTCACCTAGGTTCTGGGCCCAGGCATACATCACAATCCCTACTTGGGCAGAGCCCAAGCAGTAGAAGGGAATTACATCACCTAGATACTGGGTCAAGAAATATGTCACGATACTTTCTGAGGGAAAGAATGAAGCAGGAGATTCACATCACCTAGGTGAGGGGCCCAGAGATATGTCACAATGACCTTTGTTAGTAGAGCTCAGGGAAAAAAAGTTACATAACACAGGTGCTGGTCCAAATGATATGTCACAATTCTAACCATAGATAGATCCCAGTAAGAAGAAAGTCAAATCATCTATAAGATGGGCCCAAAGATAAGTCAAAATTACCTCTGTGGGCAGGGACCAGGCAGAAGAATCACGTCACCTGTGTACTGGTGATAAGCCACTTTATTTTGTGGGCATGGCCCAGGTAAGAGAAGAGAGTCACATCACCTAGGTTCTCAGCCTAAAAATATGTCACAATCTCTTTTATGAGCAAAGCCAAGGTAAGAGAGGAGAATGACATCAAATAGTTGATGGGCTAGAAGACATGCCGCAATGCCACCTGTGGGCAGGGTTTACAGGGAGACTCACATCACCTTGGTGCTAGGTTCAGCAATATGTCACAATGCCTTTTGAGGGCAGGGCTGAGCAAAAGAGTAACTTCAGCTCTTTTTTTTTTTTGAGACGGAGTCTTGCTCTGTTGCCCAGGCTAAAGTGCAGTGGTGCAATCTCAGCTTACGCAAGCACCACCTCCCAGGTTCAAGCAATTCTCCTGCCTCAGCCTCCCAAGTAGCTGAGATTACAGGCACCTGCCACTGCGCCTGGCTAATTTTTTATTTTTGTAATTTTCAATTTTGTATTTTTAGTAGAGACAGGGTTTCACCATCTTGGCCAGGCTGGTCTGGAACTCCTGACCTCATGATCCACCCTCCTCAGCCTCCCAAAATGCTGGGATTACAGGCATGGGTCACCGCGCCCAGCCAGTAATGTCAGCTTTTTGTTGGGCCCAGCAATATGACACAATCTCCTCTCTTGGCAGGACCTAGGAAGACAAAAAGAGTCACATCAACTAAGTACTGGGCCCAGTGAAAGATCACAATCACCTCTGTTAGCAGGAAGAAGGCATAGTCACAACACCTGGGTAATGGGTGCAGCGATACATCACAATGCCCCCTGTAGGAAGAGCCCAGCAGCAACATAACACTGGTAATGGACCCAGCAGTATGTTACAATGGCCAAGGTGGCCAGGGCATGGCAGAAGAGTCACATAACTTGGGTGAAGGGCCAAGTTATATGTCACAACATTCTTCTGTGACCAGCACCAAGGCAGGAGAGGAGACTCAAATCCCCTGTGTGCAAAGCCCAGCAATGTTTCAAAATGCCTCCTGTGAGCAGCATCAAATGCAGGAGAATAGTGTCACATTAAGTAGATGGTGGGTCCAGCCATATGTCACTATTCCGTCTCCAGGCTGGGCCTAGGCAGAAGAGTCATTCACTCAGGTGCTGAGCAGAGGTATATTTCACAATCACACCTGCAGGAAAGTCCAGGGATGAGACTAACAATTCCACACATGTCCTGGTTGTAGGCGTGAGCATTAACACTTTCTGCGCTTTTTGTCTAACTACACGAGTTACAATCTCATTGGTAAACTGTATCTGCGCATGACAGCCTCAATCCCTTCTGCAGATTTGTGTTGCTTTAGTGGAGCCACAGCCTCACGGGTGTGCTGAATTTGTTTCTGACAGTACCAACTAACCTGGAGATCAGATCCAGGTATGAGAAGAAATTTTAAAACTTTTAACTGCTTAAGGGTCTGAAATTTAGAACCTCAATAGTGGGCTGTGTTCATGTGAAAGATGACAAGTTTTACTGTCAACTTAGTGTGCATACCAGTGTCACAATCTCACCTGTGTGCTGGGCCTTGTTAGGACACTCTCTATACCACTCGAGGGCTTTATATAATATACACGTGAGTCACAATATGCTCTGATACCTTCATGCTGGTACAGACCAATGATTGTAGCTGTGATCCTAGGCCCAGGTATGAGAGTCAGCATCTTTTCAATTGGCTGTGTGAAAATAATACAGTCATCACCTGCCCATGTGGTAAGTTTAGAAGTGAGTCACCATTCAAACTGTGGCCAGATGTTAACAAATGACAATCACAATTCCAATTGTGAACTATGTCTCCGTGTAAGATTCAGGACCTCACTAGTGGGATCTGTCCATGTTTGAGGGTGACAATCCTTATGGTTGGTGGTGTGTGCATATGAGAAACACAATCTCACCTGTGTGCTGGGCTCTGGAATGTCACACTCTACCACCCAAGGGCTTTATGTGATATGCAAGAGAGCAGTAGTCTTGAATAACCTTCATACAAAGAGAAGACCGAGGATCTTACCCATTTTTCTAAGCTAGCTATGAGTAACAGTGTCTCTCCTATTGGCTGATTTGAGAGTCATCATTGTACTTGTGACCTGGCCCCAGATATATGTCACAATCCCACCTGTAGGAAGTGAGCAAAATAAGAGTGTCGCATTACTTGGGTGCTGGGCTAGGCCTATGTCACTATCTCCCCTGAGGACAGGGACAAAACCCAGAAAACATCTGGGTTTTTGGCCAGGGATATTTTGCAATCCCCTCCTGAAAGCAGGACACAGGCCAGCAGTGTCACATCACGTGGGTGCTGGGCCCAGTGATATTTCACAAAGTTCCCTGTGAGAAAGATCAAGGCAGGAGAGACACACCACCTGGTTATTGGGTCTAGTGACATGTCACAATCTTTCTTGTGGACAGGGTACATGCAGAAAAGGAGAGTCAGATTCTCTGGGTGATAGATGCAGAGATATTTCACAAGGTTCTAGGTCAGCAGAACACAGGCAGGAGTCTTTTATTCCCTACATGTTGGGTCCAGTGATATGTCATAATTCCCAATATATGCATTGCCTGGGGAAAAAGGCAAGTCATGGCACCTAGGTGCTGAGTATAGTGATATGTTATCATTTCCTCTTTTGGCAAGATTCAAGCAGAAGCGGGGGGTCACATCGCCTAGGCGATGAATGAAAAGTTGTGTCATAATACCCTGGTGGGCAGAGCCAATGCAAGAGAGTAGCATTACCTAGGTTTGTGATCGAGCCCCATGTCACAATACACAATTTATGCCGGGCCCAGGCAAGAGAAGAGAGTTACATTACCTAGGTGCTGGGTTCAGCAATCCATCACAATTTTCTCATGAGCAGAGCCCAAGCAGTAGAGAAGAGTCACATCACCTATTTGCTGGGCCCAGAGATATTTCATAGTCTCTTCTGTGAGCAAAGTCCATGTAAGAGAAGAGAGTTACATCAATAGCTGATGGGCCCAAAGATATGTCACAATGCCCCATGTTGGCAGAGTCTACTAAGAAGACACATCGTTTTGATGCTGAGCTAAGAAATATGTCACAATGTCTTCAAGGGTGGGTCCAAGGCAAAAGTGTCACATCACCTTCATTTTGAGGACAGCAATAAGTCAAAATCTCCCTTGTGGGCAGAACCTAAGAAAAAGAAAAAAGTCACAATAGCTAAGTGCAGGGTTCAGCAATAGGTGAAAAGCCCCTTGTGAGCAGAAACCAGGCAGGAAAAGGGAGTCAGAACACCTGAGTGATGAGTGCTGAGATATGTCACAACGCTCCCTGTAAAAAGGGCCCAGGCAGAGGAGTCACATCACCCGGGTCTTGGACACTGCAATATGTCAAAATGGTCAATGTGGGCAGGGCACAGGCAGAAGAGTCACATAACCTGGGCTCAGAGGCCAAGCAATATGTCACAAATGTCCTCTCTGTGGGCAGCTCCAAGGCAGGAGTATAGATCACATCACCTGAGTTTTGGGCCCAGAGAAATATTAAAATTCCATCTGTGGGCGTGCCCTAGGAAGGGAAGTCAAATCAGTCAGATACTCGGCACAGGCATGTGTCAGAACCACACCTGTAGGAAAGTCCAGGGATGAGATGAACAATCCCACACATGTTCCAGCTTTAGGTGTGAGAGTCAACACCTTGTGTGTGATTGGTCTAAGCACATGAGTAAAAATCTTTTTAAAATTTTTTTTATTTTAGTTTTATTTATTTATTTATTTATTGAGATGGAGTCTTACTCTGTCACCCAGGCTGAAGTGCAATGGCACGATCTCGGCTCACTGCAACCTCTGCCTCCCAGGTTCAAGTGGTTCTCCTGCCTCAGCCTCCTGAGTAGCTGGGATTACAGGCACTCACCACTATGTCCGGCTAATTTTTGTATTCTTAGTAGAGACAGGGTTTCACCATGTTAGTCAGGCTGGTCTCGAACTCCTGACCTCAGGTGATCTGCACGCCTCTGCCTCCCAAAGTGTTGGTTTACAGGCGTGAGCCACCGCATCCGGCTATGAGTAAGAATCTTAATGGTAAACTTAATCTCTGCATGAGAGTCTCAATTCCTCCTGTGACCTCCTTAGTAGAGTCACAGCCTCACACGTGCTGAATCTTGGTCTGAGGGTCACTGACTCACATGTGGACCAAATCCACGTGTGAGTCAATTTTCAGCTGGACATGGTGGCTCATGTCTATAATCCAAGCACTTTGAGAGGCCAAGGTGGGTGGATCATTTGAGGCCAGGAGTTTGAGACCAGCCTGGCCAACATGGTAAACTTCCCTCTCTACTAAAAATACAGAAATTAGCCGGGTGTGGTGGCATATGCTTGTAAACACAGCTACTTGGGTGGCTAAGGCGCAAGAATCGCTTGACCCTGGGAGGCAGAGTTTGCACTGAGCTGAGACCGTGCCAGTGCACTCCAGCCTGGATGAGAGAACAAGACTCTGTCTCAAAAAGAGAGAGAGAGAGAGAGTCAATTCTCCAGATTTTGACTGTTTCTGGGTGGAAGATTCAGAACCTCAAAAATGGGTTGTGTTCATGTGGAAGGATGCCAGTTTTTACTACAGTGTAGCTGCACAGGAGTGTCACAATCTCAACTCTGTGCTGAGCTCTGTGAGAACACTCCCTTTATCACCCAAGAGCTTTATACAGAATGCATGAGAGTTGTAATTTGTGCAGGCCCCATGATCATACCTGTGGCTCTGAGCCCGTGTATAAGAGTAAATACCTTTCCAATTGGCTAGTTTCTTTTTCTTTGTTTCTTTGTTTGTTTCTTTCTTTTTTTTTCTGGGTTGCGGGGTGGTGGGGATAGAGTCTTACTCTATCACCCAGGCTGGAGTACATCTCAGCTCACTGCAACCTCCGTCTCCTGGGTTCAATCAACTCTCCAGCCTCAGCCTCCTGAGTAGCTATGATTACAGGCACAAGCCACTATGCCCAGCTAATTTTTGTGTTTTTAGTAGAGATGGGTTTTTGCCACATTAGCCTGGCTGGTCTCAAACTCCTGACCTCTGGTGATCTGCCCACCTCGGCCTCTCAAAGTGCTGGGATTACAGGTGTGAGCCACCATGCCCAGCCTAATTAGCTAGCTTCTGATAAAAGAGTTCACACTTACCTATGACCTGGATTTAAAAATAAGTTGCCATTTCAACTGTGGCTGGATGTTGACATGTGAGAGTCAAAAATTCAGCTGCATACTGCATCTATGTGTGAGATTCAAGACTTAACCAATTTGTTCTTTTCATGTGTGAGGGTGACAATCCTAACATTCAGCTGGGTGTGCATGCAAAAAAGACAATCTCACCTTTGTGCTTGGCCCTGTGATGACACGCTCTGTATCGCTGAAGGGCATTATGTAACATGTGAGAGTGGTAATCCCGTATAACTTTTTTTTTTTTTAAGATGAAGTTTCACTCTGTTGCCAGGCTGGAGTGCAGTGGCGCGATCTCGGCTCACTGCAATCTCCACCTCCCAGGTCCAAGCGATTCTGCTGCCTCAGCTTCCCAAGTAGCTGGGACTACAGGCAAGTGCCACCATGCCCAGCTAATTTTTATATTTTTAGTAGAGACGGGGTTTCACCATTTTGGCCAGGACGGTTGTCATCTCTTGACCTCAGGAGATTGCCCGTATCGGTCTCCCAAAGTACTGGGATTACAAGCGTGAGCCACTGCGCCCAGCTCCCATAACTTTTTTTTTTTTCTTGAGATGGAGTCTCACTCTGTCGCCCAGGCGGGAGTGCAGTGGTGCAATCTCAGCTCACTGCAACCTCCGCCTTCCGGGTTCAAGCAATTCTCTGCCTCAACCTCCCAAATAGCTGGGATTACATGCGCCCGCCACCACGCCCAGCTAATTTTTGTATTTTTATTAGAGATGGGGTTTCACCATCTTGGCCAGGCTGGTCTTGAACTCCTGACCTCATGATCCACCCGTCTTGGCCTCCCAAAGTGCTGGGATTACAGACCTGAGCCACCGCGCCAGGCTGCCCATAACTTTTATATAAAGAGGAGACCCAGGGTCTTACCCGTTACACTAAGCCTCAGTACAAGAGACAGCATTGCTCATATTGGCAGGCTCAAGGAATAAAAGTCATCATCATACCTCTGAGCTTGGACAAGATATATATCAGAATTCCAGCTGTGGGTAGAGAGTAAGCAGGAGAGTAAGTTTACCTGGGTGCTGGGAAAAAGACGTGTTACAATATTCCCTGAGGACTGGCACCAGGAGAGTCACATCATCTGGGTACCAGGCCAGGGAAATGTCACAATTCCTTCTGGAAATCAGGGCAAAGAAAGCAGAGTCACAATACCTGCATGCTGGGCCCAGTGATATGTCACAATGCTCCCTGTAGGCAATACCCAGGCAGGAAAGACACATTGTCTCAATCGTGGACCCAGCAATATGTCACAATCTTCCTTATAGGCAGGATGCAGGCAGAACAGGAGAGTCACATCTCAGTGACAGATGCAGGGATACTTTACAATGCCCCCTGTTGGCAGGGCCAAGGCAGGAGTCTTAAATCCCATTCATGTAGGGCTCAGCCATAGGACTCAATACCCGATATATGCAAGGTGCAGGCAAATAAGACAGTCACATCACCCCTAGGTGTTGGGTCAAGTGACACGCTCCAATCCCCTTTTTTGTCAGGGCCCAGGCAGAAGGAAAGAGTCACATCACCTAGGTGATGAACAAAATAACATGTCATAATACCCTTGCGGGCAAAGCACAGGCAAAAGAGTTGCATCACCTATGTTTTGATCCCAGCCATATGTCACAATGTAAAATGTATGCAGGGCCCAGGCAGGAGAGGAGAGTCACATCACCTAGCCTCTTGGCCCAGTGATACATCACAATCTCTTGGACAGAACCCAAGCAGTAGAAGAGAGTCACATCATCACCTAGGTGCTGGCCCCAGCAATATGTCACAATATACCCTAAGGGGAGGGCCCAGGCAGGAGAGTCACATCACCTAGGTGAGAGGCCCAGAGGTATATCACAATGCATCCTGCATTAAGGCTAAGGAAGAAGAAAAAGAAAGTCATAAAGCCTATGGGATAGACCAAGTTATATTTCACAATCACCCTAGTGAGCATGGTTGAGGCATGAGTGGACAGTCACATGATGTAGGTGCTGAGCCAAGTAATTTGTCACAGTCCCCTCTGTGATTAGGGACCAGGTAGGAGAAAAAAGTCAAATCACCTGGGTGATGGATGCAGAGATATGTCACAATATGCCCTGTAGGCAGGGCTCTGACAAGAGAGTAACATCACTTTGGTGTTGGATTCAGAAATATGTCACAATGCCCCATGTAAGCATGGCACAAGCAGGAGAGTCAGAAAAATTGAATGCAAGGCCTGGTGATATTTTATAATTTCCACTGTGGACAGGTTCAAAGAAGAAAAGGAGACTCACATAATCTAGGCTATGGGCCCAGTGATATATCATCATTAGCTCTATTGACAGGAACCAGGCAAGAGTATCACATCACCTTTGTGCTAGGTCACTTCACCTAGGAGATGAACAGCAATATATTACTCTTTCTTCTCTGGGCATGGCCCAGGCAAGAGAGGAGCATCACATTACTTAGGTACTGGGCCCAGAGATATGTCATCATATTTCTTTTTTTTTTTTTTTTTTTTTTTTTTGAGACGGAGTCTCGCTCTGTTGCCCAGACTGGAGTGCGGTGGCAAGATCTCGACTCACTGCAACCTCTGCCTTCCAGGTTCAAGCGATTCTCCTGCCTCAGCCTCCTGAGTAGCTGGGACTACAGGCGCACGACACCACACCCAGCTAATTTTTGTATTTTTAGTAGAGACGGGGTTTCACCATGTTGGCCAGGGTGGTCTCAGTCTCCTGACCTTGTGATCCACCTGCCTCAGCCTCCCAAAGTGCTGGGATTACAGGCTTGAGCCACCGCACCAGGCCAACACCACATTTCTTATGAGCAAAGACATGGTAAGCAGGGAGAGTCAAATTAAATAGTTGATGGTCCCGGAGATATGCCACAATGCCCCCATGTGGGCAGGGTTCAAATATGAGACACACGTCACCTTGGTGCTGGTAACACTAATATGTTACAATGCCTTCTGAGGGCAATGCTTGGGAAAAAGAGTAACATTATGATCATGTTGGGCCCAGCATGATGTCACAATCTCCCCAGCAAGCAAAACCTCAGAAGAGAAGAGTCACATCAGCTAGGTACTGGACCAAGCCATATGTTACATTTTCCCGTGTGAGCCAGGACCAGATAGTCACATCAGTTGGGTGATAGGCCCATGATATGTCACAATTTTTGTATAGGCAGGGCTTAGGCAAGAAAGTTAAATCAAATAGGCATAGGACCAAGTGATATGTTACAGTGCAGTATCAAGGCGTGAGAGGAGACGCATCACCCAGGTGCAAGTCTCAATGAAGTCAAAATGCCCTCTGTGGGCAGTGCTACGGAAGGAAAATAGAGTCACATGACCTAGGTTCTGTGTCCAGTTACATGTCACAATCTCATACGTGGGCCGGGTCAAGGCAGTAGAGTCAAATCACTCAGGTGTTGCACTGGGGCCTATGTAGCAATAACACCTGCAGGAAGGTCCAGGGATGAGATTAACAATTTCACACGTGTCACAGTTCTATGTATAAGAGTTAACATCTCCTGTATGGTGGTTCTAAGTGCACGAGTTACAATTTCAATGGCTGACAGAATCCATGCTTGAGAGCCCCATTTTGTCCTGTGCACTGTGTCTTTTTAGTGGAGACGCAGCCTCACAGGTGTGCTGAATCTTAATCTGAGTGTCATAAACCCATCTGTGGAACAGATCCAAGTATAAGAGTCAATTTTCCAACTTTCAACCACCTCAGGGTGTGAGATTTAGGACCTCAACAGTGGGCTGTGTTCATGTGGGAGAAAGACAATCTTTACAGTCACCTAAGTGTGCATATGAGTGTCAAAATCTCACTTGTGTGCTGGGCCCTATTAGAATACTTTCTGTACCACCTGAGGGCTTTATACAACATGCATGAGAGTCCACTTTTGCTCTGATTCCTTCGTGCTGGAAAGGACCCATGACTGTACCTGCGGCCCTAAGCCCAAGTATGAGAGTCAACATCTTTCCTATTGACTGTGTCCAGAAAGGAGAGTCCTCACCTGCTTATAAGCCTAAACCCAACTTATAGGCAGGTGAGAACTCTCCTATCTGGACACAGTCAACAGGAAATGAGTAACCATTCCAATTGTGGCTTGTTTTCCAGATACGACAGTTACAATTCAAACTGTGGACTGTGTTCATGTGTGAGTTTCAGGACCTCAGCAGTAGGCTATGTTTATGTCTGAGGGTAAAAATTCTAATGGCTGGTGAAATGCACATATAATAACACAATCTCACTTGTGTTCTGGGATCTGCAAGAACACTCTAGTACCCAAATGTTCTATATGATATAGGAGAGTGGTAACTTATTATGACCTTTCTACAAAGAGGAGACCCATGATCGTACTCATTTCCCTAAGCCTAAATATAATAGAAGGTATTTCTCCTGTTGGTTGGTTCAAGGTATAATAGTCATTATTGCACCTGTGGGCTGAAACAAGATATATGTCACAATCCCTCCTCTCAGTAAGAAGTGAGCAGGACAGCCACATCACCTAGGTGCTAGGCCGTGAATATTTCACAACCTTTCCTGAAAGCAGGGACCAGACAGGAGAGTCACATCATTTGTACGTGTGGCAGAGAATACTTTAAAATCTCTTGTTGAAAGAAATGCAAGGATACCTAGGAATTGAACTCAGCTCTGCACCAAGCAGACCTAATAGACATCTACAGAACTCTCCACCCCAAATTAACAAAATATACACTTTTTTCAGCACCACACCACAACTATTCCAAAACTGACCACATAGTTGGAAGTAAAGCACTCCTCAGCAAATGTAAAAGGACAGAAATTATAACAAACTGTCTCTCAGACCACAGTGCAATCAAACTAGAACTCAGGATTAAGAAACTCACTCAAAACCACTCAACTACATGGAAACTGAACAACCTGCTCCTGAATGACTACTGGGTACATAACGAAATGAAGGCAGAAATAAAGATGTTCTTTGAGACCAACGAGAACAAAGACACAACATACCAGAATCTCTGGGACACATTCAAAGCAGTGCGTAGAGGGAAATTTATAGCACTAAATGCCCACAAGAGAAAGCAGGAAAGATCCAAAATTGACACCCTAACATCACAATTAAAAGAACTGGAAAAGCAAGAGCAAACACAT
Source organism: Homo sapiens (assembly GCF_000001405.40). Lineage (NCBI taxonomy): Eukaryota > Metazoa > Chordata > Mammalia > Primates > Hominidae > Homo > Homo sapiens. The sequence continues at coordinate 64,648,057 of NC_000007.14, read as the reverse complement.
TCAAAAGCTAGCAGAAGGCAAGAAATAACTAAAATCAGAGCAGAACTGAAGGAAATAGAGACACAAAAAACCCTTCAAAAAAATCAATGAATCCAGGAGCTGGTTTTTTGAAAAGATCAACAAAATTGATAGACCGCTAGCAAGACGAATAAGGAAGAAAAGAGAGAAGAATCAAATAGATGCAATAAAAAATGATAAAGGGGATATCACCACCGATCCCACAGAAATACAAACTACCATCAGAGAATACTACAAACACCTCTACGCAAATAAACTAGAAAATCTAGAAGAAATGGATAAATTCCTCGACACATACACCCTCCCAAGACTGAACCAGGAAGAAGTTGAATCTCTGAATAGACCAATAACAGGCTCTGAAATTGTGGCAATAATCAATAGCTTATCAACAAAAAAGAGTCCAGGACCAGATGGATTCACAGCCAAATTCTACCAGAGGTACAAGGAGGAGCTGGTACCATTCCTTCTGAAACTATTCCAATCAATAGAAAAAGAGGGAATTCTCCCTAACTCATTTTATGAGGCCAGCATCATCCTGATACCAAAGCCGGGCAGAGACACAACCAAAAAAGAGAATTTTAGACCAATATCCTTGATGAACATTGATGCAAAAATCCTCAATAAAATACTGGCAAACCGAATCCAGCAGCACATCAAAAAGCTTATCCACCATGATCAAGTGGGCTTCATCCCTGGGATGCAAGGCTGGTTCAATATACGCAAATCAATAAATGTAATCCAGCATATAAACAGAACCAAAGACAAAAACCACATGATTATCTCAATAGATGCAGAAAAGGCCTTTGACAAAATTCAGCGACCCTTCATGCTAAAAACTCTCAATAAATTAGGTATTGATGGGATGTATCTCAAAATAATAAGAGCTATCTATGACAAGCCCACAGCCAATATCATACTGAATGGGCAAAAACTGGAAGCATTCTCTTTGAAAACTGGCACAAGACAGGGATGCCCCCTCTCACCACTCCTATTCAACATAGTGTTGGAAGTTCTGGCCAGGGCAATTAGGCAGGAGAAGGAAATAAAGGGCATTCAGTTAGGAAAAGAAGAAGTCAAATTGTCCCTGTTTGCAGATGACATGATTGTATATCTAGAAAACCCCATTGTCTCAGCCCAAAATCTCCTTAAGCTGATAAGCAACTTCAGCACAGTCTCAGGATACAAAATCAATGTGCAAAAATCACAAGCATTCTTATACACCAATAACAGACAGAGAGCCAAATCATGAGTGAACTCCCATTCACAATTGCTTCAAAGAGAATAAAATATCTAGGAATCCAACTTACAAGGGATGTGAAGGACCTCTTCAAGAAGAACTACAAACCACTGCTCAATGAAATAAAAGAGGATACAAAGAAATGGAAGAACATTCCATGCTCATGGGTAGGAAGAATCAATATTGTGAAAATGGCCATACTGCCCAAGGTAATTTATAGATTCAATGCCATCCCCATCAAGCTACCAATGACTTTCTTCACAGAATTGGAAAAAACTACTTTAAAGTTCATATGGAACCAAAAAAGAGCCCGCATCGCCAAGTCAATCCTAAGCCAAAAGAACAAAGCTGGAGGCATCACGCTACCTGACTTCAAACTATACTACAAGGCTACAGTAACCAAAACAGCATGGTACTGGTACCAAAACAGAGATACAGATCAATGGAACAGAACAGAGCCCTCAGAAAGAACGCCACATATCTACAACTATCTAATCTTTGACAAACCTGACAAAAACAAGCAATGGGGAAAGGATTCCCTATTTCATAAATGGTGCTGGGAAAATTGGCTAGCCATATGTAGAAAGCTGAAACTAGATCCCTTCCTTACACCTTATACAAAAATTAATTCAAGATGGATTAAAGACTTAAATGTTAGACCTAAAACCATAAAAACCCTAGAAGAAAACCTAGGCAATACCATTCAGGACATAGGCGTGGGCAAGGACTTCATGTCTAAAACACCAAAAGCAATGGCAACAAAAGACAAAATTGACAAATGGGATCTAATTAAAGAGCTTCTGCACAGCAAAAGAAACTACCATCAGAGTGAACAGGCAACCTACAAAATGGGAGAAAATTTTTGCAACCTACTCAGCTGACAAAGGGCTAATATCCAGAATCTACAATGAACTCAAACAAATTTACAAGAAAAAAACAAACAACCCCATCAAAAAGTGGGTGAGGGACATGAACAGACACTTCTCAAAAGAAGACATTTATGCAGCCAAAAAACACATGAAAAAGTGCTCACCATCACTGGCCATCAGAGAAATGCAAATCAAAACCACAATGAGATACCATCTCACACCAGTTAGAATGGCAATCATTAAAAAGTCAGGAAACAACAGGTGCTGGAGAGGATGTGGAGAAATAGGAACACTTTTACACTGTTGGTGGGACTGTAAACTAGTTCAACCATTGTGGAAGTCAGTGTGGCAATTCCTCAGGGATCTAGAACTAGAAATACCATTTGACCCAGCCATCCCATTACTGGGTATATACCCAAAGGACTATAAATCATGCTGCTATAAAGACACATGCACATGTATGTTTATTGCGGCACTATTCACAATAGCAAAGACTTGGAACCAACCCAAATGTCCAACAACGATAGAATGGATTAACAAAATGTGGCACATATACACCATGGAATACTATGCAGCCATAAAAAAAGATGAGTTCATGTCCTTTGTAGGGACATGGATGAAATTGGAAATCATCATTCTCAGTAAACTATCGCAAGGACAAAAAACCAAACACCGCATGTTCTCACTCATAGGTGGGAATTGAACAATGAGAACACGTGGACACAGGAAGGGGAACATCACACTCTGGGGACTGTTGGGGGGTGGGGGGAGGGGGGAGGGATAGCATTAGGAGATATACCTAATGCTAAATGACGAGTTAATGGGTGCAGCACACCAGCATGGCACATGTATACATATGTAACTAACCTGCACGTTGTGCACATGTACCCTAAAACTTAAAGTATAATAATAATAAAATTAAAAAAAAAAAAATAAAGAAAGCAACGCAGAAGAAGCAGAATCATTTCATCTGGGTGCTGGGACCAGCAATATGTCACAGTGCTCCCTGTAGGAAAGGCCCAGGCAGGAGAGATACGTCTATTGGTTGCTGCATGCAGAAATGTGTCAGAATTTTTCTTGTTGGCAAAATGCAGGCAGAAATGAAGAGTCACAAGTTTTAGGTGACAGATGCAATTTTTAGGGGATGGATGGATTTCACAAGGCTCCCTGCAGGCAGGGCTCAAGCAGGAGACTCACATTCCCTAGGTTCTGGGTCTAGCAATATGTCATAGTACCAAAAATATGTCGGGCAAAGCAAAAAGAGGGGAGTTACATCATCTAGGATTTTGGTCCACCAATATGTCAAAGATATTGTTTGGCTCTGTGTCTCCATCCAAGTCTCATCTTGAAGTGTAATCTTTATAATTCCCACACGTCAAGGGAGGGACCAGGTGGAGGTAATTAAATGAGGGGGTGGTTTTTTTCCATGCTGTTCTCATGATAGTGAGTTCTCACAAGATCTGATGGTTTTATAAGGGGCTCTTCCTTCTTTGCTCAGAATTTCTCCTTCCTGCCAACTTGTAAAGAAGGTGCCTTGCTTTTCCTTTGCCTTCCACCATAATTGTAAATTTCCTGAGGCCTCTCCAGTCATGCTGAAATGTGAGTCAATTCAACCTCTTTCCTTTATAAATTACCTAGTTTTGGGCAGTTCTTTATAGCAGTATGAGAATGGACTAATAAAGTCACAATCCCCTTTTGGCCATGCCCAGGTAAAAGAGAAGAGTCACATCTTCTAGGTGATGAACAAAAATATATGACAGAATGCCCCTGTGTGTAGGCCCCATGCAGAAAAGTCACAAAACCTAGGTGTTGGCCTCAGTCCTATATCACAATATGCAATGTATGCAAGGTTCAGGCAGTAAAAGAGAGTCACATCACCTGGATCTGAGCCCAGTAATATGTCAAAATCCCTCATTGGACAAAGCCCAAACAATAGAAGAGTCATATTACCTTGGTGGTGTGCCTAATGATACGTCACAATTCTTTCTTGGTCAGAGCCCAATCAGTAGAAGAGAGTCAATTCACACAGGTTCTGGGTTCAGCAACATGTCACAATACCCTTTGAGGAGAGGGCTCATGCAGGAGAGTCACATTACCTGAGTGACAGGCCCAGATATATGTCACAATTTCCCCTTTGGGGAGGGCTCAGAAACAAAGGGAGAGTCACATAACCTAGGGGCTGGGCCCAGCTATATGTCACAATCACCCCAGTTGGCAGAGCCCAGGCATAACAGAAATGTCATATCATGTAGTTGCTTACCCAAGAGATGTGTCACAATTTTCACTGTGAATAGGTCCCAAGAAGAGTCACATTATCCAGGTGATGGACCCAGAGATATGTTACAATGTTCCCTGTTGGTAGAACTCAGAAAAAGAGGAAAATTACATAACATAAAGGCTGAGTTTAGCTATGTCAGTTATCTCAGTGGGCAGGCCCAAGGCATGAGAGAAAAATCACATCATTAGTAAGTGCAAGGCCTGGTGAAATGTCACAATACTTACCATGTACAGGACACAGGAAGAAGAGGAGAGTCACGTCATTTAGGTGATGGGCCCAGAGTTAAGTCACAATGAGTTTTGTGGGCAGGGACCAGGCAGAAGAATCACATCACCTCTCTGCTGGGCCCAGAAATAAGTCACTTTCTCTTCTGTGAGCACCATCCAGGCAGAAAAGGGAGTCACATCACCTAGGTGCTGGGCCCAGAGTTATGTCCCGCCTTGGTCTCCCAAAGTGCTGGGATTTGCCTCTCCTACAGGCAAAGCCAAGGTAAGAGAAGAGAGTAACAACAAATAGTAAATGGGCCCAGAGATATGTCACAATAGCCCCTGTGTGCAGGCTCCAGGCAGGAGACTCACATCACCTTGGTGCTGGGCCCAGCAGTACGTCACAGTGAACTTCAGAGTTCTGGGCCAAGGCAAAAGTGTAACTACACCTTGGTGTTAGGCCCAGTGATATGTCACAATCTTCCCTGTTGGTAGAACCTAGGAAAAAGAGAAGAGTCACATCAGCTAGGTGCTGGGCCCAGCAGTAGGTCACAATCTCCTCTGTAAGGACCAGGCAGGGGAAGAGAGTCATGTTGCCTGAGTGACAGGTGCAGAGGTATATAACATGATGCCCCCATTAAGCAGGACTGAGGCAGGAAAGTTACATCATTTGGGTGTTGAACGTAGCAATATGTCACGATTTTTTTTTTTTGAGACAGAGCCTTGCTCTGTTGCCCAGGCTGGAGTGAGGTGGCATGATCTCAACTCACTGCAACCTCCGCCTCCTGGGTTCAAGCAATTCTCCTTCCTCAGCCTCTTGAGTAGCTGGGATTACAGGTGCGTGCCACCATGCCCAGTTAATTTTTGTATTTTTAGTAGAGACGGAGTTTCACCATGTTGGCAAGGCTGGTCTCAAACTCCTGACCTTTTGATCCACCCACCTTGGCCTCCCAAAGTGCTGGGATTACAGGCATGAGCCACTGCACCCAGCCAATATTTTACAATTATTCCTGGGGACAGGGCACAGGCAGAAGCCATCTAGTACCAAGATGCAGAACCCAGCAACATGTCACAATACCCCTGTGAGCAGTGCCAAAGCAGGAGGGGAGGCCCACATAACCTTGGTGCAAAGCCCAGAGATATAGCAAAATGCCCCTGTGGGCAATACCAAGGCAGGAGAATAATGACACATCACGTAGGTTCTGAGTTAAGCAATATGTCGCAATTCCACCTGTTGTGCCCAGCTAGGAAAGTCAAATCACTCAGGTATTGGGCAAAGAAATATTTTACAATCACACCTGCATAAAGGTCCAGGGATAAAATGAACAATTATGTACATGTCCCGGTCCTAGGTATTAGAGTCGATACCTCCTGTATGTAAGGTCCAAGTACATGAGTCACAATTTCAACAGGTGACTGGATCCATGCTTGGGAGCCACAGTCCCTCAAGTCCACTGTATATTCTTCATAGAGTCACAGCCTCACAGGTTTGCTGAATCTTGGCCTGAGAGTCACAAACCCACCTGTGGACCAGATCCATGTATGGGAGTCAATTTTCCAACTTTTGACTGCCTCTGGTTGTGAGATTCAGGACCCCAACATTGGCTGTGTTTATGTGGTTGAATGACAGTCTTTATTGTTGGCCATGTGTGCATACAAGTGTCACAATTTTACTTGTGTGCTGGATACTGTAGGGACCCTCTCTGTTTTACTAAGGACATCACACAGTATGCATGAGAGTTGCAATCTGCTCTGAAACCTTTGTACTTGGATCCAGAGATATGTCACAATGCTCTAGGTTTATAACTGTATTTGGGCTTATAACCACTATCTTACCTGTGGTTGTAGGCACAGATATGAGACTGAATATCTCTTAAAATGACTGGTTTTAGATAGGAGGGTCTTCACCTGCCTATAAGCTCGGTTTAGAAATGAGTAACCATGGGCTGGGTGTGGTGGCTCACACCTGTAATGCCAGCACTTTGGGAGGCTGAGGCAAGTGGATTGCCTGAGGTCAGGAGTTCGAGACCAGCCTGGCTAACATGGTGAAACACCATTTCTACTAAAAATACAAAAATTAGCCAGATGTGGGGGCAGGTGGCTGTAATCCCAGCTACTGGGGAGACTGAGGCAGGAAAATTGCTTGAACCCAGGAGGTGAAGGGTGCAGTGAGCCAAGATTGCGCCATTGCACTCCAGCCGGGGTGACAAGAGCGAGACTTCGTCTCAAAAAAAAAAAAAAGAGAAAAAGAAATGAGTAAACATTCCAACTGTGGCCAGATGTTCAGATGTTCACATATGCAATCACAAATCTAACCGTGGACTGCATCCATAAGTTGGATTGAGGATGTCACCATTGGGCTCTCTTCATGTGTCAAGGTGACAGTGCTAATAGTTGGCTGGGTGTGTCTATGAAAAGAAAAATCTCCCCTGAATTTACGCTCTCTGCATCACCCAAGGGCTTTATACAATGTGGGAGAAAGTGGTAATTCTTTATGATCTTTGTACAAAGAGGAGACCCAGCATCTTACCTGTTTCCCTCAGCCTAGCTATAAGAGAGAGTATTTATTTTTACTAGCTAATTTGAGGAATGAGAGTCATCATCACACATAGAAGTTAGGCCAAGATATATGTCACAATCTCATTTGTTGGTAAGGATTGAGCAGGAGAGTCACATCAACCGGGGGCTGGGAGAGGAATATGTCACAATCTTCCATGTGGACAGAATGCAGGCTGAAGAGGGGAGTTACATCTCCTTGGTGACAGACGCAGATATATATCACAAGGCCCTATGCGTGACAATGCAGATATTTATCACAAGGCAGTGCCCAGGCAGGAACTTCCCTTTCTGAAAGTTTTGGACCCAGCAATATGTCACAATATCCAAAGTATGTGGATTTTGAGAAAAAAAGAGAGTCAAATCACAGAGGTGCTTGGTCCACTGATATGTGAGGCCCAGGAAGAAGAGGAGAGTCACATCACCTAGGTGATGAATAAAAAAATGTTTCATAATACCCCTGTGGCCAGAGCCCATGCAGAAGAGTCTCAATGGACCAAGCCATATGTCACAATACACAATATATAGAGTACCCAGGCAGAAGATGCAAGTCATGTCACCTAGGTGCTAGGCCCAGTGGTACATCACAGTCCCTTTCAGGGCATAGCTCAAGCAATAGAAAAGAGTCACATAAACTAGGTGCTGAGTTTGGCAATTTGTCACAATACCCTTTGAGGGTAGGCCCCAAGAAAAAAATTCACATCGCCTAAATAAGGGGGGCAAAGAAACCCCATCCATACTAAAAATACAAAATTAGCTGGGTGTGGTGGTGGGTGCCTGTAATCCCAGCTACTTGGGAGGCTGAGGCAGGAGAATCGCTTGAACCCTGGAGGCGGAGGTTGCGGTGAGCCAAGATGACACCATTGCACTACGTGCTGGAAAACAAGAACAAAATTCCATCTCAAAAAAAAGGAGAAAAAAAAAAGGTAGGTGTTGGGCCAAGCCATATGTCACAATCCCTGCCATGGACAGGTCCCAGAAAGAAGAGAAGAGTCTCATTATCTAGGTAATTGGCCCAGAGACATGTCACAATAACTCCTGTGGGCAGTGATCAGGCAGAAGAATCACATCACCTGTATGCTGAGCCCAGGAATAAGTCATTCTCTCTTCTGTGGAAATTGCCCAGACAAGCACAGCAAGTCATATCACCTAGGTCCTATGCCCAGAGATATGTCACAATCTTTCCTATGGGCAAGTCCCAGGCAAGAGAGGAGAGACACATTAAATAGTTGGTTGGCCCAGAGATAGGTCACAATGACCCTGTGGGGAGGTTTCAGGCAGGTTCACCTTGGTTCTGGGCTCAGCTATTTGTCACAATGTCTTCTGAGGGCAGGGCCAAGGCAAAAGAGTAACGTCACCTTGGTGCTGGGCACAGTGATATGTCACCATTTCCCTTGTGGGCAGAACCTAGAAAAAAGAGGAGAGTCACATCAGCTGGATTCTGGGCATAGCAATATGTCACAATACCCGCTGTGAGCAAAGACCAGGTAGAAGAAGACAGTGACATCATGGAGCCTCCTGCAGGCAGGGCCATGACAAGACAGTTACATTACCTGAGTGCAAGGCCTGGTGATATGTAACAATGTCTACTTTGGGCAGTGCCAAAGCAGAAGAGAAGACTCACATCACCTGGGTGCAAGGCCCGGTGATATGTCACAATGCCCACTGTGGGCAGTGCTGAGACAGGAGACTAGATCACATTACCTAGGGGCCAGGTCCAGCAACATGGCACATTTTGAACTGTGGGCCGGGCCCAGGCAAGAGAGTCAAATCACTTAAGAGCTGGGCAGAGACTTATTTAACTATCACACCTGTAGGAAGGTGCAGGGATGGTATTAACAAGCCCACACATGTCCGGGTTCTAGGTATGAAAGTCAGCACCTCTTGTATGTTGGGTTTAAGTACATGAGTCACCATCTCAGCAGTGGACTGGATCAGTGCATGGGAGCCTCAATCTTTCCTGCAGACTATCTCACCTTAGTAGAGTCCCAGCCTCACAGGTTTGCTGAATCTTAGCCTGAGAGTCACCAGAACACTTGTGGACCTGATCCACATATGAGAGTCAATTTTCCAACTTTTGACTGCCTCCAGGTGTGAGTTTCAGAATCTCAACAGTGGGCTGTGTTCACGGGAAATGATAACAATCTTTACTGTCAGCAGGGTGTGATATGGGTGTACGGTCAATCCTCTTGGGAGAGATTGACCCAACATACAAGATATGTTGACACTCCCACCTAGAACTAGAACATGTGTGGGATTGTGATCTTATTCCTGGACCTTCCTGCAAGTGTGATTGTGACATACACCTTTACCCAGCACCTAAGTGGTTCGACTTTGCTGCCTGGAGTGAACTCACAGATAAAATTGTGACATATTGCTCGACCCTGCACCTTGGTGGTGTGACTCTACTCTCAAGCCTTGTCATTGCCCACATGAAGAATTATGACATACTGCTGGGTCTTGCACCCAAGTTATGTGAGTCTTTTCTTCTGCCTTGGTGTTGTATACAGGGAGCATTATGATATATTGCTGCATCCTGTGTCAAGGATTTGTGGCTCTTCTGCCTGTGCCTTGCCCACATGGGCCAATGGGACATACTGCTGAGTCTAACACTTAGGTAATGTAACTCTCCTGCCTGGGCACTGCTTACGGGAAACATTGTGACATATTTGTGTACCTATCAACCAGGTTACATAAATCTCTTCTCCTTCCTGATTCCTGACACTTAGGTAATGAAACTTCCCTGCCTGGGAACTTCTTACAGAGGACATTGTGATATATGTGTGTACCCATCAACCAGGTTACATAAATCTCTTCCCCTTCCTGATTCATGCTAACAGAGGGGATTGTGGCTCTTCTATTGTTTTTAGGTTCTGTCTTCAGGGAAAATTGTGACATACCACTGGACCCAACACTAACAGGATGTTACCGTTTCGCTTTGGCCCTGACCTGGAAAGGCATTCAGCCCTATTGCTGGGCCTAGCACAAAAATCATGTGGCTCTTTTGCCTGGAGACACATTGTGACATATCTCAAACTTATCAACTATTTGATGTGACTCTCTATTCTTACTTGCACTTTGCTTTTGAAAGATTCTGACATATCTCTGTCTCTGGGTCCTCTCCTTCTGGACAAACCCCCTCAGAAAAAAAAAAAAGTGACTTATTGCTGACCTCAGCACACAAGTGATGTAATTCTTCTGCCTGGTCCCTGCCCACAGAGAGCACTGCAACGTATTTTTTAGTCTATAAACTTTTGATGTAACTTTCCTCTTTTACCTTAATCCTCCACATGGTCCCTGCCCACCCAGGGCATTTTGACATATCTCTAGGCCCCTCAACTATTGGATATGATGCTCTTTTCACATCTGAGCTTTGCCAAAAAGTGAGATTCTGATATATACCTGTGGGCTCAGCACCTAAATAATATGACTCCTCCTTTGCCTGGGTCCTGTATTCATTGTGTGTTATGACATATGGCTGAGTCCAATACCTACATGATGTGACTCTCCTGCCTGGGTTTTGCCCACAGGGTACTTTAAAATATCTTTTTCTTTATTACCTATGTGATGTGACTCTCTTATTCCACCAGAGCCCTGCCAAATAGAAGGATTGTGACATATCACTGAACACAGCACCTAGGTGATGTGACTCTCTCCTTTTGCCTGGGCCTCACATATTTTGGGTATCGTAACAAATTGCTGGGCCCCACCACTGGGAGATGGGAGGCTTGTGCATGGATCCTGCCTATGTGGGGACCTTTTGATACTTATCTGCATCTATCACTTAGAAGATATGACTTTCCTACCTGCACCCTGCCCACAAGGAAGATTGGGAACTATCACTAGGCCATGCGTCCAGGTTATGTAACTCGGCTGCCCGTGTTCTGCTTTCAGGAGGGAATTGTCACAATCTCTTCTACAGGCAATGCCCAGGTAAGAGTAGAGAGTTACATCAAGTAGTTGACAGGCCCAGAGATATGTCACAATGTCCCCTGTGGACAGAGTTCAGGAAAGAGACTCACATCACGTTGGTGCTGGGTCCAGCAATATGTCACAATGCCTTCTGAGGGCAAGGCCAAGCCAAAGAGAAAAGAGCAATGTCACTTTGGTGCTTGGCCCAGTGGTATTTTACAATCCCCCACATGAGCAGTGATCAGGCAAAACGAGAGTGTCATATCACCTGCGAGATGTGCATAGAGATATGTCACAGTGCCCCCTGTAGTCAGGGTCTAAGCAGGAGAGTTACATTACCTGGGTTTTGGACTAAATAACATGTTATAATGCCTTATGTGGGCAGGGAACAGGCAGAAGAATCACATACCTTGGGTGTGGAGCCCAGTGATATGTCACAGTGCCCCCTATGGGCAGTGCCTAGGTAGGAGAGGAAATTCACATCACCTGGTTACTGGCCTAAAAAATCTGTCACGATTTTTTTTTCGTGGCCAGGGTTCAGGCAGAATGAAGAGTTACATCTCCTAGGTGATAAATGCAGAAATATGTCAAAAGGCCCCCTGTGGACAGGGCCCAAGCAGAAGCCTCCCAGCCCCTGGGTGTTGGGCTAAGAGATATATCACAGTACCCAAAATATGCTCAGGCCAGTAAAACAAGAACAGTCATATTACCGAGGTGCTGGGTCCAGTTATATGTCACAATCCCCACTTCTGGCAAAGCTCTGGCAGAAAAGGAGAGTCACATAACTTAGGCAATGAATAAAAAGATACCCCTAAGGGCAGAGCCCATCAAGGAGAGTTGCATAACCTAGGTGTTGGACCTGACCCTATGTCTCAATACACAATGTATGAAGAACTCAGGTGGGAGGGGAGGGTCACACTGCCTAGGTGTTAAGCCCAGCAATACAACTAAATCCTTTTTTTAGGCAGATCCCTAGCAACAGAAAAGAGTCAGATCACCTAGATGCTAGGTCCAGCAATATGTCACGATATTCCTTGAGGAAAGAGCCGAGGTAAGACAGTAACATCATCTAGGTGAAAGGCCTAGCAATATTTCACAATCTTCTCTGGAGACAGAACCCAGAAATAAAAGGAGTCACATCAGCTAGGTGCTCGGCACAGTGAAATGTCATGTTGGGTATAACTACATGAGTCACAGTCTCAATGGTGGACTGGACCAAAGAATGAGAGCCTCAATCCATCCTGTGGACTGTGTCTTCTTAGTAGAGTGATGGCCTCACAGGTTTGCTAAATGTTGATTTAAGAGTCACAAACGCAAATGTGAACCAAATCTACATATGAGAGTCGATTTCCCCACTTCCCTGCCTTTGGGTGTGAGATTCAGAACCTCAACAGTGGGCTGTTTACGTGGAAGGAAAGAAGTTTATACTGTTGGCTGGGCATGCATATGAAGGTCACAATCTCAGCTGTGTGCAGTGCCCAGGCATAAAAGAAGAGTCCAATCGCCTAGGTGTAGAATTAAGAGATTTTAATCTCTTTTTTTTTTTTTTTTCAGACAGAGTCTCGCTCTGTCACCCAGGCTGGAGTGCAGTGGCTTGATCTCAGCTCACTGCAAGCTCCGCCTCCCAGGTTCATACCATTCTCCTGCCTCAGCCTCCCGAGTAGCTGGGACTACAGGCGCCAGCCACCACACCCGGCTAATTTTTTGTATTTTTTAGTAGAGACAGAGTTTCACCGTGTTAGCCAGGATGGTCTCGATCTCCTGACCTCATGATCCGCCTGCCTCGGCCTCCCAAAGTTCTGGGATTACAGGCATGAGCCACCATGCCCGGCCTTAATCTCTTTTTTAATCTCTTCTGATACTTCTGTGGGCAAAGTCCATTGAGGAGAGCCACATCATCTATGTTTTGGACCCAGCCATACATCACAATGCACAATGTATTCAGGGCCCAGGCAGAAGAGGGGAGTCAAATAACCTGGGTACTGGGCCCAGTGATACATCAAAATACCTCCTTGGACAGGGCCTAAGCAAAGGAGGAGAGTCACATCACATCAGTGTGTGTGCAAAAATATGTCACAATACCCCTCTGAGTGAATGGCTTAGTCATGAAAGTCATGCCACCTAGGTGAGGGGCTCGATAATATGTTGCAATTTTCTCCATGTGTAAGGCTCAGTAAGAAAAGAAGAGTCACATAACCTAGGGTCTGGGCCCAGCTTCATGTCACAATCATTCTAGTTGGAAGAGCCAGAGAATGAGAGGAGTGTTACATCACACAGGCACTGGGCTCAGCAATAGGTCACAATTCCTGCTGTGGACAGGTCTCATGAAGAAAAGGAGAGTTACATCATCTAGCTGATAGGCCCAGAGACATGTCTTAATGACTCCTGTCAGCAAGAACCAGGCAGAAGAATCACATCACCTGTGTGCTGGTCATAAGTTACTCTCACTTCTGTGGGCATGGCTAGGCAAGAGAGGAGAGAGTCATATCACCTAGGGAGGGGCCCATATACGTGTTCTAATTTTTTCTTTGTGTAGGGCTCAGAAAAAAAGGAGAGTCACAAAACCAAGGGTTTGGGCCCAGTTATATGTCACAATCACCACAGTGGGCATGACCCCAGTATGAGAAGAAAGTCACATCATGTAGGTGCTGGGTCTACCGATATGTCACAATCTTCACTGTGGATAGGTCCCAGGAAGAAAACGAGTGCCATGTAATCTAGGCGATGGGCCCAGAGATACATCACAATATCTCCAATGGGATAAGCCCAAGCAAGAGAAGAGCACTCCACCAAATAGTTGATGAGTGCAGAGATATGGCACAATGCTTCCTGCAGCCAGGATCCAGGTAGGAGACTCACAGCACCTTGGTTCTGGGTCCACCAATATGTCCCAATGCTTTCTTTTGGTAGGGCCAAGGCAGAAAACTTACATCACCTTTGTGTTCGGCCCAGCAATACATCAAAATCGCTCCTGTGGACACAACCTTGAAAAAAGAGAAGAGTCACATCAGCTAGGTGCTAGGCCTAGTGATATGTCACAATCCCCACTGTGAACAGGGATAAGGTAGGAGAAGAGAGTCATAACACCTGGGTGATTGGCATAGAGATATGTCATAATGTCCCCTGTAGGTGGGACTCAGGCAGGAGAGTTAAATTGCCTTTATGTTGAACCCAGCAATAGGCCCCAGTGACCCGTGTGTTGGATGTTAGACCCAGCAATATGTCCCAGTGATCCATGTGGGCAAGGCACAGGCTGGAGAGTCACACAACCTGGGTGTGGGGACCAGCAATATGTCACAATGCTGCCAGTGGGCCATGCTAAGAAAGGAGGGGAGACTCACATCACCTGGGTGCAAGGTCAAGCTATGTGTCGCAATACTCACTGTGGGCAGTACCAAGGCAGGAAAATAAAGTCACATCTCCTAGGTGCCGGGTTCAGCAACATGTCATAATGCTATCTGTGGACTGGGCCAAGGCAGGAGAGTCAAATCACTCAGGTGCTGGGGAGAGGCATATTTCACAATCACACTTTCAGCAAGATCAAGGGATTAGATTAACAATTCAATCTAGGTGATGAAAGAAAATTTATGCGATAATACTTCTGTGGGAAGAGGCCATTCAAGAGTCAGATCACTTCGGTGTTGACCCATCCAAATGTCACCATACACAATGTATCCAGGGTCCAGAAAAGAGAGGAGAGTCACGTTACAAATTGCTGGGTCTAATGACAATTCTTTTTTTTTGGCAGAACCAAGGCAGAGATTAATAGTCACATCGCATAGTTGATGGATGAAGAAACGTGTCACAAGACCCCCTGTGGTCAGGACTCAGGCAGGAGCCTCCCATCCTTTAGGTGTTTTGCCCAGTAATATGTCACAATACATAAAATATACTAAACTGAGGCAAAAGACCAGGGTCACATCACCTAGGTGCTGGGTCCAATGATATGTCACAATCTCCAATTTTGGGAGAGCAAGGGCAGAGTTTTCATATCACCTAGGTGATGAATGAAAAGACACATAATACCCCTGCGAGCAGGGTGTTGGACCTAGTGGTATGTCACGATAACCAACAAATGCGGGTCCCAGGAAGGAGAGAACAGGTACATACCTGAGTGCTTCACTAGCAATAAATCACACTCTGCCTGGAAAGAGCTCTAGCATTATAGGAGGGTTACATCGCTGAGGTGCTGGGTCAAGCCATATGGCACAATACCACCAGAGGTGATGGCCCAGGCAGGAGTCACAATACCTAAGTGAGGGGTCCAGAAATATGTCCCAATTTTCTTCATGGGTAAGGTTTAGGGTAGAAGAGAGTAGCATAAACTATGGAATCAGGTCTTGGGCAAAGCAATATGTCACAACAACCACTGTGGACAGGTCCCAGGAAAAAGAGGAGTGTCACATTATCAAGGTGATAGCCCCAAGGTATACAAGGTATGTCATGATGACCTCTGTGAGCAGGGACCAGACAGAAGTATCATATCATCTGTGTGTTGGGCCTAGAGATAAAGTCACTCTCACTTCAGTGGGCATGGCCCAGGCAGGAGAGAAGAGTCACATCACCTAGGTGCTGGACCTAGAGATATGCCATAATCTTTCCTATGGGCAAATACCAGGTAAAAAAGGAGAGTCACATCAAATAGTAGATGGGCCCAGAGATATGTCACAATGCTTCATGTGACCAAGGTCAAGACAGAAGACTCATATCACCTTGGTGCTTGGCCCAGCATTATTTCACAATACCTTCTGAGGGCAAAGTAAAAGAGTAATGTCACTTTAGTGATGGGCCCAGCAATATGTCACAATCTCTTTTGAGGGCAGAAATTATGAAGAAGAGAAGAATCATTTCAACTAGTTGCTGAACCAAATAATATGGCACAATATGCCCCTCGGAGCTGAGATCAGGTAGAAAAGAAGTCACATAACCTGCATGATGGATGCAGAGATGTCACAATGCTCTCTCTAGGTAGAACCCAGGCAGGAGAGTTACATTACCTAAGTGTTGGACCCAGCCAAATGTCACAATGGCCCACATGGGCAGAACACTGGCAAGAGAGTCACATAAGCTGGTGGTGTGGCCCAGTAATATGTCACAGTTCCCTCTGTGGGAAGCACCAAGGCAGGAGAGAAAAGTCGTCTTATCTAAGTGAAAGGCCCAGCAATATGTCACAATGCCTTCTGAAAGCAGGGCCAGTGCAGCAGAGTAATGTAACCTTGGTGCTGGGCAAAGTGATATGTCACCGTCTTCCCTGTGGGCAGAACCCAGTAAGATGCAAATAATAAAATCACCTCAGTGCTGGACCCAGTGATAGGTCACAATTACCCCTGTGAGTGGAAACCAGACAGGAGGAGAGACTCACATCACCTTGGTGATGGCTGCAGTGATATATCACAATGTCCTATGTAGCCAGGAACCAGGCAGGAGAGTAATATCACCTGGGTTCTGAACCCAGAAATACATCACAATTGCCCATGTGGGCAGGGCACAGGCAAGAGAGTCACATAAAATCCATAACAACCCCATTTGTTGGTTGAGGCAGGCAAGAGTATTAAGTCACTCAAATGCTGAGCAGAGGCATACATCACAATCATACCTGCAGGAAGCTCCAGGGATAAGATGAACAATCTATCTTGCACATGCCCTAGTTCTAGGTATAGGAGGCACTGTCTCCTGAATGTTAAATCTGTGTGCATGAGCCACAGTCGCAATGGTGAACTGGATCTCTGCATGAGGGCCTCAATCCTTCCTATGGACTGTGTCTCTGTAGTGAAGTCACAGCCTTTATAGGTGTGCTGAACCTTGGTCTGAGAGTCACCAACCTACCTGTAGACCAGATCCACATATAAGTAACAGTTCATTTTCCAACTTTTACCTGCCTCCTGGTGTGAGATTCAGAGCCTCCACAGTGAGCTATGTCTATGTGGAAGAATGACAATTTTTCTGTCAGCTGGGTATGAATATAAGTGTCACAATCTCATCTATGTGCTGTTCCCTGTTATGACACTCAACAGCTTTATACAGTATGCATGAGAGTCACAATTTACTCTAGAATCTTCGTGCTGGTATGGAAACATTATTCTACCTGTGGCCCTAAGCCCAGGTATTACAGTCAACATCTCCTTAATTGGCTGGGTCCAGATAGGAGAGTTTTTACCTGCCTATAAGCTGGGTTGATAAATGAGTCACCATCCAAACTGGGCCAGATGTTTACATATGGCTGTCAGAATTCCAACTTTGAACTGCGTTCACGTGTGAGATTTAGGAACTCAACAGGAGGCTCTGTGAGAGTGACATTCCTAACAGTTGGAAGGGTGTCCATATGAGAAACAATATCTCACTTGTGTCCTGGGCCCTGTAATGACACTCCCTGTACCACCAGAGGGCTTTACACCATATGTGAGAAAGTGATGATTTTCTATGAGCTCTGTACAAAGAGGAGACCCAGAATCTTACACATATTTCTAAGCCTAGCTATAAAATACAGTGTCTCTCTCTCTCTTTTTTTAAAAAAAAATTAATAATTTTCTAAGTTCTTGGGTACACGTGCAGAGTGTGCAGGTTTGTTACATAGGTAAATGTTGCCATGGTGATTTGCTGTACTTATCAACCCATAACCTGGATATTAAGCCCAGCATCCATTAGCCATTTTTCCTGATTTTCTCCCTCTACCCACTTTGCCAGACGGGTTCTAGTGTGTGTTGTTTCCCAACTTGTGTCTATGTGTTCACATTGCTCATATCCACTTATAAATGAGAACATGTGGTGTTTAGTTTACTGTGCCTGTATTAGTTTGCTGGGGATAACAGCTTCCAGCTCCATTTATGTCTTTGCAAAGAAAATGACCCTGTTCCTTTTTATGGCTGCATAGCATTCCATGGTGTATATGTACATTTTCTTTATCCAGTCTAACATTGATAGGCATTTGGATTGATTCCATGTCTTTGCTATTGTGAATAGTGCTGCAGTGAACATACACATGCATGTATCTTTGTAATAAAATAATTTATATTCCTTTGGGTATATACCCAGTAATGGGATTGCGGGGTCAAATGGTATTTCTGGTTCTAGGTCTTTAAGAAATTGCCAAAGTGTCTTCCACAATGATTGAACTAATCTATATTCCCACTGTGTAAAAACATTCCCATTTATCCACAGCCTTGCTAGCATCTGTTGTTTCTTGACTTTTTAATAACTGCCATTCTGACTGGTATGAGATGGTATCTCATTGTGGTTTGATTTGCAATTCTCTAATGATCAGTGGTGTTAAGCTTTTTAAAAATGTTTGTTGGCCACATAAATGTCTTCGTTTGAGAAGTGTCTGTTCATGTCCTTTGCCTAATTATTGATGGAGTTTCTTTTTAAAAATTTTTGTTTAAGTTTCTTCTAGATTCTGGATATTAGATCTTTGTCACATGGATAGATTACAAAAGGCTTCTGCCATTCTGTAGGTTGTCTGTTCACCCTGACAATAGTTCCTTTTTCTGTGCAGAAGCTCTTTAGTTTAATTAGATCCCATTTGTCAATGTTTGCTTTTGTTGAAGTTGCTTTTGATGTTTTTTTCATAAAATCTTTGCCCATGCCCATGTCTATGTCCTGAATGGTATTGCCTGGATTTTCTCCTAGGATTTTTATAGTTTTGGGTTTTACATTTAAGTCTTTAATGTATCTTGAGTTAATTTCTGTATAAGGTGTAAAGAAGGGGTCCAGTTTCAATTATATGCTTATGGCTAGCCAGTTCTCCCAGAACCATTTATTAAATAAGTAATCCTTTCCCCATTGCTTGTTTTTTTAGGTTTGTCAAAGATCAGATGATTGTAATGTGCAGTCTTATTTCTGAGTTTTCTCTTCTGGTTTCATTGGCCTATGTGTCTGTTTTTCTACCAGTACCATGCTGTTTTGGTTACAAGACACAGTGTCTCTTTAACTGGCTGGTTCAAGGTAACAGAGTCATCATCGCAGCTGTGAACTGGGCCAAGGTGTATTTCACAATCTTACCTGTGAATCGGGAGCATGCAGAAGGGTCACATCAGCTGGGTGTTAGGCCAGGAATATTTCACAATGCTCCCTTTGGGCAAGAACCAAGCAAGAGAGTAACATCGCTCAGTTGCTGGGCCCAGCAATATGTCACAATTTTCTCTGTGGGCAGGGTGCAGGCTAAAGAGCAGAGCCATATCTCCTAGGTAATAGATGGAGAGATATGTCACAAGGTCCCCTGTGGTAAGGGCACAGGCAATATCTTTCTATCTCCTCAGTGTTGGGCCCAATGATATGTCACAAATACTCAAAATATGCAAGGCCAAGGCTAAAGAGGAATGTCACATCACTTAAGTGCTGGGCCCAGCCATATATCACAACACATAATGTATTCAGGGCACAGGCAGGAGGCGAGAATCACATCACCTAGGTGCTGGGCCCAGAAATACATCACAATTCTTTCTTAGGCAGACCCAAGTAGATGAGTAGGTTTATATCACCTATTGCTGGATCCAGCAATATGTCACAATACCTTATGAGGAAGCAGCTTGGGCAGGAGAGTCACATTACCTTGGTGAAGAGCTCAGAGATATGTCACAATACTCCTTTTGGATAGGGCTGAGAAAGAACAGTTACATAACCTAAAGATTATGCCCAGCTCTATGTCATCACTGGCCCAGAGGGCAGGGCTCATGCATAAGAGAAGAGTCACATCACATAGCTGCTGGGCAAAGCAATGTGTGATAATCCCCACTGTGGACAGATTTAAGAAAAAAGAGGAGAGTCATATTATTTAGGTGATGAGCCTAGAGGTATGTCACAATAATTCCTGTGGGCATAGGCCAGGCAGAAGAGTCACATCATGTGTTCGCTGGACACAGTGATAAGTCACTTTCATTTCTGTAGGCATGGCACAGGCAAGGAGAAGAGTGCCAACATCTCAGTGCTGGACCCAGAGGTATATCACAATCTTTCTTATGGGCAGAGTTCAGGTAATAGAGGAAAGCCACATC